>NC_000024.10:20628230-20998667 GCF_000001405.40 Homo sapiens | reverse complement strand
CACTCTCATATCCAAACCTAGCCAATTGGAGAGATGTTGACTCTCATATTTAGGTTTAGTGCTACAAACATAATCATAGGTCCATATAAGCATGAAGTTCTCAGGGAAAATTTCTACTCTTATACACACTCTCATGAATAACACCTTTAGGTGGCATTAGAGAGTGTTCTAACAGAATCCAGCACACTGTTGAGATTGTGACACTCTTATTTTTACCCAGCTAACCATATAGATTGTCATAATTCTGGACAAATGCAACACACTGTTGTTCTGAATCTCATATTCAAAGGCAATTTAAAGCTGTAAAATTGAATTGTGTACATGGATCTTGTATACAGGTAGGCTGGTGACTCTCAGACTAAGATTTAACCACCTGTCAGGCTGTGACTCCACCAAAGGGACACAATTTACAGGAGAGATTGAAGCTGTCATTCACAGATGTGGTTCACCATTGAGGCTGTGAATCATGCAGTTAGACTCAATATACAGGAGGTGTTGACTTTCATACCTAAAACTGAAAGTTTTGCAAGATGGTAAATCTTATTCCTGGGACTTTCTGTAGATGTTATTGTGATGTATGTCTCAGTACAGCACATGAGTTATTGAATCTCCTCCCTGTTCCCAGCACACTGGTGGTATTATGAAATATTGCTGGCCCCTACATTCAGTTTATGTGACTCTCCTGAATGTGATGTGTCCATATAGTCCATTGTGCAATATTGCTGGGTCCAACACCCAGATGGTATAAATCTAATTCCTAAGCCCTACAAACTAAGAGAATGGTGATTATCTCTTGCCCAGCACACAGGTTATGTGAATTTCTTCTACTGACTGACTGCTGCTCACAGTGGAAATTTTGACATATTGCACCCAGAATCTTCCTGAAGTTACTCTTTTCTTCCTATCTTATGCCCTCAGAAAAGATTGTGACATATTATTAGGCCAAGGTGATGTTATCATTTTGCCTTTGTCCTGCCTGCAGGAGACATTGTGACATACAGCTGGGCCCAGGAGAAAGGTGATATGAGCCTCCTGTCTGGACCCTTTTTAAATAAACAGTTGTGACATATCTCTGAACATATCTACTGTTTGATGCGATTCTGGCTTTTTACCTGGACTTTGTCCATAGGAGAGATTGTGACATATCTCTGGGCCCAGCACAATGGTAATATTACTATCCTTTCCTGGCTGAGCCATGCCCACAGATGAGACAGTGACTTATCACTGACACCAACATACGGTTGATGTGATTCTTCTGCCTGATTCCTGCTCAAAGGGGGCACTGCAACACCTTTCTAGGCTTATCACTATTTGATGAAACTTACATGTCTTATGTAGACTATGTCCACAAGAAAGATTGTGACATATAGCTGGACTAAGCAATCAGATGATGTGAATTTTCTCTCCTGCTTGGGCCCTGTATTTATTGTGTATTTTGCTACATAAAAGGATTCAACACCAAGGTGATGTAAATCTCTTGCATGGACCCACCATCCCGGTGTATTATAACACATATATATGATTATTTTTTCATTTACTACCTAGGTGATATTGAGAGAAGTTAGCTAACTTGCCTTATGTAGACAGCAAGGGAAGTGTCCCTAGAAAGCCCCTGACTCACAAGTCAGCGCCTCATCCCCACGTAACATAAAAAGAAGCCTGGGAAAAAATCAAGCTGCAGGCATCAATAAGAAAATTCTAACAGCGGTTGTGCCTGAAGACATGCCCACGGATGCACAGATAAGAGAGCCTCTGGCCCATTTGGAGAAAAACTTGCACAAACCTCCATCTTACTCAGATACAGAAACACAGCCTGACATAGAAATGCCTTTGTTGTTCCTTCTCCTTTTGTTTGCTGGGCACAAACACAGTGGGCTCTGGTGTGTTCTCGTGGGCCGCTTACTTATTTACTTTCCTTTTTGGATTGTAAATGCAGCCTCTATAAATCATCATTTCAGCCTCTGATTGATCCTAAGCCAAGATCCTAGGCCAGATTTTCACTTCAGCCTCTGATTGGTCCTGAGCCAAGATCCTGGGTCAAGTTGAAACATGTATTCTTTAAGACAGCCTGCAGACTACGCACATTCCTTTCTCTCCACAACCCCTAAAATACCAGGATCCCAGCCTTATAGTGGGCAACCCATTTGAGGCCTCGTCTCCACTAGCAGAGAGTTTTCTTCTTTTGCTTATTAAACTTTCACTCCAGCATCACCCTTATGTCCTCACTCCTTAATCTTCTTGGATGTAGAACAAAGGGATACTCTCAGACAATGAGACGGTTATGTCATGGTGTATTATGGAGACTACAGGATTATGACTCTTCTCATCTGCCCAAGCCATGTCAAAAAAGGGATTGTGAAATATCAGTGGACAAAGCATCTAGGTGATGTGACTCTTTTTTTTTTCTGGTTCCTTGCATATTTTGCATATTTGGACATATTGCTGGGCCCAAAATTTAGAGGGTTAGAGTCTCCTGCCTGGGATCTGCCCACAGGAGGCCTTATGACATATCTTTGCATCCATCATTTAAAACGTGACTCTTTTTCTGCTGGTTCCCTGTCCATGGGAAGAATTGTGACATATCATAAACTGGATATTCTAAGCTTTCCCCTTGTTTTAGAGGAATTAGAAAGAAGGATAGCTTGATTGTTCTTAAAACATATGCCCCTGTCCATTTAGCTGTCATTTGCCAATACGTCTGTGCTCTACAGATTCAATATAGAACAGAGAGTGCCTTCCAAGCATTTGGAGCCTCTAGCTGATGCCAAGTGTGGCTTTGAGTAGAGAATCAAGAGAAAGTGTTTGGATCTGGTAAGTGGGAGTTGTTCTGGGCATTTCTCTGTAGAGTTTTGTTTTTAATGTCATCATAGCACTGTTGCCTTAGACAGGTTGTTTCTCCTACTGCCTTTGTGAAAGCCTTTCTCCATTGGTTGATATGGTACTTTCCAATTATGGAGAATTTTTAACAACCAAATACTGGCTGAAGCTATTGGTTTACTGGCAGGGTTAGGTAAAGTCAAATTATATTTTGGCATTAATTTCTTTGCCTCCCATGGCCACTGGTCTTCCATATTAGTTCCTCCACATTCATAGCATTAGAAAATTCCTAACCTGCCAGCTATGTTTTCAGCTAGTTGAGAAAATAGGTTTTTTGTTGATGGGGGAACATCATGAACTGACTAATCAAAATGCTAATAGAATGACTTATAGACCCAGAATTGTGAGGTTGGATGCATCTGAGTCCTTCTAGTCTTTTTGACAATTAGTAGTAGAATTCCAAGACCTGCTACTTATCTATCAACTCATAATAGTGCTGTCTGTCCTGTAGACCAAAAAGGTTGCTCTGGCTTTAAGATAGTAAAATTTAAAGGATTGCATGTCCTTGTCTTACAATTTGGTTTGGCTGACATAGTACTTAGCTGAGCAGCCTTTCCCGAATATAAGTATTGGAGCTGTGTTAGAATAAGCCATGCAATATTACAGCCTGGGCAACCTATTTGTGGTTCTCTGTACAGATGTTTAGGACTGCTGCTGCTAAGCCTCTCTTATGTCAAACCATTGCAGACTGCTTCCGGTTTTTTAGAATTATGAACATATGAGGCATGGCAGGCATCAAAGTGCATGGAAATAGGTCCTTTATAGGAGGGAGAGGCTTCTTTTGTTCAAGCTATAAGCTCTCCTTTATTTGTTTCTCTAATTTAATATGTACCTCACACCAGAATTCATAGGGTAAGAGCTTAGGGTATGTCATAACATACATATAGCTGATTATTGTCTGGGTCACAGACTGAATATGTGGTCTGGTTGTATGTGCAGATTCTTAAATTGGTTTTTGCACATTCATAGTAGGTATGGTACAGTGGAGTTTCAACTATTGTATTCCTACCCCGGTAGTGTGTACACAGTGTGGACATCCTTTTAGAGATTTTTCCTGTTTTTAGTATAGGCCGAAATGTTAACAATATTAGTATATGTAATAGAAACATGCTTACACTACACATGGGCACAGCAAACCTTCCTCTTGGCATAGACATTTGCAGCATTTTCAGTAATAACATAACAACAGAACAATCAGTTTGACAGAATTATAACTAGGCTTATAAATTGTATCCACATTTAGTTAACTGGAGATGGTCCTCTTAGCTTCAGCTGTGCATAGACTAGTCAGCTTCTGAGATGTGCCTAGAGCAGAGCTTGGAGGATCCTCAAGCTTCAGCAGTGCATAGACTGACCAGCCTCTGATGTGGCCCTAGCAGGGCAGTTGTCCTTCTTACCGGTGGTTGGGTTTTGCTGTAGGACTATTCAAGTGGCATAATCTGATTCTTGTTGGTTAATCCACTGGTTGTCATCGGGAGTCACTATTGTCACTGGTTTCAGCCAGCTATGATGAATCCAAGGTGTGACACCTGCAACTTTAACAGCAGTGGGAATAGACAGGATCACAGTATGAGGCCTATCCTCTATGGGTCTGAGTGTGGTTGGATTCTATTTTTAACCTAAACAAAGTCCTTAAGTTTGAAAGGGTGTACTGGGTCTGTTAAATTTATAGGCATTTTTTTAATACCTAGTCATACATTTTTCACATGGCCATATTTAAAGTCTTCATTTGCTTTCTTGAAGTTAGTTGTGCTAGTTTACAGAGATTACCTTTAATTTGACTGACGATGGGGGATGGCCAGCTGAACAAAATCTTATAAGGCAAATGCCCAGTTTGTTTGGTGGGGGTGCACCTGACTTGGAGGAGGACTATGGACAAGACCAGATCCTACCTTTGATGAGTTTTTTGACAAAAGTGCTTCAGCAGCTGTTTCAGTGTCTGGTTTATGCTCTCCACTTTACCTGAGCTCTGTGGCCTGTAGGCTGTATGTAATTTCCACTTTATTTTTAAATAGTCAAGTTAATTTCTGAACTATTTCAGCCACAAATGTTGGTCCATTGTCTGATCTTAGAGTTAGAAGCCGTCCACTTCTGGGAATAATGTGTCCTAACAACACGTTGCTGACACCTAGTGCCTTCTCTGTCTGGATGGAGAAGGCCTTGACTTATCTTGAAAAGGTGTAAATGAACACCACCATGTACTGATAGCCCCCCTCTCCAGGCAATTCTGTGATGTACATAGTTTTTTACAGGGCAAAAACAGTTTTCTTACGGGGCATGGCTCCTGTTTCCTGAACTCCTGTAGACCAAGTAGGCCTTTGTCATGGATTGTTTTGAGTGCAAGTTAAACACTGTTTGTTTACAAATGGCTCGAGTAATAGCAGTGAGCCATGACACATAGAAATGATGCCTTAATAATGTCTTTAATTTTTTTTTCCATGTAAATTCCTTGGTTGAACTGTTTTACAAATCTGGGGGCCGCCATTTCAGGTATGGCTAGCCTCCTATTGGGGAATTTTTACCACTCTTCTTCAATGTAGTTCTTATTTTTCCAGGCAAACCAAGCCCTTTCATTTGGAGAGTAGCTTGGGATCTCTAGGAGAAGAATCTCCAGGAGGAGAGGCATAACTAAGGCTTCCTCTTTAGAAGGTAGAGTTGTCATTGCAGCCTGGTTTGCTTCTTTGACTGTCTTTCTATTTTCTTTAGCCTTTAGTGTTTTTGCTTTTTGGTACCTCTTGCAGTGCATCACTGACATCTGTATTGAGACCCCTACAGCATCTTAGAGCTATAGAATTTCTTCCTTGAACTTTATTTCTTTACTTCCAGCCATTAAAAATCTTTCTTTCTTTCTTTGTAAATAGCCTCATGAAGATGCAAAGTGGCAGAAGCATACTTGGAATCTGTGTAAATATTTGTCTTATGTTCTTGTTCTAGGATCTCTTGTCAGAGCCATTATTTCTGCTTTTGAAACAGAAATTTCTGTAAGCAAAGACTGCACTTTTACTACTGAGTCTAAAGTCACCACTGTGTACCCAGCTTGGCAGACTACCTTTAGTATGAAACTGCTTTTATCAGTAAAATGTTCAATATCTGGGTCCATTAGGGGCCGATCTGTTAAATCTCTCTGGCTTGAGAACACTTTATCTACCATGTCCAAACAGCAATGAAGGGGGCCTCCTGGCACTGACTTGATGAGGAGCAAGGTAGCCAGGTTTAGGGTGTTCACAGTCTCTAAAGTCAGTTTATTAGCTTCTTGTAACAGTAGGGCAGTGGCAGCTAGTGCTTAAAACAAGGAGGCCAACCAAGTGCCACAGAATCTAATTGCCTGGGTAGGCATGTCACTGGGTAATGCCATGACTTTATGGCTTGAGTTAGAATCTCTATGGCCTCCCTTTCACTTGTGGGCATACAAGAAAAGCTTAGTTAGATCTGGCAGTCCTAAAGCTGGGGACTGTGTCAAGGCTTTTTTGATTTCTTTAAAAGTCTTCTCCTGGTTGGTCTCCTAGAGGAGGGGCTCCTTTTTTCTTCCTCTTTGTTGCTTCATATAATGTTTTAACCATGAGCAAGAAATTTGGGATCTAAATATGGCAGAACCTTACTGACCTTAAGAACTCTCTTGATTGATGCCTGGAGATTAGAATAGGAAAGTGCACAAACAGCCTGCATTTGTTCACTACTAAGCCATCTTTCTTTTTGACTTGTATAAAAGCTTGAATACTGGACACTTTTAGAGTAGATTTGAGCTTTTTTCCTGACATTATATACCCTGCCTACCACAGCAGGTGCAGGGGGTCTTGGGTTTCTCCTGGGTGCAGTAGCCCTCAGCCGGTGGTGTTTTTATACCAGGGCCCAGACCATTCTTCTTATTCTTTTGAAATTTATTCTTCCTGTGTCCTTTCCTTTTGCACCATGCACATTAATTTTTCTTTAGCCTCAGCTAGCTTTTAAACCCCTGTCCAGACAGGCCTTGTTCATGACTGCATTCACGCCCACGTCCATGACTCCTGATCTCAGTTAACATACACCTTGGTAGCCACTTTAATAAGCTTAGTAGCATTCATGCCTATGGAGCTTCCAAGTTCTGAAATTTATGCCTGGTATCTCCCTGGGCCTGCCTTGCAAATGCTGTACTCACCATAAACTGATTTTCAGCGGACTTAGGGTTAAATGGAGAGTACAACTAAATGCCTCACACAGTATTTTATAAAACTGGTTGGTGCTTTTATCTGCCCCTGGAGCACCTCTGAGATTTTTTACATTGGTTGACTTTTTCTTTTATTATGTTTTATCCTTTGCAGAAATGTTTCTTGGCATCTTTGCAGGTGCTGAAGCTGGACTGCATCATTTGGGTCATAATGGGTGTCCTCTTGTCCTCTTAAGAGGCATAAGCATGACTTGGGCACGACAGGGACTAAGATTGCCTGCCTGCCTTTTCAAGCCTTTCATGTTAACTTCCTGGAGCTCTGATTTCTCCTTCTCAGGTGAGACTAGGAGTGTGTATCCATTTGAACTTAACTCCTTAGGGGCAGTTAGCCTTGGTGAAGGGAGGTAGATTGGAATGTAGGGAGGAGGGGTCTCTATTCCCTCCTTTGGTTCTTGCAAAACTGTTTTTTCTGCCTTTCCTGAGACTTTTCTTTTGTCTCTATACCTTCCAGGGCAGCTGATTTTTACTTTCACTTTGGCTAGGCAGTGCTATAAGTGTCTGTGACTTTCTCTTTCACAGCCAGTGCAGCTGATTTCTCTCTCAGCAAGAGAGAGCAGTGAGCATTCTACAATAAACTGCTAGGCAGGGCTGCATTCATTTAGATATGAGTCAATATAAAGACCAGGTCTGAATGCCCTGGCTGTCCTCTGACCTTAGTCACCACCTTACAACATGCAGCCAATTTCTCTGTAGTGCTTTTGGCCAGCCCTCTGACACTAAAAGAGGGCTATTCTAATTCAAAGTATGTCCTTAACTTTTGAACATCCAGTTTCATCCTACAATTACCTCTAAATCCTTTTTTAAAATTCTTTATCATGCACTCCAAAGGAGTTAGTTTCAATGCTTTCCCTCCCATTTCCTCCCTTGGGTTGCACTTTCACCCTCACTTTTACTCTTGGGTCCATAAGACTGGGTCCTATTATGGGAGTTTCAGATGCTCCTTAGCCAGGAACGTGTCTTCCTCTGTTACAGCCTGCTATGGCTGCAAAGCTGGTCCTATCAGCCCTATGCAATATCCAAGTCTGATTTCCCCTGCACTCACCTTGGAGCACAAAGCCCATGCTAAGGGACCTGTGTCTCCCCACATCTTTCCCCACATTGTCCTCTCCCAAGACCATCTCTTTCACACACTTTCACACACCTCCCATGCCCCAGGACTCCTCATTGGATGAAACAACTCTCTCTCATGTCTTGGGTGAGACTAGTTAGGTTCCCACATTTACATACATACACACACCACTCCTACCCGAGGACTCCTCATTGGATGAAACAACCCTCTCTCATGTCCTGGGTAGGTTCACATGCACCCACACACTCTCAGTTGAGGTGGCAAGCCACTCTTGCCACCCTGCCAGCAAGCTCTATCTTGCTGCTCTTGCCACTGTATTGGCACATTTTCTCCCTTTCATTTTGTTAATGGGGATATGAGGCTCATCCAAATTGTCAGGCCACTCCTGACACCCCCAGTCACTCTGGGTTGGCCAGTTCCCAAGAGGTGATCAAGCTCCCATTCATTCCTATGTGATGGGCTTTCCTGCCTTGGGCTCTTATGCCTTACCACAGTTACTGAAGTGCCGGTATCATCCTGCAGCCCCATCCCAGGTTTCATTGCACTGCTGGGCAGGCCACAAGGATGTTGGAAGAGCCAGTCTCTATTTGAGTGAAACTCCCTAACAGTGTGCTTTGGATGCCAGGTCTCCCTCAGCCCAATGGTCCTAGTCTTGCAGGCAAAGGAGACAGTAAATCTGTCACCTCCGATCTTGCATAAGCCCCCAGAAATGTTATGGGATTGAGAAGGAATCAGAGAGACTGATCGGGTTCAGGAGGATATTTATTATTTAAGTACACTGGCCCAGTAGAATAAACATCCAAAAGACTGAGCCCTGAACAGAGTTAAGATACCTTTTAAGCACTTTGTGGGGCTGGGGGCAGGGGGAGATCTGTGGAGGGGGAATCATATTACAAAAGCCAGAAACAAATACAGTTATTTAATTAATTGAGACATGCATTACGTAATTTCTTACTTTTCAAGAAAAAAACACGTTTTATGACTTGAGTTTATCTGTCTAGTGACCTTGCAGCTGCACAGCTAGAGACATAGGATCTTCAGCATGCCTGGGAAAAGAGGAGAAATAAGGCACACTAGCCACAGAAAATCAGGCACTTAATTTTTAAATGACTCCAGCTCTTTTTCTTTCTTAGGGGGAATTTGGTTTTCTTACACACAACTGAGTTTCTGCTTACACATTCTTTAATTTCTTTTAATTCCTGTTCCAAGGGAAGATTTTTACATATCTGTGGTTCGGTGCCCAGGTGATGTGACTGTCACGACAATTCCCTCCAAACACAGAGGTGAATTGTGACATATACCTCTGTGCAGCTCACAAATGTAATGATGACTCCCATCCCTCCGAACAGCCAGTAGGAGAGATACTGTCTCATAACTGGGCTTAAGGAAATAAGTAAGATTCTAGGTTTCCTATTTGCATGGAGGTTATAGAGCATTACCATTTTTTACTACAATATGATATATGCTTAATATCACATTAAGCCATAAGATGTTACAGAAATTATGTTTTTCTTTTGAACACCCCACCAACCATTAGAATAGTTACATTCACACACTGCAGGGCCCACTAGTGAAGCTCTGAGTCTCACAGGTGAATGCAGCTTGAATTTTCACCAACACATATAAACATCCAGCCACGGTTGAAATAGTGTCTCATTTCTAAACCCAGCTCAGTCCAGTGAGGATTCTATAATCTTAACCCAGCCAATTTGAAAGATGTTGACTGTCATGCCTGGGCTTACAGCCACATGGAGAATCATGGGTCCAAACCAACACAAAGGTCTCAGAGCAAATTGTGATTCTCAGGCATACCACATTACATCCTTGGATTGTAAAGAGTTTTCCAATGTGTCCAGAAAGTGAGATTGTGGCAGTCATTTCATGCATAAAAGATAGTTATCCTCTCATGAATACACAACCCACTGTTGAAGTTCTGAATCTCATTCCCAGAAGCAGTAGAAAGTCTGAAAATTGACTCCTATATGTGAATCTCTCACAGGGGTGGGTTGGTGACTCTCAGATCAAGATTCAGCACATCTGTTAGTCTGTCTTCATTAAAATGGCACAGTTCTCTAGGGAGAGTCCAGTCCACCATTAAGGGCTCTAATGTAGTTATCCAGTCCACCATTAAGATTTTGACTCAGGTACTTAGACCCAGCATACGGGAGGCTGGGACATATGCTGGATTTTTAGAACTGGGACATGTGTTTACTAGAACTGGGACATGTGCTGGATTTTTAATCTCATCCCTGGACCTTCCTGAAGGTGTGATTGTGACATACACTTTTGCCCAGCACCTGAGTAATTTGACTCTCCTGCCAGAGCTGAGTTCACTGATGAGACTATGACATATTGCTGAACACATCACAAGGTGACTTTTTCTTAAGTTTTGGCTTAATGTACAGGGAGCACTTTGACATATTGCTGAGCCTTGCACCCAGGTAATGTGAGTCTTCTGTCCTTTGTTGGTGTTGTGAAGCATTGCTGGGCCATATAACCAGATGTTGTAACCCTTCTACTTATGTTCTACCCATATGGGCAATTGTTACATAACACTAGAGTTATGTAACTCTCCTGCCTGGTCCCTGACTACTGGAAGCATTGTAAGATATCGCTGCACTCATTATTTAGGCGATGTGATTCTCTTTTCCTGCCTCACACCTGCTCATAAAAGGCATTGTGATCTATCTCTGTGCCCATCAATTGGCTGATGTGACTCTCCACTTATTTATAGGTTCTGCCTGAAGGACAGATTGTGACATACTGCTAGTCCCAACACTAAGGTGATGTTAAATGTTTGCATTGTCCTTTTCATCAGAAGGCATTGTGATATATTTTTGAAGCCAGAATCAGTGTAATATGAGTCTCCTCTCTCTCTTCTACAGAGGTCATTGTGACATATCTCTATGTCCAGCGACTATGTGGTGTGTCTCTCTTAACTGGGGTTTCCCTATAGAATAAAACTCTGGACCCAAGACCTAGGTAACTCTCCTGTCCTGCCTGGACTGTGCCTATAGAAAAAAGGGCTACTTATCCCCTGGCTGAACACACAGGTGATGTAATTCTTTTGCAATATCCCTGCCCACAGGTAGCATTGAGACATGTATCTGATCCCATCAACTATTTCATGTGACACTCTTCTGCTACCTGGGCTTCCCTGTAAGGGAGATTGTGACAGAACTTTTTACCCAGAAACTAGGTAATATGACTCTTCTCACTAAGCAATGCCCATAGAAAAGACAGTGACTTGTAACTGGCTCCAGCACCCAGGATGTGTGATTATTCTGCCAGTTTCTTGCTGAAAATGGGCATTGGGATATATCTCTAGGCCCATTAACTATTTTTTCTGATTTTACTCTCTAACTTGGGCTTTGCCAATAAAAGTACAGTAAAATAAAATTTCTAAATCTAAAGCTCAGGTCTGTCAAACTTTAGTAAGATATCTAGGCCTAGTCTTGTCAGAAGGGACCAGAACCTGGTAAAGAGAGGATTAAGCCTATTTTCTCCTTTTCCCTTCCCCAAACTTCAAACAGCTAGGAAAATTTGGGGGCATTACAGGTATTTGCATATTCTGGATAACTGGGTACAGTAAAATAGCTCACCCTTTATAATGCCTTATAAAAAAAATTCAAGCAGCTAAAACTTTTTTTTTTTTTTGGAAACCTGATGTTTAAAAGACCTTTCTTCTGCTAAAGCAAGCCCTTCTTAAGGCACTCACCCTTCAGTCTTTTCACAGAGAATCCCCTTAATCCTTATATCTCAAAAGAAAGGAGATAATCTTGGGAGTTTTAACTCAGGGCCAAGTTTCAGTGCATCAGCTAGTCAGTTAACTGAGAGAAAAGCTCAACTTTGTAGCTAAAAACTACCAGCTTGCCTCTGAGTGGTTGCAATGATGGCTCTGATAGTGCTGGAAGCCACCAAATTGACCATGGGAATGACCTGACTTTTCACATACCCTCTTAATGTAGCAAGACTGGTATCCTCTAAAGAAAGTCTGTGGTTAACAGATACTTGTCTCCACAAATGTCAAGCTTTTCTTCTGGAAGGATCTGTAGCTCAGTTAAAGATTTGTTAGGGCCTGAACCTAGCCATTTTATTCTCATAGAAATCCTGGACATAATTATGAACAAATAATGGTGAAAATCTATGCAGCCAGAGAGAACTTCAAGGAAAGTCCTCTAGAAAACCAACCCTGGGCTCTCTTTACAGATGAGAATTCTCTTGTAGAACAAGAAACCCATAGGGCAGGATATGCAATATTCACCTTAGATGACATCATCGAAAGGATGCCTCTCTCTCTCCAGATATGTGTGTTCAGTTAGCTAAATTAATTGCTCCTATAAGGGCACTTAAACTAAGCAACTGAAAGACTATTAACATATATAATGATTCTAAGTATGCTTTCCTGGTTCTTCATGCTTATGCCACTATTTGGAAGAAAGACACTTTCTGGGGATGAGGCCAAGATTGCTGACTAGAAGCAGTGGTGATCAAAGGCTCCCATCAAAAAGAATCACAACAGCATTCAAACCCTCCACTGGGAACTGAGGTATCCCGTTTCTGTTATCAGGACTTACTAGGCCTCTGGTATTACCCATGGAGCATAAGAAAGAGCATTGTGATGCAGCAGCCTATCTGAAAGCCACATGGGGCAGGAGAACCTCCACTCCCCAGCAAAGGGAGACAGTGAGTGAGTATGTGAACCAGCCTGGGAAACCATGTTCTTTCCATGGACCTGTGCAACCAACGGATCAGAAGATCCTACTCGTAAGCCCACACTACAAAATCCTAGGGTCCCAACTGTGGAGTCATACAGATTCTCAACAGTCATTCAGCTAGAGTATGCTAAGCCTGCCAAGTTCACAGGGGGAGGGAGGCCATCACTGCAACTGTGGCTCTCTGCTGTTTAAGCCATCTGAGTTCCTTGGTAGAGTCACAGCAGCCAACACTGGGAATTCTAGCTGCCTAACATACTAAGCTTGCATGGCAGGGGAAGGGTAGCAGCCTTCTCTATAACTCTAGGCCACACTTTTCCCCTGATGGAGACAGGGAGGCTGGCTAGCTTGGTTCCAAGAAGCATTCAACAAAGGCCAACACACCAGCTGTGGCTGACTGCAGCCACAGTCCTAGACTGATTCCTTCTCATTGAATGGGGCCTTCCTGCAGGAACTTCAACTCCAGCCAGTAGCTCAAAGAACTCTGATTTCCCTGGGCCTAAGCCCTTATGAGGAGGGGTGGCCATAGTCTCCACAAACCAGCAGACATAGTCTTTTCTCCTGTTAGTTCTGAGGAATTCTGGTAGCCCAGATGAGTGGGTTTCCTCCCAGCATGGCACACCTCCTCCACTTAGGGACAGCCAAAGTTCGTCATTAGATGGGTCTCACACCATGTGGCACTCAGCTGAGTGTCACCCTCCAACAGGCATTATCAGACTTCTTATATGGGAGCATTACTACTAGCATCAGTTCGGTGCCCCTCAAGGTCATATATTCCAAAGAAAGAAGCAGGCACCCATCTTTGCTGTTCTCCAGACTCCTTGAGAGACATCTCCATGTGTAGGAGCAAACCAGATAAGTAAGGTCTGAAGTGAACCCCCCAGCAAACCACAACAGCACTACAGATGAGGGTCCTGATTATAGAAACAAAAACTAACAATCAGAAAGCAATAACAATGACATCAACAAAATCAAAATGCCCCCACTGGAACCCCATACAAGAATCAACAGTCTCAATGATTAAAACAAGACAACTCACAAATATTAGAAAAAAAAAATGAACAGAAAAAAGACTGAAAATCCAAAGAGCCAGAGTGCACCTCTTCTCCTTCAAATGACCACAACATCTCTCAGAAAGGGTGCAGAACTGGACAGAGGATGAGATGGATGAAATGACAAAGTAGGCTTTAGTAGGCAGGTAATACAAACTCTACTTATGTAAAAGGGCATGTTCTAACCCAATGTACCTCGAAAAAAGGTTAAAGGAGTGGCTAACTACAGTAACCAGTTTAGAAAGAAACATAAATGACCTGATAGAGCTGAAAATCATGGCATGATAACTTCATGAAGCATTCCCAAGTATCAAGAGCTCAATTGATCTAGAAAAAGAGAGAAGGCAAGCAGACCAGATTAGAGAATAAACAATAAAAGAGAAGAAATATAATCTCAGAGAAATACGAGACTATTTAAAAAAGTCCTAACCTACAAATAATTGAAGTACATGAAAGAGACAGGGAGAATGGAACAAAGTTAGAAAACACACTTCAGGCTATTATTCAGGAAAACTTTCCAAATCTAGCAAGGCAGGCTAACATTCACATTCAGGAAATACAGAGAACACCACTACAATACTCCATGAGAAGATCAACCCCAAGACATAAAAGCATCAGGTTCTCCAAGGAGGAAAGGAAAAACAAACAAACAAACAAAAAAATAAAATTAAGGGAAGCTGGAAAGAAAAAACAGGTCATATACAAAGGGAAGCCCATTAGAATAACAGTGAATCTCTCAGCACAAACCTTACAAGCAAGAAGAGAGTGGGGGCCAATAATCGTCATCCATAAAGAAAAGAATTATTAACCCAGATTTTCATATCAGGCCAAACTAAGCTTCATAAGTGAAGGAGAACTAAAATCTTGTTCAGAAAAGTAAATGATGAGGGATTTAATCAGGCCTGCCTTGCAAGAGATCCTGAAAGTAGCACTAACTATAAAAAAGGAAAAAGCAATACCACTCACTGGAAAAACACACAAATATAGAAACACCAATGACACTATAAAGAAGCTGAATGAGCTAGTGTGCAAAATACAAAGATAACACGATGAAAGATTTCAAATTCACATATAACAATATTAACATTAAATGTGAATAACCTAAATGGCCCAATAACAAGACACAGACTGCCTAATTGGATAAAGAGTCAAGACCCATCAGTGTGCAATATTCAGGAGACCCATCTCGCTTGAAAAGACATGAACAAACTGAAAATAAAGAAATGCAGGAAAATTTACCAAGCAAATGAAAAGCAAGAAAAAGCAGGGGTTGCAGTCCTACTCTCCAATAAAGAGACTTTAAATCAACAAAGATCTAAAAAGACAGAGAAGGGCATTACATAATGTTAAAGGGATCAATGCAACAAGAAGAGCTAACTATCCTAAATACATATGCACCCAACACAGGAGTATCCAGATTCATAAAACAAGTTCTTAGAGACCTTCCAAGAGAGAGACTCCCACAAAATAATAGTGGGAGACTTTAACATTGTACTGTGAATATTACACACATCAATGAGACAGAAAATTAACATGGATATTCAGTACTTGAACTCAACTCTGGATTAAATGGACCTAAGATATACCTACAAAACTCCTTACCTCAAACCAACAGATTATACATTTTTCTCAGTGACACATGACACTTATTTTAAGATTGACCACATAATTGGTAGTAAATCACTTCTAAGCAAATGCAAAAAACTGAAAACACAACATTCTCTGAGAACATAAAGCAGACAACTTAGAACTCAGGATTAGGAAGTTCAGACAGAACCACAGAAGTATGTAAGAACCTGCTCTGTCATTCCTCCTGGGTAAATAATAAAACTAAAACAGATATAAAAATGTTCTCTTGAATCCACAAGAATAAAGACAACTTGCCAGAATCTCTGGGAATCAACTAACACAGTGTTAAGAGGAAAATTTATAACACTAAATGGTCACATCCAAAAGTTAGAAAGCTCTCAAGTCAACACCCTAACATAACAATTAAAGGACTAGAGAAGCTAGAGCAAACTAATTCAAAAGCTAGCAGAAGACAAAATATAACAATAATCATAGCAGAACTGACAAAGATAGGGACATAAAAACTTCAAAATCCAGGATCTGTTTTTTTTTAAATTAATGTAATAGATACACTGCTAGACAGACTAATAAACAAGAGATAAGAATCAAATAGACATAATAAAAAATGACAAAGGAGATATCACCACTGACCCAACATAAATACAAACTATCATTAAGAATACTATAAACACTGCTATGCAAATAAGCTGGAAATTCTAGAAAAAATGGATAAATTCCTGAACACATAGATTCTCCCAAGGTTAAACCAAGAACAAGTCAAATCCCTGAATAGACAAATAACAAGTTCTAAAATTGAGGCAGTAATTAATAGCCTACCAACCAAAAAAAGCCGGGGGCCAGATGAATTTACAGTAAAATTATATCAAAGGTACAAACAGGAGCTGGTACCATTCCTTCTGTCACTATTCCAAACAATTGAAAAGGAGGCACTCTTCCCTAACTCATTTTATGAAGCCAGCATCATCTTGATAGCAAAATCTGACAGAGACGCAACTAAAATGGAAAACTTTACACCAGTATTTCTGATGAACATAGATGGGAAAATACTCAGTACAACACTGGCAAAGTAAATCCAGCAGGAATAAGTCAAAACGTATCCACCATGATCATGTTGGCTTCATTCCTGGGATGTAAGGCTGGTTCAACGTATTCAAATAAATAAATGTAATCCATCATATAAATAGAACCAAGGACAAAAACCACATGATTATCTCAATAGACACAGAAAAGAGCTTTGATAAAATTCAAAATTCCTTCATGTTAAATACTCTCAATGAACTAGGTATTGATGGAACATATCTCAAAATAAAAAGAGATATTAATGGCAATCAATCCCATAGCTTATATCATACTGAATGGGCACAGCTGGAAGCATTCCCTTTGAAAACTGACACAAGACAAGGATGCCCTTTCTTACCATTCCTATTCAACATAATATTGGAAGTTCTGGTCAGGACAATCAGGCAAGAGAAATAAATCAATAGTATTCAGATAGGAAAAGATGAAGTCAAAATGTCTCAGTTTGCAGTACAAAATCAAGGTGCAAAAATCTCAAGCATGCCTATACACCCAAAATACACAAACAGAGAGCCAAATCAGGAGTGAACTTCCATTCACAATTACTACAAAGAGAATAAAATACTTAGGAAAATCATTTTATCCTTATGAATAGCAAGAATGCGTATCACAAAAATGGCTATACTTCCCAAAGTAATTTATAGATTCAATGCTATTCTTATCAAACTGCCATTGACATTTTTTATAGAATCAGAAAAAAAAACTTTAAAATTCAAATGGAACAAAAACAGACTTTGTATGGCCAAGATAATCCTAAACAAAAACAGCAAAGCTGAAGACATCATGCTACCTAACTTCAAACTATACT
Organism: Homo sapiens; assembly: GCF_000001405.40. Taxonomy (NCBI): domain Eukaryota; kingdom Metazoa; phylum Chordata; class Mammalia; order Primates; family Hominidae; genus Homo; species Homo sapiens. The sequence continues at coordinate 20,981,275 of NC_000024.10, read as the reverse complement.
AAAGGCTAAAGTAACCAAAACAACATTGGTACTGGTACCAAAACAGACATACAGACCAATAAAGCAGAACAGACACCACAGACATAACACCACACATCTACCACCATCTGATCTTCAACAAAACTAACAAAAACAATCAAAATGGAAAATATTCCCTATTTAACAAATGGTGCTGGGAAAACTAGTTAGCTATGTGCAGAAAACAGAAAATGGATCATTTCCTCACATCTTACACAAAAATTAACTCAGGGTGACTTAAAGGCTTTAGTGAAAAAACCCAAAACCCTAGAGGAAAACCTAGGCAATACCATTCAGGAAATAAGCACTGGAAAAGACTTCCTGATGAAAATACCAAAAGCAATAGCAAAAAAAGCCAAAATTGACAAATTGGATCTAATTAAACTAAAGACTTTCTTCACAGGAAAAGAAACAATTATCAGAACGAACAGGTGATCTACACAATAGGAAAAAAGTTTGGAATGTATCCATCCGACAAAGGTCTAATATCCAGCATTTACAAGGAACTTAACCAAATTTACAATAAAATAATCAAACAACTCCATCAAAAATTGGGCAAAGGATATGAACAGAAAATTCTCAAAAGAAGATATTTATGCAACCAACAAACATGAAAAAAAGCTCAACATCACTGATGATTAGAGGAACAAAAATCAAAACCACAATGAGATATCATCTCACTCCAGTAAGAAGGATGATTACTAAAAAGTCAAGCAACAGGTGCTGGTGAGACTGTGGAGAAACAGAAACACTTTTACACTGTTGGTGAAAGTGTAAATTAGTTCAGCCATTGTGAAAGACACTGTGGAGATTCTTCAGGGATCTAGAACCAGAAATACCATTTGACCAAACAAAGCCATTACTGGGTATACAACCAAAGCAATATAAATCATTCTACTATAAAGATACATACACATGTAGATTTATTGCTGGACTATTTACAATAGCAAAGACTTGGAACCAATCCAGATACTGAAAAATGATAGGCTGCAAAAAGAAAATGTGGTACATATACACCATGGAATAATATGGAGCTATTAAAATGAGATTATGTTCTTTGCAGGGACATGGATCAATCCGGAAGCCATCATCCTCTGTAAGCTAATGCACGAACAGAAAACCAAACACTGCATCTTTGCATTCATACCTAGGAGTTGAACAATGAGAACACATGGACACACGAAGAGGAACAACACACACTAGGGCCTGTTCTGGGGAGAGTGGAGAGAGAGCATCAGGACAAATAGCTGCATGTGGGGCTTAAAACCTGGTTGATGGGTTGATAGGTACAGCAAACCATCATGGCATGCATATACCTATGGAGCAAACCTGCACGTTCTGCAAATGTATTCCAGAACTTAAAGGAAAATAAAAATTAAAAAAGCGACACTTCTGACAGCTAATGAGTTTCTCATTGAATACCATTGGGAAATAGATAAGAGTATTTCCCTCAGTGTTCTTTCCATGGGAAGTGACATAATACATTACAAAGAACATCAGAAGAGGAATAAATGAAATACCTGGAGGAAATAGGTTACCAGACCAAACAGCTAAGTCAGCAGGAAGAAGACCTCAAGGTCTCAGTTGCACTTGAAGCCCCTGTAATTTTGGAGGGCTCCATAAAAATATAAAGCCTCAGTATTCCCCTGTAAGGATAGAATATGCCACCTTTCAAGGACATGGCTTTCACCCCTCAGGAGGTTACAATCAGAGAATAGCAAACTTTATTTATCAACCTCCAAATGGAGAAAAATTTTTAAGATTCTTCACCAAAGTTTTCACTTTGGAAATAATAAAATTCATCAATTACCCCAGAGACTCTTCTCAAGTAAAAACTTACCAAAATTGTCAAACAGGTTGGCTATGGTGACTCACTCCTGTAATCCAAGCACTGTGGGACCCTGAGGCAGGTGGATCTCTTGAGGCCAGGAGTTTGAGATTAGCCTAGTCACCATGGTGATACCCCATCTCTATGAAAAATACAAAAATTAGCCACTCTTGGTAGCATACATATGATCTCAGATGCTTGGATGGCTGAGGCAGTAAAATCGCTTGAATTCAGGACATGGAGGTTGCAGTGAGCCAAGATTGTGCTACTGCACTGGATCCTGGGTGACAAATTGAGACTCTGTATGAAACAAACAGCAACAACAAAAAAACAGGTTGTTAATGCTTAGAAGATCTGCCTCAAAAACAATCTGCTCAACAGATGGCTTCTCCATCTGCAAACTCAAAGAGTGGAAATTTGTGCAGGAGAAGGTTTGCAAATGAATTTTACTTATGTGCCAAGTATAATGGTGATTTAATACCTCCTGGTGGGGTGGATACCTTCATTAACTGGGTAGAGGCATTTTCATGTTCAACAGAAAAATCATCTTAGGTAGTAAAAGCACTAGTCAATGAAATATCCCCTCCCTTTGGACTCATGAAATATCTCCCAAGTGACAATGGCCTTTCATTTAAGGTGGCAGTTACCCAGTGGGTCTCAAAAACAATGAGTGTATAATACCATCTTTACTGTGCTTGGAGACTACAGTCTTCAGGGAGGGTGGAGAAAGCAAATTATATAATTAAGAGCCACCTCTGTAGTTGTCTCAAGAAATTCACCTCCCATCAGCTACTCTCTTTCCTATAACTTCAGTGTGGGTGAGAAACACCCCTTCAAAGTGTAGGTTGAGCCCTTTTGAAATGGTGTATAGATGACCAATCTTTACTAATGATTTTATATTAGATCAGGATATATCTGAATTTGTTAAACATGTAACCTCCATAGCCCACTTTCAGTAGGAATTAAAACAGCCATTAGAAATTATACCCCAAGAACTAGGCCCACCTTTGTTCAACTCAGGAGATTTGGTACTGGTGAAGGCTCCTTGTTCCCAGCTGGGAGGGAAGTCACAGTCTCCTTCTCTCCTTCTCTCCACCCCCCTCAGAGGTGAAGGCTGTGGGATTTAACTTTTGGGGTCACTTTGACTCTTGGATACACTTGAGTCAAAGCCTGGAACACAGCAAGAGTGACACCTAATAGGCTACAAGAACATCTCAGATATCAGAGTGAAGAAGTAAAGGATATCAAACTGAAAATTACAAAAAATAAGCACATATTTAGAGAGAATTACCTGTTTAGTTCAATCCCACCTTTCCTCTTGAGATTTGCCATCAGATATTAGAACTTCTCTTTGATGTATACTTAACAAAAATGTTTTAATTATCCATGGAATTACATTCATAATTTCCAAAATGAAATTCAACAGAAATTATATATATCTTGGTGAGTAAGATTTTAACTGGAACTTAATTACATCATATTTGCAAGAATTGTGGTACTAACTCTGTTCTTTGCAGTAGACTATGTACTGTTGCACCCTCTGAGTAGAATATAGAATAAATAATCTCATTTGCCATAATCTTTTGCTTAGTTATGATTCTTACAGCAAGAATAATAGTCACACATATGAGATAAACATGAAGATTTTGTTACTATCAAGTTTACTAACATCCACTGTTAGATGTAGCAATGCCTCACCTTCTTTGTCCCTTACAGAATCAGCCATTGCCCATCTATACAAGACTGATTGCTGGGTTTGCTCTGGATGATTTGCTCAGTTTAATAACACCAAAACAGGTGTTTAATCACACATGGTCCTTCCCAAACCTATGCACAAATGAACACCTGGACCCTTGTATAATATTGGATAATGGCAATAATCTGCAAATTTGTGGATCAACAGATGATGTGTGGACAAGTAGCTCCTGTAAGGAGAGTTGTCTCATATACTGGCTGGAACAAAGTATGTCCCTGATCTTTTAATAATCTATTAGGCAAAATGATTTTTCCTACAAAGCATGTAAATTTCCAAATGGTACTGTGGACTACTATAATAAGTATAAATATCATCATGCTAAAAATACTCCCATTCGATTTAGGAATGGTGACCTTATAAGGCCTGGACTAATAACTGGAGCCCTCATAAACTACAATATAGAACCATTCCTTAAAGGAAGAGGGCTTTACTTTGTTTGTGTCTCCTCTCTATACTTAATCCTTTCCAGGCACTAAAGAGAAACATGTACTATAGAGGCAATGGTTTCCAAATAGTTGTTTTTTTTTAACACTACTGATGTGATAGCATCTTGGGGTGACATCCCCCATTTGGGCTCTTTTTTAAGGATGAATTCTTTCTTACATACCAAAACAAGAGATTGTTATCTCTGTGTGTAGGGAAAAGAGATAGATTTCAGACTGTTACTGTGTCTACATAGAAAGAATTAGACATAAGAGACTCCATTTAGTTCTGTATTAAGAAAATTATTATGCCTTGAGATGCTGTTAATCTGTATCCCTAGCCCCAACCCTGTGCTCGCAGAGACATGTGCTGTGTTGACTCTAGGTTTAATGGATTTAGGGCCATGCAGGATGTGCTTTGTAAAAAAGTGCTTGAAGGCAATATGCTTGTTAAAACTCATAACCATTCTCTAGTCTCAAGTACCCAGGGACACAAAACACTGCGGAAGGCCACAGGGACCTCTGCCTAGGAAAAGCAGGTATTGTCCAAAGCTTCTCCCCATGTGATAGCCTTAGATATGGCCTCATGGGAAGGGAAAGACCTGACCATCCCGACACCCATAAACGGTCTGTGCTGAGAAGGATTAGTAAAAGAGGAAGGCCTCTTTGCATTTGTGATAAGAGGAAGACATCTGTCTCCTGCTCATCCCTGGGCAATGGAATGTCTCAGTGTAAAACCTGATTGTATATGCTATTTACTGAGATAGGAGAAAACTGCCTTAGGGCTGGAGGTGAGATATGCTAGTGGCAATACTGCTCTTTAATGCAATGAGATGTTTGTATATGTGCACATCAAGGCACAACACATTTCCTTAAACTTGTTTATGACACAGAGAACTTTGTTCACATGTTTTCCTGCTGACCATCTCCCCACTATTACCCTATTGTCCTGCCACATCCCCCTCTCAAAGATGGTGGAGATAATGATCAATAAATACTGAGGGAACTCAGAGACCAGTGCCAGTGGGGGTCCTCCGTATGCTGAGTGCTGGTCCCCTGGGCCCACTTTTCTTTTCTATACTTTGTCTCTGTGTCTTTTTCTTTTCTCAATCTCTCATCCCACCTGAAGAGAAATGCCCACAGGGGCAGAGGGGCATGCCATCCCTTCACTATGCCATCATATGGAGATTTAATTGAGAGAGAGAGAACTGCAGAGGAGATGCACATGAAAATACTATGTTAGAAAAACCAGGACTAGAACATGCAATAGACAGAAGCCTATTTTGGTTTGTTGATATTCCTCTTCTTGAGATGTCATTGCTTAGTAGTTCTTTTTTTCTAATTTGTAAATTTATTTTACTTTTAAGTTATGGGATACATCTGAACAATATGCAGGCTTGTGACATAGGTAATCATGTGCCATGGTGGTTTGCTGCACCTATGAATCCAACACCTAGGTTTAAACCCCCACATGCATTAGGTATTTATTCTAATGCTCTCCCTCACTTTGCCCCTCACACCCAGACAGGCCCCAGTGTGTAATGTTCCCCTTCCTGTGTCCATGTGTTCTCATTGTTCAAGTCCCACGTATGGGTGATAGGAGGTAGTGTTTGTTTTTCCATTCCTGTGTTAGTTTGCTGAGAAATGTGGTTTCCAGCTTCATCTATGTCCCTGTAAAGGATATGAAGTCATTCTTTTTTATGACTGCCTAGTATACCATGATGTATATGTGATATATTTTTTATCCAGTCTATTATTGATGGGAATTTGGGTTGGTTCCAAGTCTTTGCTATTGTAAATCTTGCAGCAATAAACATACATGCGCAGGTATCTTAATAATAGAATGGTTTATAATTCTTTTGTTATATACCCAGTAATGAGATGGCTGGATCAAATTGTATTTCTGGTTCTAGATCCTTTCAGAATCACCACACTTCCTTCTACAATGGTTGAACCAATTTACAATACCACAAATAGTGTATGTTTCTATTTCTCCACAGCCTCCCCAGCATCTGTTACTTCCTGACTTTTTAATAATCACCATGCTAACTGGAATAAGATGGTATTTCATTGTGGTTTTGATTTGTTTTTCTCTAATCATCAATTATTAAGAGCTTTTTTCCATATAGCCATTGGCTTCATAAATGTCTCCTTTTGAGAAATATCTGTTCATATCCTTTGCCTACTTTTTGGTGGCACTGTGTGTTTTTTTCTTGTAAATTTAAGTTCCTTGTAGATTCTGGATATTAGACCTTTTTAAGGTGGATAGATTGCAAAAATTTTCTCCCATTCTGTAGGTTGCCTGTTCACCCTGATGATAGTTTCTTTTGCAGTGCAGAAACTCTTTAATATGTTTAGATCCCAATTGTCAATTTTGACTTTTGCTGTTATTGCTGTTTGTGTTTTAGTCTCAAATGCAGGGGTCTGTCCTGCATACCCTGATCCAACGATGTATGAATAAAGTACACTGACACACAAATATTCTGCTTTACCAGTCCAGCTGAGCATCTAGGCCACCTGGTCACAGCCACAGCCTTGATTAATCAGAGAGATTTGCATTTATTCAGTAAAGATTAATTGATAGATGCCATGAGTAAACACCACTAGAGGGTAATTGACATTGCAAACTTCCTGAGTAGAGAGCAATTAAGAATTCACAGTAGACCAAAGGTTAGTCTTAGGACCACCTGAGTAAACAAGCTAGGTTGGTAAACTAGTCTACCTTCCTTTGTACCCACTTTAAGCTATTTACTCTAGGTAAGGATTAGGTTGCCTTTAGGCATAAACTTATCCTGAGACTTTTGCAAAAACCTTCAGAACTTCAATGGTTTGTGGCTTATAATTTTCCCCACCATTCTGATTGGGCCCCCACATTTCCCCCTTTATTTTTTTCTGCATCAGATCTTTTGGATTGGAGAATGCAGATGTGTGCAGCAACTAATCTGTTAGTTGTGGCAGTCATTGCTCTTATTCCAGCTTTGCATCCTAGTATTAGCAAATAACATAAAATAATCATGAATACAATTAGCCACATTCTTTTCCAGTCAAAGAGTGACCCCCAACGGTGGGGGTTCTAATCAGGAGAAATGATCTTGCACACCATTCCATATGGCTGTTTGTTGAATGTATAGGTCTACGGTGTGAAGGGATTCTAAAATGTATAAGTTGCTTTACGTCTGCTATTAAATTGTCATAAAAGCTTCCCTAAAGGTGTTGTTTTACCTCATATCAATTATTTATTGACAGACTCCATGCTAGAGAAGTGATGCAGATATGTTTACGTTCCCAGTCACAGTTTAATTGCTGTCAGAATTCCAATGCATCTTGTCATTGACCTACATATTCTAAAGCAGTCTTGAGGGCTTGTAGGTATGAAATAAATTTTTGATCTATACCTTGTTGTAAAAGAAGTTTATTAGACACATTTTTGGCCACATTATCTACAAAGGCAGCTGTTTGTTCTGACTCAGTAATAGATGCAACAGCAAAGCTAGCAGTTGACAGGATGACTATGGCTGAGACTATAAAGGCCATAAGTGTAACTATGAATCTTTTGTGTCTGACCTGTGACAGAGAATGTTCTAAGGTGTCAAGGGCAGAAGAACAGATTGACTGGTAGAAATGCCTCAGATTATCTCCTTAGTACCATGACACTAGTAATTTTTAAATTAGATATATTGTGATTAGTGATACATGAGGGAAATCAAGCCTGTCTCTAAACCTGGGTCACCTGGGGAGTTTTGGGGTGTAATGGAAATGTTAGTTGCCATAAGAAAAACATATGGATTTATAATGCAAATCAGGCACTGATTAGTGTGATTATGAATAATTCCAGTTGTGACTGGAATTATGACATGTCTCATGAGAGGTGTTAAGGGAGTTGCTAGGATGTCCCAGCAGTCATAAGTTGCCTTGGGGTGGCATGGACTTTACTTGAGGTCTGGGATATCCCATCCCCATACAGGCCCAAATCATAGGGGAATGGAGTGTGGCTATGAAACTGAATGATGCCATGATGGACAAAGACATTAGTAAGGCTGCCCTGAAATCGGCTGTGGGGGCTCCAGTCTAAGATGTTATAATAGCCTAACTAGAGGCTATGGGCCTTTTTCCTATAACAGACTTCTTAGCAAAAGTGAAATCCATTATTTTCCCGGCATTGTTCTTTAGCACAGGAAAGAATATTTGAGAAGGTGACATTGCTTGCATTGCCCAGTTTGAGGCTACCTACAGCTAAGAATATTAAGGCAAAGTTTCCTTTGCCATGATGTAGTCATACTTGTTTTTGTGAAGGTAAATAGTAAGGCTTAGAGCCTTTGTAACTTACAGTCAGTGGTAGAATAGTGGAGTGATATGTAGCATTATCTAGCACCTTATTCCAATCTGTGCAATTATTGACAGACCCCACTGGGGATAAATTCTATCCCTCCTAGCCAAGCAGTCACATTATTATAGGCTGGGAAGGGAGTGTCTGCCTGGGTGACAGGGCAAAAGAAAAGCCAGTCTAAAATACAAGCCCAATAGAGTGTAGCAGGAACAGTTTGCGGAGAAAGTGAGAGTATAAAAAGGATTAATACCATATGTGAGTTGCAGTGTACAACAGAAAGCATAGAAAGAAATAACTTATCTGGAGTTAATGGTGTGTGTGTCCAGAGAAGGATTATTTCAGCCTCTTGAGTTGTGCTCTTCAGCATCCCCTAGGTAATACCTGGCGCTTGTGTCATCCATGGAAGCCACATTGCTTGGGGCTATGGGTATTGCAGGGTTAGCTCCTTCAGCCCTGGTACCAGGTGGGGTCCTAGCCATGCCATGGTATGAGGTGATGTGCCATGCTGGAATCCAAAGAGGACCGAGAGGGTGTGGACACAAGCATACCCTCTTCTCCATGTTAGTAATTTACCTGGACCACACCATTCATTACTATTTACATCTTTCCATAAAATTGCAGGTTTTATGCCTTAAGAGGTTTTAACAAAATGCTTTTCTACAGCTGATTGAAATTTGTCATCTAAATTAAAAAAAATAAGAGTAAATAAGACTTCTGCCAATTGTGTTGCAGGGTCTTTACCCATACTCCCCATGTTTGTTTTTTGAGCATATTTTTAAGGATGGAGTGGGCACATTCTACTATTGCTTGTCCTTGGAGGTTATATGAGATATGTGTGGAATGTTGGATGCTTCACATGTAAAAAAGTTCTTGAAATTGTGAGCTGGCATAAGCTGGACCATTATCAGTCTTAATTATTGTGGGTCGTCCCATAAATTTAAAAGTTAAATGAAGATGTTTAATGATATATCAAGTTGAATCTCCAGGCAGAGTATGTGCACTAATTAAATGAGTGTTAGTATCATTGGATACATGTTTTCCAAATTCAGGGATGTGTATAACATTTGTTTGCCATAAATGATTAGGTTCTAGTCCTCTAGTGTTAACATCTATTGAAGGAGAGGAACGCCTGTGAGCTGGCAATCTGGGCATTGCAGGATAATTTGCATAGCTAGTCTTGGGTATGTTGAAATTGCTTAGATAAGTTTCTTCAGTTTGGGTGGAAAAATTGATGTGATTGGGTGGCTTGGTCAAGTAGTCTTGTCATAACTTCAAAGTCTGCTTGATTAATGCCATAAGCCAAAAGTCCAGGCAGTGAGCTGTGGGCTTGAATATGTGTAATAAAAATAGAATATGTACATTGATTTAGCAAATGCTGAAGTTGGAGAAAAAGAGCACACAGGGCTGGCTCCTGAGTGGACTTAATTAGGGCTGTCTCAATGTTGTGCAATAAATAAATAGAGTATTGCTCTAATTGGATGAATATGCAGACTGACAATATTTATAAACTGAGTGAAAAAAGTTTCCAAGGCTAGTATCAGAGCCCCAATCTCAGCTGTCTGAATTCTATTAAACCCAGATCAAGTGACTGAATTGTGTGTTCTCCACCAGACTGCTGCTTTTCTGTGTTTTCCAGACCCACCAGTGAACAATGTTAAATCATTAGATAGAGGGGAGTGAAGTATTTTTGTGGACAAAATTACCAGCATATGAGATAAGAAATGAAGGGGTCTATCAGCAGGAAGCATGTGCTCTATTTGTCATATGTAATCAGAGAAGCCTATTTGAAGATCTATCAATAAGGACAATAATGTTTAGAATTGCTTTTTACTTAAAGGAATTCTGGTGACATGAGGATTACAACACAGCAACTGATTACATCATTTCTAGCCTGAATAAATGACTTTAGTAATTAACTGAATATAAGGAGATAGTGTTTTAGTCTCAGTACATGAGCAAAATTCCATTCTAGAAAGTGTAGCTTAGGGGCCATTTGTCCTATTAACTCTGTAGGGGAATGTTTCATGGGAAAGATAAACAACTGAAACTAAAAGCCTTGGCCTATGTGATCTAGCTACCTCTGAGAGATGGCTAGTTCTATTTCCTCGACTTCTCTTTTTGCTGTAGGGGTTAAATATCTGGGAGAATCTAGGGCTGGAATGCCCTTTAAGATAGAAAACAGGTTTTGTAATTTATCAGTAGAAATCCCCAAAGTGGTGCAGGGCCAATTAATGACTCCCAGTAATTTTTGATAATCATTAAATGTGTGTAAGTTGTTAGTGTTTGGTTATTAGCATTTAATTTGAACTTCTGAATTGTTATTGACCAGGAAGTTAGTACATACTCAAGAGATTTCAAAGAAAAAAACATCTGTACTTTCTCAGGCACAATGTTTAAACCTCTTAGCTGTGTGTTCTGTACAACAGAGGAATACAAATTTGAAATTATTGGCTCCATCTGGGGATGCTAGTAGAGTATCATCCATAAAATGAATAATCTTGCAATCAGGAAATGCTTTTCTACCAGGGACCAAAGCTTGATTTACATGATAGTGACATATGTTAAGACTGTTTAGCATTCCTTCAGGAAGCACTAATCAATGAAATTGACAATATAGCTTTTCATTACTGATAGCTGGTATTGTAAATGTAAATTTTTCTGTGTCATTTTCTGTTAGGGAAATTGTATAAAACAATCTTTTAAGTCAATAACAATTATAGGTCAATCTTAAGAAATTGCTGTGGGGGAGGGGAAGCCGTGTTGAAGGGGTACCATAGGCTGTAAATTAGCATTAATAGCATGTAAGTCATGCAAAAGTCTCCATTTCCCAGACTTTTTGTAAATGATGAAAATGGGCAAATTCCAGGAGCTGTGAGATAATTCCACATGGCCAGCCTTCATTGTTCTTCAACTAAGGCATGAGCCTTCAGTAATTTCTCCCCCTTCAGAAGCCACTGTTCTACCCAAATTAGATCTTGAGAAAGCCACATCAGGGATGGGGGAGAAATAACAACAGTTGCCTTTGTTAGAAAGGGGTCTGCAGATTGACTTCCCATTGGGCTAACACATCCCATCTCAAAGATTAACAGGGATGGGCATGATTAAAGGTTATATAACTGCCTTTCTTCCCTCAGAATCACAGCATGTTAGGGTGTGTGTGCTCTGCTTGGCTGTGTGTGTTTCCCCAGTGATGACAATTTTCTGTTTCTGAGTGACCCAAGACCAAGTTTCTGGTGAGTTCTAATCACTAATGACTAAATTGTCCACCCCTGTGTCCAATAAGACAGTAAAATTCTTATTTCCAGTTTTTAAGGTAATCATGGGTCTCTGATCAATGATTAATTAATTCCAATATCTTCTGTGGCTCCTATGCTTCCAAAACTTCCCTTTCCTCTTTCTTTTTCATGGGCACTGGGGACCCAGTATGGTAAAAATCATTAACTGAGCTATCTTGGATCCAGGGGAAAGAATATGCAGATATTTACATTCCATCTAACCAATATTTCACCCTGATAATCACTATTAATTACCCCAGTGAGCACATTAATTCCTTTACTGGATAAGCTAGACTGACACAGGGCTAATATTGTTCCTGGTGGCAGTGGGACACAGATCCCAGTCCCAATACTTTTAGGGTCTTCCCCCTCTTTTAGCACTAATCCACTGGGACAAAGTAAATCCAGTCCTGTGCTTCCAGTGGTAGCTGCTCTAAGAGAGAGGACTGAGATTTCAATATGACCAAGGGAAGCTGCTGGAATTGCCCCATTTGGAAGTGGGGCCTGGGGCTAGCCCCTTATGAAGTTTCCCAACTGCTTTCTTATGGGGTTGCCGTTTTTATCAAATTTAGACCTGCATTTGCCCAGTGCTTCCCCTTCTTACACTAGGATTGTATAGAAGGGGATTCTTTCCCTGAGTTAACTTGATCTCTGCTATCAGGCCTTATCTCTTCATATGCCCCAGCTCTCTTCATAGAAAACAATTTTGGCTTCTCTCCCTTTTTACTTTAGGAGGCCTTAATGCCATAGCCAGTATTTTGGCCTTGTGTGTTTCAGTTCTTACCAGCTGACATGCTCATATTAGCTCCCTGACTGTGGTTGCCTTTCCTCTGATTGCCTGCATTGCCTCCTGTCAATCCACATTAGCATTTCCAAAAGCCAGTTGCAACAGTAAGATATCAGCAGCCTGGACATGACTAATTTGTCTCTTAATTCTCTGGGTTAACAGATTGATAAACTCAACAAATGGCTCCTGAGGCCCTTGCTGAACATTTACAAAAGATCCCTGCTGAACTCTGTTTTTGGGAATTCAGTCCCAAGCCCTAAGAGCACACACAGAGACATGAGCATAGGCCTGGGGATCAAAATTTTGTTGTTGTTGTTCACTGGAATGAGGACCCCAGCTCCCCCCAGAGCATATCAGCTGTTATATTTTGCCTTACTGTCTGATTCTGGTTGGCTTGTTGTTTGCACAACTTGTAGTATTCTGCCCTCCAGAGGAGGTATTGACTAGGCTCCAGAGTTGTTTTAGCCAGCATTAACCAGGCCCGTGGGGTCATATGGAAGTGGTCTGCCAATGCCTCAATAATTTGTTTCATAAATGGGCTAGTGGCTCCATTTTCTTTAATGCTTTTTATTAGCTCTTTATAAGCATTAAAGGAAATTGGTTCATGTACCTGATTGCTACATCAGTCTTACTTTATTGGGCAGGCTAAGACCTCCCTTTCTAATGCAGCTAAGAAAAAGTCCTATAGCTGGGATATATTTCTTGTTTTTTTTTGTACTTATTGGAGGTGGCACTCAGATAAAACCTTAATTTCCTCTTTGTTATTTTGGCCTGGTGATATTGGGGTTGAAGGAAAAGTCAGTAAAGCAGGTGGTGCTTCTTCCTCCTTCCCCTTTTTAGGCTGTTCTGTGTATAATTGGACTATGCCATCTGTACTAAAGCACATGTGTAACAATGATGTTGGGACCCATTGCCCTTATGCATAATATTGTTTAAGATTTCTCCATACTTGTTCCCAGGGTTCTACATCTAGCATTCTTTTTTTCTAGGAACCCTGGATTATGTGAGATAACAGTCTGCATTAGGTCCCTTAATTGAGCCTGTGAAACTGATGCTCTGCTAGCCTTAAGCAACTGTTTCAACACTTTTACATACTTTTTCTGTTGAGCTGATAACTATTTTCCCATGATGAAACCTTAGCCTGACCAATCCCCCCAAAACTTGAAAATCCCAAGTGGGCACAAATGACTTACTGATTGCTCACTGACCATGCAGTTCCTTTTTCAACTTCATTTTTAGGGGTCTGTCATGCTTCCTTTGCAGCATTCCTCACATGAGGGTACCAACTGCAGGGGCCTGTCTTGCAGACCCTGACACAACAATGGATGAATAATGTACGCTGACATACAGATATTCTGCTTTGCAAGTCCAGCTGAGCACCTGGGCCACTTAGTTGCAGCTGTGGCATCAATCTGTCAGTGAAACTTGCATTTATTCAGTAAAGATTAATTGACAAATGTCATGAGCAAACAACACTAGAGGGTAATTGACATTGTGAACTTCCCGAGTAGAAAGCAATTAAACACCCATCATAGATCAAAGTTTAGTCTTAGGACCACATGAGTAAACAGGATAGTTAGGTCAACTATTCTACCTTTCTTTGTATCCACTTTAAACTTTTACTCAAGGTGAGAGTTAAGTTGCCTTCAGCCATGACTTTATCCTGAGACTTTTTCAAAAATCTTCGTGTTTCCCAAGAAGGTATGTGGCTCACAATTTTCCCCATCATCCTCCCTGAACTCCCACACATAAAGTCTTTGCCCATGCCTTTGTCTTGACTGGTATTGCCTAGGTTTTATTCTAGAATTTTTATGGCTTTTGGTTTTACATTTAACTCTTTAATCTATCTTGAGTTAATTTTTGTATAAAGTGAGGGAAGCAGTCCAATTTCAGTTTTCTGCATATGGCTACTCAGTTTTCCCAGCATCATTTTTTAAATAGGAAATTCTTTTTCCCTTGCTGTTTTTTGTCAGGTTTGTTGAAGATCAGTTGGTTTGTAGGTGTGTGTTGTTATTTCTAAGGCCTCTGTTCCCTTTCATGGTGCCAGTACCATTCTGTTTTGGTTACTGTATCTTGTAGTTGAGGTTGAAGGGAGGTAGCATGATGCCTCAAGTTTTGTTCTCTTTGCTGAGTATTTTCTTGTCTATATGAGCTATTTTTTGGTTCTATATATAATTTAAAGTAATTTTTTTTTCAAATTCTGCAAAGAAAGCCACTGGTAACTTAATGAGAAAGCATTGAATCTGTCAATTACTTTGGGCACTATGGCTATTTTCATGATATTCATTCTTCCTATCCATGAACATGAATATTTTTTATTTGTTTGTGTCCTCTCTTAACTTTCCTTGAACAGTGGTTTGCAGTTCTCCTTGAAGAGGTCCTTCACTTCCCTTGTAAGTTGTATTTCTAGGTATTTTATTATCTTTGTAGCAATTGTGAATGGTAGTTCTTTGATGGTTTGTTTCTCTGCTTGTCTATCATAGGTGTATTGAAATGTGTGTGATTTTTTAACATTGATTTTGTACCCCAAGGCTTTGCTGAATTGTTTATAAGCCTAAGGAATTTTTCAGCTGAGTCGACGGGGTTTTCTAAATATGCAATTGTGTCATCCACAAACAGACAATTTGACTTCCTATATTCCTACTTGGATATCCTTTATTTCAGTCTCTTTGCTAATTGCCATGGCCAGAGCTTCCAACACTATGCTGAATAAGAGTGGTGAGAGAGAGCACGCTTATCTTGTGCTGGTTTTCAAAGAAAAATTTTCTAGACTTTGTACATTCAGTATAATACTGGCTATGGGTTTGTCATAAATAGCTCTTATTATTTTGAGATATGTTTCATCAACACCTGGTTTATTGAGAGTTTTTAGCATGAAGGGGTGTTGAATTTTATCAAAGGCCTTCATCTATTGAGATAATCATGTGATATTCGTGATTTTTGCCATTGGTTCTCTTTATGTGATTGATAATATTTATTGATTTGCATATGTCAAACAAGCCTTGCATCCCAGAAATAAAGTAAACTTGATCATGGTGGATAAGCTTTATGATGTGATACTGGATTGAGTTTTTCAGCATTTTATTGAGAATTTTTGTATCGATATTTATCATGGATATTGTTCTGAAATTTTCTTTTTTGTTGTTTTGTTTCTGCCAGGTTTTGGTAACTGGATGATGCTGACCTCATAAAATGAGTTATGGAGGAGTCCCTTTGTTTTCTATTGTTCACAATTGTTTCAGAAGGAATGGTACCAGCTCCTCTTTGTACCTCTGATAGAATTCAGCTGTCAATCTGCCTGGTCCTGGACTTTTTTTTTTTTTTTTTTTTTTTTGGTCAGTAGTCTACTAATTACTACCTCAGTTACAGAACCTGTTATTGATCTATTCAGGGACTCAACTTCTTTCTGAATTAGTCTTGACAGGCTGTATGTGTCTAAGAATTTACCCATTTCTTCCAGATTTTCTAGTTTATTTGAATACGGTCTCCACAGTATTTGCTGATGGTAATGTGTATTTCTGTTGTAACCACTTTTTCATTTTTTATTGTGTCTATTTGATTCTTCTCTGTTTTATTTTTTATTATTCTAGCTAGAGGTCTATATATTTTGCTAGTCTTTTCAAAAAAACATATCCTGGGTTTATTTTTTTCAAGGCTATTTTTGTGTCTCTATCTGCTTCAGTTCTCTCTAATCCTAGTTATTTCATGTCTTCTGCTAGGTTTTGAATTTTTCTTGCTTCTCCAGTTCTTTTAATTGCAATGTTTGGGTGTTGAGTTCAGATTTTTCCAGCTTTCTGATGTGGGCATTTATTGCTATAAATTTATCTCTCAACACTCCTTCAGGTGTGTTCAACAGATTCTGCTTCATTGTCTCTTCGTCCTAATTGGGTTCAAATAACTTCTTCATTTCTGCCTTAATTTTATTGTTTATCCGGTAGTCACTCAGGTGTTGGTTGTTCAATGTCCATGAAGTTTTTCAGTTTTAAGTGAGTTTCCTAATCCTGAGTTCTAATTGATTGCAAAGTGGTTTGAGAGACTCTTTGTTATGATTTCCATTGTTTTGTATTTGCTGAGGGGTGTTTTACTTCCAATTAATTGGTCAATTTTAGAAAAGTTGCTTTGTGATGCTGAGAAGAATGTATATCAGTTGATTTGGGACAGAAAATTCTGCAGATGTCTGTTAAGTCCCCTTGGTCCAGAGCTGAGTTCAAGTCCTGAATATCCTTGTGAATTTTCTTTCTCATTGATCTAATATTGACTGTGGGGTTTTAAATTCTCCCACCATTATTTTGTGAAAGTCTGTCCTTCAAAGGTCCTAAGAACTTGTTTTATGAATTTTGGTGCTCCAGTATTGGGTGAATACCTATTTAGAGTAGTTAGTTCTTCTTGTTTCATTGATCCCTTTACCATAATGTAACATTCTTCTTTGTCTTTTTTAATCTTTGCTGGTTTAAAGTGTTCTATCAGAGGCTAGAATTACAATCCTTGCTTTTTTGCTTTCCATTTGCTTGGTAAATATTCCTCCATTCCTTTATTTTGAGCCTATGTGTGTGTTTCCAAGTGAGATGGGTCTCCTAATTACAGCACACCAATAGATCTTGACACTTTATCCAATTTTCCAGTCTGTGTCTTTTATTTGGGACATTTAGGCATTTCCATTTAAGTTAATATTGTTATACGTGAATTTGATTCTGTCATCATGATGCTAGCTAGTTATTTTGCACATTCGTTGAAAAAGTTTTTTTAGTGTCATTGGGTTTTGTATTTCAATGTGTTGTTGCAGTGACTGGTACCAGTTTTTCCTTTCCATATTTAATGCTTCCTTACTCTTGTTAAGGCAGGCCTGGTGGTGACAAGATTCCTCAGCATTTGCTTGTCTGGAAAGAATTTTATTTCTTCTTGATCTATGAAGCTCAGTTTGGTTGGATATGAAATTCTGACTTGAAAATTATTTACCTTAATAATTTTGAATGTTTGCCCCCACCCTGTTCTGGCTTGTAGTGTTTCTATAGAAAGATCCACTGTTAATCTGATGAGCTTCCATTTGTATGTAGCCTGATCTTTCTCTCTTGCTGCCCTCAACATTTTTTCCTTCATTTCAACCTTCAACAATCTGATGATATTATGTCTTGAGGTTGCTCTTCTTTAGGTGTATTTTACTTCTGTTCTCTCCAATGGGAGAGAAGATGACTATCATAGCTAGGATCTGCGCAACAGGTTAGGGCTAGTGTTAGGGTCTGCGTTAGTCAGAAGAAGTGTTACATCACAGAAGATAACATTTCTGTATATTGTGTTTTCACAGAAGATAACATTCTGCATAATGGTACAGAAAGTGTCATAAAAGTGTCTAAAATGTAGATGAGATGATGACTCATATTTGCACATCAACACAACCCTACTCTCATTGGCATTATGATATATATGGGCCAAGCACTGAGGTGATGTGACTTTTCTGCCTGAGCCCTGCAGTCAAGGGAATTGTAAAATATTATTGTGTGCAGAACCTAGGCAATAAGACTTTTCTCTGTCATCTGTGCCCTGCCCACAGAAAAGATCTTGACAAATTGCTGGATACAGAACATAGGTGTTGTCACTGTCCTGCCAGAGTTTTTTTTCACAGGGGGCATTGTTACATATATCTGGGCCCAAAACCTATGTTGTGTGACTCTCATTTCTTGCCCCCATCCACATGGGAACTTGTGACATATTGCTGGGCTTAGTAAAAGGTAATGTGACTCTCCACTTTTGCTGAGCTCTGCCCACAAAGGGAATTGTGACATATTGCTGGGTCCAACACCTATTTGATGTGAATCTCTTCTGCTGCCTGAGACATGCCCAAAGAAAATATTGTGACATATTGCTGGGCTCAACACCCAGGTGATGTTACTCTCCTGTTTAACCCCTCTCAACAGAAATCATTTTGATATATACCTGGGAACACCAACTTGTTTATGTGAATCCCTCTACACTCAGTGGCATATGAATCTGAGTACACATCATATACTATTTGGGCTACTGCATACACAACAAATACCACATCTCATAGGACACTTAGCGTTGGTACACATGAATAAAACAGGGATGGCAGGCACTGAAAAAGACACCAGACCAGGTGTACCTGTCACCAGCTCCTCCTCCCACCTCAGGAAGAAGTACCACTGGAGACTGCAAGTGAAAGTCTGGTCCCAGTGTCTCCAGGAAGCCCCTCACCCCAGCCAGATCTTTAGCAGCTTCTACCAGGAGCTCTGGGTGGGAGGAAGGTCATGGAACCTGCAGGCTCTCCAGAGAATGGCAAGGACCTGTTGAGGTGACAGCCTCACTGCTGGGGTTTCTGGCAGCCCATGAAGACCAATGAAACTCTGACCCTGACCTGGAGACAAGACCTGCCCACTGCTCCCTTACTAGAACACCTCCTTCTGCACCCACAACACTTTTCCTCCTCCCAAAACACACCCAGGACTGTGCTCCCCACCAGCTCTGACTGCACACAGCATGGGGCTGGCAGGAGGTGCTCACATGACACCCACTGCTTACCTCTTGATCATGCCACAGTGCAGTCCTCTGGTAGCCCCATAGCGGGACTTTTTCTGCAGCACCCCCAAGGTGAAGGGGTGGTGAGTGGGTCATGGGCAGGCCCTGCACTTTTCTTCACAGGCCTCAGAAGCCCATCTTGTTGCCCACATAGCTCCTCAGCAGCATAGAGTGTTTACAATTAGGTGGGCAGCTGTCAGCACTCTCTGGTACCACCAATCCTGAGGCCATGACTAGGCAGACTCCATAGTGCTGTTGGTGCCATCTCCACGGACACTTGTTTCTGTGCTGTCACCACCACCGAGCTCTCCCCACCATTATGTTTGAGAACTCAGGGAGAAGAAATGGAAAAATCAGCTAGGGAAGACTCAAGCTGCAGAAGAGGTCTCCTGAAATGTCACAGCAACAGGTAAAAATAAAGCATCCAAGGAAAAAAGCTAAGGCTGCACCTGCACAGAGATAAGCAGACAGGGTCCAGCATATAAGTCCTTTCTTCTTTTTATAATTAGGAGGCTCACAGGAAAAAAGTTTTCTCCATTTATCAGGCATACACTTTGTGGGAACTTGCACAGGAAGTGAGGCACTTACTTAAACCCACAGTTATACAAACAAAAACGATACCACTTTGTGCTTGCTTAGAGATATACCCAAAACTGCATAAGATAAAAGGAGTTGTAGAAACATCTTCACTGATAAGAGAAATTATGCAAACTGCTGCATAGATGGGAGAAGTTTCTTATAAAGCTTGTGAATTCAGCTGTAACCCAGCAATCCACACAGACTCCTCTCTTTGCTCTGGAGAGATTTCTTCTTTCGGTTATTAACCTTGGCTCCCATCTCACAAGGGATGGGAAAGGCTCCCATCCCTTTCCTTAATTTTCTTGAACATAAGACAAAACACCCCAGGTACTAGTTCAGACAATGAGAAACTACTACATTAAAGTACATTGGTGAGACTGCAACATATTCTGTTTTTTTTTGTTTGTTTGTTTGTTTTTTATCTTGCCCAAATTCCTATATAAGAGGTCTGGAGAGTTTTGACCTAAAAATTATAAATTTTCATGAGATAGATTTTATTTAACCAAACATATTGTAACTTACTTTCCAATATGACTTTGGCAAAACATTTTGTGACAAAGAAATATATATATATATATATTTTACCCCAAAGATGTTTCTCCACCATATCTTGAAATGGCCCTACAATGCTGTTCTTTGTGGGGAAAAATTTGCATTTGTAATTAATCTCTGTTAACATCACTAGATATTTTTCTTCCAGTCTCCCTCAATCCTAAAGAGACTAAGAGACTAAGGGTCTAGCACCTTTTAAAGATCTGTATAGGAAACATTTGCCTTATATTGTCACTCAGAGCAGCAACTATAAGACTTCAAAAGAACCTTGGTTTCCAAAACCTTTTATCTTATCTGAACATTTTCTTTCTTCTGTTCTCAGGTCTTTAGATAAACTCTACAAATTGCCAACCAGAAAATATGTAAATTTACCTACAATCTGGAAGCATCTCCCTGAACCCTGCTTTGAGTTGTCCTGACTTTCTGAACAAAACAAATGTATTTCTTAAATATATTTGTTTGGTGTCTCATGCCTCTAAAATGAATAAAACCAAACTGCACCAAACATCCTGGGTACATGTTCTCAGGACCCCCTGAGGGCCGTGTCATAGGCCATGCTCATTCATATTTGACTCAGAATAAATCTTTTCAAGAATTTTAGAAAGTTTGACTCTTAGACATGCTCCAGCAACTTCTCCACCACCTGCTGCCCCCAGGGTACTACCTTCTTTCCTCTGGCAAGATCCCATTGGGCTTTTGGTGGGCAATGGGTGTGAGTGGGGGCATGCTTAGGCCATCTCTTTCTTCTCCTTGCTGGTCTCCTTCTTCCTTTTCAGCTTCCCTTGCCCTGACACCATGAACAGCTTGGCTCCAAAGGATCCAGGCTTGCTTGTAATACTCCATCTCAGAGAACAGAAGGATGGTGCCTGGGTGAGGGAGGCAAGAAGGTTGAGTGCCAGGTGCTACATGCAGGGTGATGGCCTGCAGGGTGTGGGACCCCATCACCCACACTTTCTGTGTCTCCCTGTGGCACCTGTGCCTCTGGTACTGGAGTGGCAGGAAGTTGGGCAACACTGTTAGGAAAATTGGGTTCAAGGGAGGCCTCAACAGACACTCACATGGCAATGTTGCAAGGGTTGGCAACAGTCCCCACTGGATCTCCACCAAAGACCACTCACCCACAGAGTTTATTTCATCAATAAAGGTGCCTGTGGCTGGTGACTGGGCAGGAAAGTGGCACCTGAACCAGGCAGTCCATGAGGGGCTCCAGAGCTGGAGGCCAGACTTGTATGCCATGAGCCAGCTGGTGGCAGCCTTTGCTCCAGCTGTGCATGCTTCTCTGACCTTCCCCACCTACTGTCCTTCCTGCCTGTATCTAAAATTTGTTTCAGCATATTTCTCTGTCTCCACACATGCACGTCACACATGTTAAAGCTGCGTAGGTGCAAGCATGGTGCAGCCAGGAGCTGATAATAAGCCTGACGTATGATAGGGTCATTGTCAGGTGCCAGCTGCCACTCAGCCCTGGGTAAACCTGGTGCCTGCCCCATGCTCATGGAGTCAGAATATGAAAGTCTAAGAAGTGTGAATGCTTTTGTTTAGGTTATTCTACCATCATTTAAATCCTATCATCAAAAAGAAAGATACTGTGAGAGGCCTGTGAACAAGAGCATATTCATCTAGAATAGGAGCTCAGTAAAATGAGGCTGAAAAAAACAAACAACTCCATCAAAAAGTGGGCGAAGGACATGAACAGACACTTCTCAAAAGAAGACATTTATGCAGCCAAAAAACACATGAAGAAATGCTCATCATCACTGGCCATCAGAGAAATGCAAATCAAAACCACTATGAGATATGATCTCACACCAGTTAGAATGGCAATCATTAAAAAGTCAGGAAACAACAGGTGCTGGAGAGGATGTGGAGAAATAGGAACACTTTTACACTGTTGGTGGGACTGTAAACTAGTTCAACCATTGTGGAAGTCAGTGTGGCGATTCCTCAGGGATCTAGAACTAGAAATACCATTTGACCCAGCCATCCCATTACTGGGTATATACCCAAAGGACTATAAATCGTGCTGCTATAAAGACACATGCACACGTATGTTTATTGCGGCACTATTCACAATAGCAAAGACTTGGAACCAACCCAAATGTCCAACAATGATAGACTGGATTAAGAAAATGTGGCACATATACACCATGGAATACTATGCAGCCATAAAAAATGATGAGTTCATGTCCTTTGTAGGGACATGGATGAAATTGGAAACCATCATTCTCAGTAAACTATCGCAAGAACAAAAAACCAAACACTGCATATTCTCACTCATAGGTGGGAATTGAACAATGAGATCACATGGACACAGGAAGGGGAATATCACACTCTGGGGACTGTGGTGGGGTCGGGGGAGGGGGGAGGGATAGCATTGGGAGATATACCTAATGCTAGATGACACGTTAGTGGGTGCAGCGCACCAGCATGGCACATGTATACATATGTAACTAACCTGCACAATGTGCACATGTACCCTAAAACTTAGAGTATAATAACAAAAAAAAAAACATTAAAAAAAAAAATGAGGCTGAGACCTACTAGGCTGCATTTCCATATTATAAAGGCATTCTATGTCACAGATGAAAGAGGAATTCAGAACAAAGTACTGGTCATAAAGACCTTGCTGATAAAACAGGTTGCAGTAAAGAAGGTGGCTAAATCTTACCAGAACCAAGACAGCCATGGGAGTGATTTCTGTTTGTCCTCATTGCTAAACTCCAACCACCACCATGACAGTTAACAGATGCCATGGAAACATCAGGCTGTTTTCCTATATGGCTTATAAAGCAGAGGCATACATAATCCACCCCTTGTTTAGCATATAATCAAGAAATAACCATAAAAAATGGGCAACCAGCAGCCATTGGATCTGCTTTGTCTATGGAGTAGCCATTTTTACATTCCTTTACATTCCCAATAAACTTGCTTTGGCTGGGCATGTTGGATCACACTTGTAATCCTAGCACTTCGGGAGGCCTAGGTGGATGGGTCACTGGAAGTTGGGAGTTCTTGACCAGGGCCACCCTGGCCAGCATCGTGAAATCCCATCTCTACTAAAAAATACAAATATTAGCAGGAAAGCCAGGTACTTGGGAAGCTGAGGTGGGAGAATCACTTGATCCTAGGAGGTGGAGGTAGCAGTGAGCCAAGATCATGCCATTGCACTCCAGCCTGGGTGACAATGTAAGATTCAAGAACTCTCTCTTGGAGTCTGGATCAGGGCCCCTGTCCTGTTACAATAGGGATACATTAAGTTCCTCCTTTCACCTCTGTGAAAACAGGACTGGGAAGAGAACAGGACTACTCATCATCAACATGGCAAAAACACTGCAGACTTGCATGAGGAAAGGTAGGTTATCTTTTATGGAGAGTAATCCTAGAACAAATTAGTGATGATTTTTTTAAACCATGGTTTAAGAATGGCTCAAAAATCAGCATACATTTATAATATTCACCTGTTTTTCCTAGTGACCATTTCCTACTGGGAGTCAAAGAAAATCAGTCAGCAGAGTCCTCTCATCTCTTGGACTAGGAATTTAAAACTGGTTTCAGGTGCCAGTGGCCACACTACAGTACAGTATAGTTTTATTTTATTGTTAGTGTTACTAATCTCTCATTGTGCCTCACTTATAAATTAAACTTTATTATAGGCATGTTTGTAGGTTGTGTAGGAGAAAACAGTGTAAATAAGTACTATCCCAGGTTTCAGGTATCTATTGAGCTTTTTGGCACATGCCCACCACCTGAAAATCATTAGATAGAGATTTGTTGAAATTTTGGGATTATGATCCAATTTATCAATATCTTTTTATAGCAAGTCTCTAAGACTAAGTTAGAATTTAGAAATGGAATGTTTATCTATGATAAACACCAATCACATAAATATAATAGTTTAAATCATTCACAGACCTCATTCTGACAGATCCTGAAAAAATGTTATCTCAAAGAACATCACAAAATAATTTTAATTTATTTTAAAAATAAACACACTTTATTAAAATTAAGTAGAACGGTTAAAGAATTTCAGAAGAAAAGAAAGCCATACCTGCTTTGAATGTTGGTCCAGGAGTTCCAACAATTAAGAACTTTCAGTTAATTAACTTTAAAAATCTGTTACTTCATCTGTAAAACAGAGAACTGCATGGTTCTCTATATTTTACAGCAGCCACTCCTGTAAGACATCATCATATCTGTATAAAAGGAAGCTTACATTTTAGGAAAGAAATGGCTGTGTAACTCTACATTTCTCCCCAATTATACATTTTTGACAACATTTCACATATTATACCCAGATGCCATCTCTCAACCTAAAGAACATTTAATAACTTATCCTGAATTCCTTATTGATTTTGCCTAGAATGACCCTTTGATCTATTTTCCAAATGAGATTGTATTTATCAAGCAAGATAAGTACCAGTGTCCCTCCCCACATAAAACACAAAGGCTGGCTATTGATAATTTACAAAAGAAGAAATATGAACAATTAATAAATACTCAAATTTATTAGTAATAAAAAATACACTTTAAAGTGACATAACATTGCTTTTCTTCAAATGTCAGAGTTCTTTTCCAATAATAATGCTATTGAGGGTTAGAAAAATGAACACTCTTATACAATGCTGGTAGGAAATTGGATTGATATTAACTCTTTTGAAATGCATACCAAGAGGCTTTTAAAACAATTTGATATATTTCATTTGTCCCTCACCTGAATAAATATGAGGGTGTGCACCTGGGGGCCAATAGTTTGATGGGAGACAGTCCAGAAGACCAAAGTAGTTATTTTCATATACCCTAAGTCATAACATGGTTTTATCTAGTAGATTGTGAAGACAGGCAAGGGTCTAAGATAGTAAGGGAAAAGAGGCAGTATAGAATAGCTAAGGAAAAGCCCCAGGAATGCAGATAAACAGCACATCATATAAAAAATTTAGTGAACAGTAAGTGTTATATTGTGGTATGATTACTAACGTGAATGAATGAAATGAACAGATTAATTTCAGTGAGACTTGGTATCACATTTAGGGGAACTCAAAAACACATAACCTTTTCTCTAAAGTAATAGTAATGGCATTTTTAAATGTGGATAATGGTTTTTATTAAGTAGTTACCTTTGTAAAGTAAGAAAAACTGTATAACTAAAAATAAAATATTAACAAACTAGAAAATATATATGTAAGAAATAAGAACTAGGGTACTAGTCTTCAAATGTAAAAAAAGATCTCACATCAGAAAAATAAATGTCAATATTTCTCCCCCCAAAAAAGAAGAAAGCCATGGATAATTTACAAAAAGAAGAAATATAAAATATTAATAAACACTGACAAATATTCAAATTTACTAGTAAAATGATGCATTAAAATAGTATAACATTGTTTTTTCCCAAATGACAGAATACTTTTCTAGTGATAATGCTGTTGAAAGCAAAATGAACACTCTTATACACTGTTGTTAGGAAACTGGATGGATATTAAATCTTTCAAAATACATACCAAGAGGCTTACAAAAATCTATGTCATTGACAACATAAGTCTATGATTAAAAACCTATCCTAAAGATACTATCTGAAAGACAGGCAAAAATGTACGGAGAAGAGTATTCATGTTGCTTTTATACTTAAAATCCTTCAGCAGTTTTGTGCTGCATTAGAATAAAATCCAAACCCTACTCCTTGGCTCACATGGGTCAGCATCATGAGACCCCCTGCCTGCCTTTTAACTTTAATTTTATTATTGCCTCACTGACCATTGTTTTATTACAGGATGGTACAATATTTATTTCCTCTGATTGTGGAACATCTTGCCCCATTTTTCCCAGTCCTAATTCTACTAAGTCTTCAGGTATGTGATCAAATGCCACTTTTCCCAAAAGGGAATTCCTGAGCTCTCATGTAAATTGTGTCCTCCTTGTATTATTCTCCATAACAAAATAATTTGTAAATCTGTGTTTATTTCATGTTAAGAAACTGTTGACAGATCTGTTCTCCATGGTGTGCCCAGGCCTCAAAACACACTTTTAAATTACAACTGCCACAAATAAAACTGGTTGTCTTATTTGAAGGCAAAGCACTGTCAAGATGTGGGTGTTCTATTTTTAAATAACATAATATAAGTGGCTCTGTTACTCAGGCATTATACTCTTCCTTAACACATATTAATTAGAACTACACATTAATTTGATCATGAGGTATAATTTTAGATTAATACCTCAGGACTGTGGAATAAAGTAATATTGTAATGTTGACCTTCCAAGCCAGGAGAGGAGCTGTGCAATGTTCTCTCTGCTCTCATATAACAGAAGAGGTATCTATATTTGGAATAATATTTTTGAAGCATATAAAAGCACTTTTCTCCTTTTCCTTCTCGTACTTAATGTTGCTAGTTAGCCCAAGTCATCTGTCTACTGCAGAGGGCATTAGGATTGTCACAGCAACAAGACTGTACCTATAAATGGAAAAAATTAATATTCAGCTTCTGACACTTGAAATAGGACATTTTCATCTGCAGTGAAACAATAGGATTGCAAGCATGGCTTTGTTGAGAGAAAATGTAATTCTCTGTTACTTTCTCTTTACTTTTAATATATTTAGAAACTGGTTTGTCTAGTAGGTTACTGAATCTTAACACACTGATTAAAAGACTCAAGATGTGGTTGTGGGAGAGAGAAATATAAGGTATGTAATTTACTGCCCAGGTTTAGGTGCTTACCCTACATGTCTGTTGGGCACTCAGGATAAGCACTCAGAAATAGTTAATAAATTAATAAATAAAGTACATAGCAATGCTTACTTTTTTGTTAGCACATGTACAAGAAGGAAGAAATGAGCAACATGGAGTAGCTACTTGTCTGCATAACAAAAGACTGGGGTTGTGGACTTCCAGAGACTCACACCCTATGCAGATAACATATCTGATCCTAACCAATTTTTTATGCTCTATGTTGATCAGACACTGCCTACTCTCTGACTCATGTATAAAAAACCACTGCATTTGGCTGGGTATGGTGGCTCCAACCTGTAATCCCAGCACTTTGGGAGGCTAAGGCGGGTGGGTCACGAGGTCAGCAGATGGAAACCATTTTGGCTAACACTGTGAAACCCCGTCTCTACTAAAAATACAAAAAAATTAGCCGCGTGTGGTGGCAGGTGTCTGTAGTCCCAGCTACTCCAGAGGCTGAGACAGGAGAATGGCGTGAACCTGGGAGGCGGACCTTGCAATGAGCCGAGATCATGCCACTGCACTCCAGCCTGGGCAACAGAGTGAGAGTGTGTCTCAAAAACAAAACAAAACAAACAAAAAATTCTGCATTTCACCACAGATCATCAACTTATTTATCCAAAACCCCTCTCTGTAGCAGACAGCTATTCTTTTTTCTTTAACCTATTAGATTTCTGCAGTTAACTTCAACTTTTGTGTGTCTGTATCCTTGATCTCTGTGGCCAGGAGACCAATAACTTCAGGTTCTTCAGGTTGTTTGACAAAACTTCTTCATTGTGGAGGCTTATCTGCCTCAGAGCATTTAGCTAATCCCCCAGGGCCCTTAGGATGCTGAGAATGTTGGCTCTGTTACCAGCTAGTTTCCTTTCACAGAGAGCAAAGCCATTCCATGGGGCTGGAAGAGCTCCTGAGGCAACTGAAGGTCTCTGGCTGAGGTCATACCCCATTGTTACCTGAAGCCTTCTGCACTAACTCCAGTGCCCAGTAGCCCATTGATTGTCAACAACATGATCTTCAAACTTTTTTTTTATCGCAATTTTCTTCTTTCCTTTTATGGTCATTATGTTTTCTAACACCTCTTCATATGCAATGTTTTTTGAGTTCTTACAGCTCAGGGAAATAAGCAGGATCATCAAGTGCCATAGTAAGTGGAAACGTAACTCAAGGAATAGAATTTTTTGTGATTTTTCTAGAAACAGAAGATTTTACACCCAGTGAACATCCTCCTCTTTTTACCTTTTGTCTGGAGAACACATGGAAATAAAGTTACTGCCTGGTATTTCAAGGTCTACAGGGCCACTTAGTGGAATGAAAAGTCTCTCCATGAGGAACCTTATTGGTTTTTTGCCGAAAACCTCTAGTGCCCCAATTCTCCTTCCATTTTGTGTGTCTCTACTAGAGATCAGCCTTCATGCCACTTCTGTGAATGGGAAAACTCAATAATGAGGAGGAAAATATCCTCTGAAAGCAAATTTTAACCCAATATTATCACATCAGCAAGAAAACAGCCATTCAGTCCCTGTGTTGTTTTAAGACACCTATTTTGCCTCTCAATTAGAATGGTACTTAAATAGTAAAGGATTGTAGGTCTAGAGGTTAACCAAAACCACTGCTTAAGAATGCATACTGTAGTCTGGGACATAACAGCAGAATATAGAGCTCAACCCAGTACACTTCATCTGTTAAGGGGCCTTGATCAAGTGCAAAGGATACATATTATTTCCAAAATACATCTATTGTGAAGCCACACAGATGATACAAATCTAGGAAGTCAAACAGAAATCACCAGCAGATGACTAAGGTTCTCAGGTTCTCTGTGGGTAAGCACGACTATTATCACCACCTAGCTTTTCCAGATCCTTGGATTAGAGTCATGGCTAAATCCATAGGCTGCAATTTTAACAGATGTTGGAGTCCAAGAAACCAGGGAGGGAAAACAGTATGTACGAAACTCCCATTTGAGTCTCAGGGCTCAAACCACTGGCTCCTGCTGTTGAAACTACCATTACTGCTCAGGAGTCCTAGGGGTTTCTCAAAGTTGAAGTAAGGAGGGTGGACCTTCTTCTGGACACTGAAATCAGTCTCTGTCTTCTTTTATCCAATCCAGGCCTTTCCTCTTCCCATGATCATGATGGGTGTCTCAAGAAACTCCCAGTAGGTAGGAAATTTCCACCATGGGTCATTCCGAAGGAAGGATGGGGCTGAATTAATCCTTGTTCCCCTATCTCTCTATCTGTCTTCAGCCTGCTTGAAGTGCTTTCTGAAGCACTGGTACTCCTTTGACCCTGAGACTTTGAAGAAAAAGCAGCATATATATATATATATATATATATATATATATATATATATATATTGGCATAAGAATGTGGTCTTCTTACTATATTGAATGGATCTCATCTTTTGAAGGAAGGCTTGATTTTAATATTATCCAACAATCAGATCTTTTATGTAGAGGGGAGAACAAATGATCTCAGTTTCTCTATGTACAGGCTTTCTTTGCCCTATGAGAAAGCCCAGAACCACGTAAGTGTTGCACAATCAACCCAGTTCTCTTAGCAGTCTTTAAAGGGAAGCCTCAAAGGGAATAGTTCCCCAACACTTAAGAAATAAATTTTGTGGGAATCATCTGAGACAGCTATTGGGTGTCCTGGCTCTTTTTGTCCCCCTTATTTAGGGCACCCACCAACAACTCCATCAACACATTTTGGTACAACATCTCCAAAATTTTCCACTATCTCAGCTTTGCTCTTACACCTACAGAAAATGACCAACAGAATTGATGCCCATAGAGTTCAAGTTTTTTTCTCATTGCAGAACCTTGGGCAAATAAAGGGAGACTTGGGTTGATTTTCTGATGACCCCAATAGGGAATATAAAAGTTTTCCAAAATTTAACTAAATGTTTGACCTGACATGAAGTGATGTTATGCTGCTCCTAAGGAAAACCCTAACCACTGATGAAAAACAGGCAGCACTGCAGGTAACAGAGAAATTCAGAGATAAGCAATATGTCTCCTATAGTAGGCCAGAAAGGAAAAAAAGAGACAGAGGAGGCAAAGCAATAGAAAAAATCGTCATTCCCAATAGTAAAGGAAATGAACCCACAGATAAATGGAAAAGAAAATACTTTTGTAAAGTGCATATTAGAGGGCCTGCTTAGAACTACGGCTCAATCTCTTAATTATTCTAAACTTTCCATGGTAGACCAAAAGCCAGATAATAATTCCTCAGACTTGATGGAAAGGCTGTAAGGGAAACTAATAAAACACACCTCCTTATTCCCTGATTCAGTTGAGGGACAGTTAATCGTAAAGAAAAAGTTTATGACACAGGCAGCTCCTGACACTAGAAAGAAACTGAAGAAGCAGGATATAGAAATGAGGTAAAAGCTTAGAAAACCTCCTGAGGGTGGCCACCTTAGTCTTTCATACTAGGGGCCAGGAGGAGGCCCAGAAGAAAGATAGGAAGTGAAAGAGAAGGACAAGGTTCTAATGGCTGCTTTTCAGG
Organism: Homo sapiens; assembly: GCF_000001405.40. Lineage (NCBI taxonomy): Eukaryota > Metazoa > Chordata > Mammalia > Primates > Hominidae > Homo > Homo sapiens. The sequence continues at coordinate 20,950,975 of NC_000024.10, read as the reverse complement.
TTTGCAAAGTCCAGGATCCTCAAGGTCCACCTGTTCATTGCTATTAATGTGGCAAGTCACAGCAATTTTAAAAGAATTTCCCAGACATCAAGAAGAAGCCACATTGGCCCTGGGGACCATTGAAGATCGGACTGCGCCTGGAAATGCAGGTTACATGGTTGAGAACTGTTCTCACAGGTGGCTCAGCAGGACTGATGAGTCTCAGGGCTCATACATTGGCTCCTGCAGTTGAATATGCCTTTACTGCTCAGGAGTCCTGGGGGTTTCTCAAAGTTGAAGTAAGGACGGTGGACCTTCTTCTGGACACTGAAATCAGTCTCTGTCTTCTTTTATCCAATCCAGGCCTTTCCTCTTCCCATGATCATGATGGGTGTCTCAAGAAAGTTCTAACACAATATTTTTTCTCAAATGCTTAGTTGTAGTTGGGGGACATATTATTTATACATGCCTCCTTAATATTATCTGAAAGTCTTATTACTTTATTAAGAAGATATATTTTAGCTTGCATAGGGGCCAGCATTGTTATGGCTCCAGGACAAACTCTTTGTCTTCCCCTGGTGGAAATTAATATTATTCCAGAAGTGTGGACAACTCAAGGAAGAATAGGCCATGCTATCAGTCCTAGACCAGTCTGGATTCATCCTAAGGATCCCACTTCTTTTTCTAACCAGAGAAAATGTCCCCTAAAGTCAGAGGCTGGGAAAGGACTAGAAGCCACTATTAATAACCTAAAAATGCAGGGAATCCTCAAACCCTGAAACAACCCTTTCAACACCCAATATTAAGGGTTCAAAAACACAATAGAACAGAGGGGAGGAGGAGCCAAGATGGCCGAATAGGAACAGCTCCGGTCTACAGCTCCCAGCGTGAGTGACACAGAAGAAGGGTGATTTCTGCATTTCCATCTGAGGTAACGGGTTCATCTCACTAGGGAGTGCCAGACAGTGGGTGCGGGTCAGTGGGTGCATGCACCGTGCACGAGCTGAAGCAGGGAGAGGCATTGTCTCACTTGGGAAGCGCAAGGGGTCAGGGAGTTCCCTTTCTGAGTCAAAGAAATGGGTGAGGGACCCGGGGCACATGGAAAATCGGATCACTCCCACCAGAATGCTGCACTTTTCCAATAGGCTTAAAACATAGTGCACCACAGGATTATATCCCGCACCTGGCTCGGAGGGTCCGACGTCCACAGAGTCTCGCTGATTGCTAGCACAGCAGTCTGAGATCAAACTGCAAGGCGGCAGCGAGGCTGGGGGAGGGGAGCCTGCCATTGCCCAGGCTTGATTAGTAAACAAAGCAGCCGGGAAGCTCGAATTGGGTGGAGCCCACCACAGCTCAAGGAGGCCTGCCTGCCTCTGTAGGCTCCACCTCTGGGGGCAGGGCACAGACAAACAAAAAGACAGCAGTAACTTCTGCAGACTTAAATGACCCTGCCTGAGAGCTTTGAAGAGAGCAGTGGTTCTCCCAGCACGCAGCTGGAGATCTGAGAATGGGCAGACTGCCTACTCAAGTGGGTCCCTGACCCCTGACCCCCGAGCACCATAAATGGGAGGCACCCCTCGGCAGGGGCACACTGACACATCACACTGCAGGGCACTCTAACAGACCTGCAGCTGAGGGTCCTGTCTGTTAGAAGGAAAACGAACAAACAGAAAGGACATCCACACCAAAAACCCATCTGTACATCACCATCATCAAAGACCAAAAGTAGATAAAACCACAAAGATGGGGAAAAAACAGAACAGAAAAACTGGAAAATCTACAAAGCAGAGCACCTCTCCTCCTCTAAAGGAACGCCGTTCCTCACCAGCAACGGAATAAAGCTGGATGGAGAATGACTTTGACGAGCTGAGAGAAGAAGGCTTCAGATGATCAAATTACTCTGCGCTATGGGAGGACATTCAAACCAAAGGCAAAGAAGTTGAAAACTTTGAAAAAAATTTAGAAGAATGTATAACTAGAATAACCAATCCAGAGAAGTGCTTAAATGAGCTGATGGAGCTGAAAACCAAGGCTCCAGAACTACTAGAAGAATGCAGAAGCCTCAGGAGCCGATGCGATCAACTGGAAGAAAGGGTATCAGTGATGGAAGATGAAATGAATGAAATGAAGCGAGAAGGGAAGTCTAGAGAAAAAAGAATAAAAAGAAATGAGCAAAGCCTCCGAGAAATATGGGACTATGTGAAAAGACCAAATCTATGTCTGATTGGTGTACCTGAAAGTGATGGGGAGAATGCAACCAAGTTGGAAAACACTCTGCAAGATATTATCCGGAGAACTTCCCCAATCTAGCAAGGCAGGCCAACGTTCAGATTCAGGAAATACAGAGAATGCCACAAAGATACTCCTCGAGAAGAGCAACTCCAAGACACATAATTGTCAGATTCACCAAAGTTGAAATGAAGGAAAAAATGTTAAGGGCAGCCAGAGAGAAAGGTCGGGTTACCCTCAAAGGGAAGCCCATCAGACTAACAGTGGATCTCTCAGCAGAAACCCTACAAGCCAGAAGAGAGTGGGGGCCAATATTCAACGTTCTTAAAGAAAAGAATTTTCAACCCAGAATTTCATATCCAGCCAAACTAAGCTTCATAAGTGAAGGAGAAATAAAATACTTTACAGACAAGCAAATACTGAGAGATTTTTTCACCACCAGGCCTGCCTTACAAGAGCTCCTGAAGGAAGCAGTAAACATGGAAAGGAACAACCGGTACCAGCCGCTGCAAAATCATGCCAAAATGTAAAGACCATCGAGACTAGGAAGAAACTGCATCAACTAACGAGCAAAATAACCAGCTAACATCATAATGACAGGGTCAAATTCACACATAACAATATTAACTTTAAATGTAAATGGACTAAATGCTCCAATTAAAAGACACAGACTGGCAAATTGGATAAAGAGTCAAGACCCATCTGTGTGCTGTATTCAGGAAACCCATCTCAAGTGCAGAGACACACATAGTCTCAAAATAAAAGGATGGAGGAAGATCTGCCAAGCAAATGGAAAACAAAAAAAGGCAGGGGTTGCAATCCTAGTCTCTGATAAAACAGACTTTAAACCAACAAAGATCAAAAGAGACAAAGAAGGCCATTACGTAATGGTAAAGGGATCAATTCAACAAGAAGAGCTAACTATCCTAAATATATATGCACCCAATACAGGAGCAACCAGATTCATAAAGCAAGTCCTGAGGGACCTACAAAGAGACTTAGACTCCCACACATTAATAATGGGAGACTTTAACACCCCACTGTCAACATTAGACAGATCAACAAGACAGAAAGTCAACAAGGATACCCAGGAATTGAACTCAGCTCTGCACCAAGTGGACCTAATAGACATCTGCAGGACTCTCCACCCCAAATCAACAGAATATACATTTTGTTCAGCACCACACCACACCTATTCCAAAACTGACCACATACTGGGAAGTAAAGCGCTCCTCAGCAAATGCAAAAGAACAGAAATTATAACAAACTATCTCTCAGACCACAGTGCAATCAAACTAGAAATCAGGATTAAGAATCTCACTCAAAACCACTCAACTACATGGAAACTGAACAACCTGCTCCTGAATGACTACTGGGTACATGAAGAAATGAAGGCAGAAACAAAGATGTTCTTTGAAACCAACGAGAACAAAGACACAACATACCAGAATCTCTGGGACACATTCAAAGCAGTGTGTAGAGGGAAATTTATAGCACTAAATGTCCACAAGAGAAAGCAGGAATGATTCAAAATTGACACCCTAACATCACAATTAAAAGAACTAGAAAAGCAAGAGCAAACACATTCAAAAGCTAGCAGAAGGCAAGAAATAACTAAAATCAGAGCAGAACTGAAGGAAATAGAGACAAAAAAAAAAAACCCTTCAAAAAATTAATGAATCCAGGAGCTGGTTTTTTGAAAGGATCAACAAAATTGATAGACTGCTAGCAAGACTAATAAAGAAAAAAAGAGAGAAGAATCAAATAGACGCAATAGAAAATGATAAAGAGGATATCACCACCGATCCCACAGAAATACAAACTACCATCAGGGAATACTACAAACACCTCTATGAAAATAAACTAGAAAATCTAGAAGAAATGGATAAATTCCTGGACATGTACACTCTCCCAAGACTAAACCAGGAAGAAGTTGAATCTCTGAATAGACCAATAACATGAGCTGAAATTGTGGTAATAATCAATAGCTTACCAACCAAAAAGAGTCCAGGACCAGATGGATTCACAGCCAAATTCTACCAGAGGTACAAGGAAGAACTGGTACCATTCCTTCTGAAACTATTCCAATCAATAGAAAAAGAGGGAATCCTCCCTAACTCATTTTATGAGGCCAGCATCATTCTGATACCAAAGCCAGGCAGAGACACAACCAGAAAAGAGAATTTTAGACCGATATCCTTGATGAACATTGATGCAAAAATCCTCAATAAAATACTGGCAAAACGAATCCAGCAGCACATCAAAAAGCTTATCCACCATGATCAAGTGGGCTTCATCCCTGGGATCCAAGGCTGGTTCAATATATGCAAATCAATAAATGTAATCCAGCATATAAACAGAGCCAAAGACAAAAACCACATGATTATCTCAATAGATGCAGAAAAGGCCTTTGAAAAAATTCAACAACCCTTCATGCTAAAAACTCTCAATAAATTAGGTATTGATGGGATGTATTTCAAAATAATAAGAGCTGTCTATGAAAAACCCACAGCCAATATCATACTGAATGGGCAAAAACTGGAAGCATTCGCTTTGAAAACTGGCACAAGACAGGGATGCCCTCTCTCACCACTCCTATTCAACATAGTGTTGGAAGTTCTGGCCAGGGCAATCAGGCAGGAGAAGGAAATAAATTGTATTCAATTAGGAAAAGAAGAAGTCAAATTGTCCCTGTTTGCAGACGACATGATTGTATATCTAGAAAACCCCATTGTCTCAGCCCAAAATCTCCTTAAGCTGATAAGCAACTTCAGCAAAGTCTCAGGATACAAAATAAATGTACAAAAATCACAAGCATTCTTATATACCAACAAGAGACAGAGAGCCAAATCATGAGTGAACTCCCATTCACAATTGCTTCAAAGAGAATAAAATACCTAGGAATCCAACTTACAAGGGATGTGAAGGACCTCTTCAAGGAGAACTACAAACCACTGCTCAAGGAAATAAAAGAGGATACAAACAAATGGAAGAACATTCCATTCTCCTGGGTAGGAAGAATCAATATCGTGAAAATGGCCATACTGCTCAAGGTAATTTATAGATTCAATGCCATCCCCATCAAGCTACCAATGCCTTTCTTCACACAATTGGAAAAAACTACTTTAAAGTTCATATGGAACCAAAAAGGAGCCCGCATCGCCAACTCAATCCTAAGCCAAAAGAACAAAGCTGGAGGCATCACACTACCTGACTTCAAACTATACTACAAGGCTACAGTAAACAACACAGCATGGTACTGGTACCAAAACAGAGATATAGATCAATGGAATAGAATGGAGCCCTCAGAAATAACGCCGCATTTCTACAACTATCTGATCTTTGACAAACCTGAGAAAAACAAGCAATGGGGAAAGGATTCCCTATTTAATAAATGGTGCTGGGAAAACTGGCTAGCCATATGTAGAAAGCTGAAACTGGATCCCTTCCTTACACCTTATACAAAAATCAATTTAAGATGGATTAAAGACTTAAACGTTAGACCTAAAACGATAAAAACCCTGGAAGAAAACCTAGGCAGTACCATTCAGGACATAGGCATGGGCAAGGTCTTCATGTCTAAAACACCAAAAGCAATGGCCACACAAAACAAAATTGACAAATGGGATCTAGTTAAACTAAAGAGCTTCTGCACAGCAAAAGAAACTACCATCAGAGTGAACAGGCAACCTACAAAATGGGAGAAAATTTTTGCAACCTACTCCTCTGACAAAGGGCTAATATCCAGAATCTACAATGAACTCAAACAAATTTACAAGAAAAAAACAAACAACCCCATCAAAAAGTGTGCAAAGGATATGAACAGACACTTCTCAGAAGAAGACATTTATGCAGACAAAAAACACATGAAAGAATGCTCATCATCACTGGCCATCAGAGAATGCAAATCAAAACCACAATGAGATACCATCTCACACCAGTTAGAATGGCAATCATAAAAAAGTCAGGAAACAACAGGTGCTGGAGAGGATGTGGAGAAATAGGAACACTTTTACACTGTTGGTGGGACTGTAAACTAGTTCAACCATTGTGGAAGTCGGTGTGGCTATTCCTCAGGGATCTAGAACTGGAAATACCATTTGACCCGGCTATCCCATTACTGGGTATATACCCAAAGGACTATAGATCATGCTGCTATAAAGACACATGCACACGTATGTTTATTGCGGCATTATTCACAATAGCAAAGACTTGAAACCAACCCAAATGTCCAACAATGATAGACTAGATTAAGAAAATGTGGCACATATACACTATGGAATACTATGCAGCCATAAAAAATGATGAGTTCATGTCCTTTGTAGGGACATGGATGAAATTGGAAATCATTTCTCAGTAAACTATCGCGAGAACAAAAAGCCAAACACCGCAAATTCTCACTCATAGGTGGGAACTGAACAATGAGATCACATGGACACAGGAAAGGGAATATCACACTCTGGGGACTGTTGTGGGGTGGGGGGAGGGGGGAGGGATAGCATCGAGAGATATACCTAATGCTAGATGACGAGTTAGTGGCTGCAGCGCACCAGCATGGCACATGTATACATATGTAACTAACCTGCACAATGTGCACATGTACCGTAGAACTTAAAGTATAATAAAAAAAAAAAGGAAAAGAAAAAAAAAAAAGAGAAGTAAGTCCAAGAGATCAGTTGTAAAGCATAGTAACTATAGTTAATGAGCAATAATATTAATCAAAAAAGAAAAGAAAGTAGATGTTAAGCTTTATTGCAACAAAAATGATAATAAATATTTAAGGTAATAAAAATATTATTAATTAATATTTAATTAAGGTAATAAAATAATTAATTGGGTAGAGCTAAATGGCCAAATAAGAACAGCTCCAGTCTACAGCTCCCAGTGTTAGCAACTCAGAAGACAGGTGAGGTCTGCATTTCCAATTGAGGTACCAGGTTCATCTCACTAGAGATTGTCAGAAAGTGGGTGCAGGACAATGGGTGCAGGGCACCGAGCATGAGCCAAAGCAGGGTGAGGCATGACCTCACCCAGGAAGTGCAAGGTGTAAGGGAGTTCCTTTTCCTATTCGAAGAAAGGGGTAACAGACGGTACCTGGAAAATTGGGTCACTTCCACCCTAATACAGCACTTTTCCAATGGTCTTAGCAAATGGCACACCACGAGATTATATCCTGCTCCTGGCTCGGAGGGTCCTACACCCACAGAGCCTCACTCATTGGAGCACAGCAGTCTGAGATCAAACTGCAAGGTGGCAGTGAGGCTGGGGCAAGGGCGCCGGTCATAGCTGAGGCTTGAGTAGGTAAACAAAGTGGCCTGGAAGTTTGAACTGGGTGGAACCCACCACTGCTCAAAGAGGCCTGCCTGCCTCTGTAGGCTTCACCTCTGGTGGCAGGGCACAGCCAAACAAAAGGCAGCAGAATCCTCTGCAGACTTAAATGACCCTGTCTGACATCTTTGAAGAGAGTAGTGGTTCTCCCAGCACGCAGCTGGAGATCTGAGAACAGACAGACTGCCTCCTCAAGTGGGTCCCTGAACACTGAGTAGCCTAAGTGGGAAGCATCCCCCCGGAGGGGCAGACTGACACCCCACATTGCTGGGTAGTCCTCTGACACAAAACTTCCAGAGGAATGATCTGACAGCACCATTTGCTGTTCACCAAAATCTACTGTTCTGCAGCCTCTGCTGCTGATACCCAGGTAAACAGGGTGTGGAGTGGACCTCCAGCAAACTCCAACAGAACTGCAGCTGAGGGTCCTAACTGTTAGAAGGAAAACTAACAAACAGAAAGTATATCCGCACCAAAACCCCATCTGTACATCACCGTCATCAAAAACCAAAGGTAGATAAAACCACCAAGATGGGGAAAAAACAGAGTAGGAAAACTGGAAACTCTAAAATCAGAGTACCTCTCCTCCTCCAAAGGAACGCAGATCCCCACCAGCAATGGAACAAAGCTGGATGGAGAATGACTTTGACAAACTGAGAGAAGAAGGCTTCAGATGATCAAACTACTCTGAGCTAAAGGAGGAAGTTCAAATCCCTGGCAAAGAAGTTAAAAACCTGGAAAAAAAATTAGATGAATGGCTAACTAGAATAATCAATGCAGAGAAGTCCTTAAAGGATCTGATGGAGCTGAAAACTATGGCACGAGAATTATGGGATGAATGTACAAGCTTCAGGAGCTGATTCGATCATCTAAAAGAAAATATATCAGTGATGGAAGATCAAATGAATGAAATGAAGTGAGAAGAGAAGTTTAGAGAAAAAAGTATAAAAAGAAACAAACAAATCCTCCAAGAAATATGGGACTATGTGAAAAGACCATATCCACATCTGATTGGTGTACCTGAAAGTGACAGGGAGAATGGAACCAAGTTGGAAAACACTCTGCAGGATATCATCCAGGAGAACTTCCCCAATCTAGCAAGGCAGGCCAACATTGATTCAAGAAATACACAGAATGCCACAAAGATACTCTTTGAGAAGAGCAACCCTAAAACATAATTGTCAGATTCACCAAAGTTGAAATGGAGGAAAAAATGTTAAGAGCAGCCAGAGAGAAAGGTCAGGTTGCCCACAAAGGGAAGCCCATCAGACTAACAGCGGATCTCTCAACAGAAACTCTACAAGCCAGAAGAGAGTGGGGGTCAATATTCAACATTCTTAAGGAAAAGAATTTTCAACCCAGAATTTCATATCCAGCCAAACTAAGCTTCATAAGTGGTGAAGAAATAAAATCCTTTACAGACAAGCAAGTGCTGAGAGATTTTGTCACCACCAGGCATGCCCAAAAAGAGCTCCTGAAGGAAGGACAAAATGTGGAAAGGAAAAACTGGTAACAGCCACTGCAAAAACATGCCAAATTGTAAAGACTCTCAAGGCTAGGAAGAAACTGCATCAACTAATGTGCAAAATAACCAGGTAACATCACAATGACAGGATCAAACTCACACATAACAATATTAACATTAAATATAAATGGGCTAAATGCTCCAATTAAAAAACACAGACTGGCAAATTGGATAAAGAGTCAAGACCCATCAGTGTGCTGTATTCAGGAAACCCATCTCACATGCAGAGACACACATAGGCTCAAAATAAAGGGATGGAGGAAGATGTACCAAGAAAATGGAAAACAAAGAAATGCAGGGGTTGCAATTCTAGTCTCTGATAAAACAGACTTTAAACCAACAAAGATCAAAAGAGACAAGGCCATTACATAATGGTAAAGTGATCAATTCAACAAGAAGAGCTAACTATCCTAAATATATATGCACCCAATACAGGAGCACCCAGATTCATAAAGCAAGTCCTTAGAGACATACACAGAGACTTAGACTCCCACACAATAATAATGGGATATTTTAACACCCCACTGTCAACATTAGACAGATCAACAAGACAGAAAGTAAACAAGGATATCCAGGAATTAAACTCAGCTCTGCACCATGTGGAACTAATAGACATCTACAGAACTCTCCACCCCAAATCAATGGAATATACGTTCTTCTCAGCACCACACTGCACTTATTCCAAAATTGACCACATAGTTGGAAGTAAAGCACTCCTCAACAAATATAAAAGAACAGAAATTATAGCAAACTGTCTCTCAGACCACAGTGCAATCAAACAAGAACTCATGATTAAGAAACTCACTCAAAACTGCTCAACTACATGGAAACTGAACAACCTGCTCCTGAATGACTACTGGGTACATAATGAAATGAAGGAAGAAATAAAGATGTTCCTTGAAACCAATGAGAACAAAGACACAACATACCAGAATCTTTGGGACATATTCAAAAAGGTGTGTAGAGGGAAATTTATAGCACTAAATGCCCACAAGAGAAAGCAGGAAAGATCTGAAATTGACACCTTAACATCACAATTAAAAGAACTAGAGAAGCAAGTGCAAACACATTCAAAAGCTAGCAGAAGGCAAGAAATAACTAAGATCAGAGCAGAACTGAAGGAAATAGAGACACAAAAACCCTTCAAAAAATCAATGAATCCAGGAGCTGATTTTCTGAAAAGATCAACAAAATTAATAGCCTGCTAGAAAGACTAATAAGAAGAAAAGAGAGAAGAATCAAATAGATGCAATAAAAAAGGACAAAGGGGATATCACCACCAATACCAGTGAAATACAAACTACCATCAGAGAATACTATAAACACCTCTCTGCGAATAAAATAGAAAATCTAGAAGAAGTGGATAAAATCCTTAACACATACACCCTCCCAAGACTAAACCAGGAAGAAGTTGAATCCCTGAATAGAACAATAACAGGCTCTGAAATTGAGGCAATAATTAATAGCTTACCAACCAAAAAAAGTCCAGGACCAGATGGATTAACAGCCGAATTCTACCATAGGTAGAAGCAGGAGCTGGTATCATTCCTTCTGAAACTATTCCAATCAATAGAAAAAGAGGGAATCCTCCCTAACTCATTTCATGAGGCCAGCATCATCCTGATGCCAAAGCCAGGCAGAGACACAACAAAAAAAGAGAATTTTAGAGCAATATCCTTGATGAACATTGATGCAAAAATCCTCAATAAAATACTGGAAAACGGAATCCAGGAACACATCAAAAAGCTTATCCACCATGATCAAGTGGGCTTCATCCCTGGGATGCAAGGCTGGTTCAAAATAAGAAAATCAATAAATGTAATCCAGCTTATGAACAGAGCCAACGACAAAAACCATATGATTATTTCAATATATGAAGAAAGGCCTTTGACAAAATTCAACAAGGCTTCATGCTAAAAACTCTCAATAAATTAGGTATTGATGGGACGTATGTCAAAATAATAAGAGCTATCTATGACAAACCCACAGCCAATATCATCCTGAATGGGCAAAAACTGGAAGCATTTCCTTTGAAAACTGGCACAAGACAGGGATGCCCTCTCTCACCACTCCTATTCAACATAGTGTTTGAAATTCTGGCCAGGGCAATCAGGCAGGAGAAGGAAATAAAAGGCATTCAATTAGGAAAAGAAGAAGTTAAATTGTACCTGTGTGCAGATGACATGATTGTATATCTAGAAAACCCCATCGTCTCAGCCCAAAATCTCCTTAAGCTGATAAGCAACTTCAGCAAAGTCTTAGGATACAACATCAATGTGCAAAAATCAGAAACATTCTTATACATCAATAACAGATAGAGAGCCAAATCATGAGTGAACTGCCATTCACAATTGCTTCAAAGAGAATAAAATACCTAGGAATCCAACTTACAAAAGATGTGAAGGACCTCTTCAAGAAGAACTACAAACCACCACTCTATGAAATAGAAGAGGATACAAACAAATGGAAGAACATTCCATGCTCATAGGTAGGAAGAAGCAATATCATGAAAATGGCCATACTGCTCAGGGTAATTTATAGATTCAATGTCATCCCCATCAAGCTATCAATGACTTTCTTCACAGAATTGGAAAAAACGACTTTAAAGTTCATATTAAACCAAAAAAGAGCCCACATTGCCAAGTCAATCCTAAGCCAAAAGAACAAAGCCGGAGGCACCATGCTACCTGACTTCAAAGTACACTACAAGGCTACAGTAACCAAAACAGCATGCTACTGGTACCAAAACAGAGATAAAGACCAATGGAACAGGACAGAGCCCTCAGAAATAATGTCACATATCTACAACTATCTGATCTTTGACAAACCTGACCAAAACAAGAAATGGGGAAAGGATTCCCTTTTTAATAAATGGTGCTGGGAAAACTGGCTAGCCATATGTAGAAAGCTGAAACTGGATCCCTTCCTTACACCTTATACAAAAATTAATTCAAGATGGATTAAAGACTTACATGTCAAACCTAAAACCATAAAAACTCTAGAAAAAAACCTAGACAATACCATTCAGGACATAGGCATGGGCAAGTACTTCATGTTTAAAACACCAAAAGCAATGGCAACAAAAGCCAAAATTGACAAATGGAATCTAATTAAACTAAAGAGCTTATGCACAGCAAAAGAAACTACCATCAGAGTGAATAGGCAACCTAGAGAATGGGAGAAAATTTTTTCAATCTACTCATCTGACAAAGGGCTAATATCAGGAATCTACAATGAACTCAAACAAATTTTCAAGAAAAAAACAAACAATCCCATCAAAAAGTGGGAAAAGGATATGAACAGACACTTCTCAAAAGAAGACATTTTGCAGCCAAAAAAACATGAAAAAATGCTCATCATCACTGGCCATCAGAGAAATGCAAATCAAAACTACAATGAGATATCATCTCACACCAGTTAGAATGGCGATCATTAAAAAGTCAGGAAACAACAGGTGCTGGAGAGGTTGTGGAGAAATAGGAACACTTTTACACTGTTGGTGGGACTGTAAACTAGTTCAAACATTGTGGAAGTCGGTGTGGTGATTCCTCAGGGATCTAGAACTGGAAACACTATTTGACTCAGCCATCCCATTACTGAGTATATACCCAAAGGATTATAAATCATGCTGCTATAAAGACACATGCACACGTATATTTATTGCAGCACTATTCACAATAGCAAAGACTTGGAACCAACCCAAATGTCCGACAATGATTGACTGGATTAAGAAAATGTGGCACATATACACTATGGAACACTATGCAGCCATAAAAAAAGATGATTTAATGTCCTTTGTAGGGACATGGATGAAGCTGGAAACCATTATTCTCAGCAAACTATTGCAAGGACAAAAACACAAACACCGCATGTTCTCACTCATAGGTGGGAATTGAACAGTGAGAACACATGGACACAGGAAGGGGAACATCACACACCTGGGACTGTTGTGGGGTGGGGGGAGGGGGGAGGGATAGCATTAGGAGATATACGTAATGCTAAATGATGAGTTAATAGGTGCAGCACACCAACATTTCACATGTATACATATGTAACTAACCTGCACGTTGTGCACATGTACCCTAAAACTTAAAATATAATAATAATAATAAAAGTCCACGTTTGTCTAGTTTCTAAGTTTGACTTGTTATTGACTCCCAGTTTTCTTCCATTGTAGTTAGAAAATCAATGAAAATGGTTCCAAGTTTTAAAAAATCTGTTGAGTCTTTATTTGTCAGCCTAACATATGGTCTATTCAAATGCTGATGAGAAAACTGTGTGTTCTGCAACAGTCATGTAAAATGTTCTGTAAATGTCAGCTAAGACCATTTGGTCTAGTGTGTGGCTTAAATCGAATAGGTCTTTGTTGATGTTTCCTTAATGGTCTTCCTGTCCATTACTGACAATGAGGTACTGAAGTTATCCACCAATATTTGCTTGTAGTCTGTTTCCCTCTTTAGATCTACTAATGTTTGCTTTATTTGGGTGCTAAATATTTCCTACTGTTATATCATCTTACTGCATAGATCCATTTATTATTATGTAGTGGCCTTCTTTTTCTCTTTTTACAGTCTGTGATTTGTAGAATTTTTTTTATCAGAAATAAGCGTAGCTACTCCTGCTCCGTTTAAGTTTTTTAATTTTGTGGAATATCTTTTTCCATCTCTGTAATTTTATCCTATGCATATCTTCATAAGTCAAAGGGTTTCTTGTAAGCAGTACATATCTGTGTTCTTTTTCAACCACTGTATCTTTTCTGGAGTGAATCAATTCTTTCACAATCAGTGATAGGTATGATAGGTATGAACTAACTACTGCCATAGGTATGACAGGTATGAACTAACTACTGCCATTTTGTTACTTCTTTTCTGATTGTTTTGCTATGGCTCTCTTCCTTTTTTTCTTTTGTGGCTAAGTGATTTTTTGGTAGTATTTTTAATTTGCGTGTCTTTCATTTCCTTTTTTTTTTTTTTTTTTTTTTTTTGAAACAGAGTCTCACTCTGTCACCCAGGTTGGAGTGCAGTGGCGCAATCTCGGTTCACTGCAAGCTCCACCTCCTGGGTCCACGCCATTCTCCTGCCTCAGGCTCATGAGTAGCTGGGACTACAGGTGCCCAACACCATGCCTGGCTAATTTTTTTGTATTTTTAGTAGAGACGGGGTATCACCACGTTGTTCAGGATGGTCTCGATCTCCTGACCTCATGATCTGCCCGCCTCAGCCTCCCAAAGTGCTGGGATTACAGGCGTGATCCATGCGCCCTGCCTCGTCTTTCTTTTTAGTGCATTTATTAAAGGTTTTTGCTTCGTGGTTACCCTGAGGCTTAAAAAAAATCACATAGGTACAACAACTTATTTTAAACCAATACCTTACCTTTGATTACACTAAAAACAAACAAAAACATTTAAAAAACTCTATATTTGACTTCTGCCTACCTCTCTTTTTACTTGATGTTGCCTTTATGCATTTTTAAATGTTTTGTTTTGTTTTGAGACAGGGCCTCACTCTGTCACACAGGCTGGAGTGCGGTGGTGCAACATCAGCTCACTGCAATCTCTGCCTCCTGAGTACAAGTACTTCTCTGGCTTCATCCTTCTGAGTAGCTAGGAGTACAGATGTGTACTACCATGTCTGGTTCATTTTTGTATTTTTAATAAAGATGGGGTTTCTCCTTGTTGGCCAGGCTGGTCTTCAATGACTACTTCAAGTGACCCATTCATCTCCGCCTCCCAAAGTGCTGGGATTACAGGTGTGTGCCACCGCACCTGACCTATATTGCCTTTTAAAACTTTTATCCAGCCTTATTATTATTATTAATTATTTGACATGTAGTCTCACTCTGTCACCCAGGCTGGGGTGTAGTGGTGCTATCTCCACCTCCCAGGTTCAAGCAACTCTCTTGCCTCAGCATCCCTAGTTGCTGGGGTTACAGGAGCCTGTACCAGTTACTGGGGATACAGGTGTGTGCCACCATGCGTGGTGAATTTTTGTATTTTTAGTAGAGATGGGTTTTCACCATGTTGGCTAGGCTGGTCTTGAACTCCTGGCCTCCAGTGACCCACCCACCTCAGTCTCCAAAGTGTTGGGATAACAGACTTGAGCCACATACCCAGCCGATCTTACTATGTTTAATAGATTAATTTGTTAATCTTACTACTGGAATTATAAACAGATTGGGCACCACAATTACAGTAGTAGTGTATTCTGAGAATGTGTCTGTACCTCCTATCACCAGTGGGTGTATACCTTCAAGTGTTTTTGTACATCAGTGTTTGATTTTTTTTTTTTTCTTCTTTCTCAGGGTGAGGAACTCTCTTTAGCATTACTTATAAGACAGGTCTGGTGGTGAAAAATTTTCCAATTATTTTCTTTTATTTTTCCAGCACTTTATTTTATTTATTTGTTTATTATTATTATATGTTAAATTTTAGGGTATATGTGCACAACGTGCAGGTTTGTTACATATGTACATATGTGCCCCCTTGGTGTGCTGCACCCTTTAACTCATCCCTTACATTAGGTATTTTGCCTAATGCTGTCCCTCTCCACTCCCCCAACCCCATGACAGGCCCCAGTGTGTGATGTTCCCAGCCCTGTGTCCAAGTGTTCTCATTGTTCAGTTCCCACCTATGAATGAGAACATGTGTTGTTTGGTTTTCTGTCTTTGTGATAGTTTGTTCAGAATGATGGTTTCCAGCTTCGTCCATGTCACTACAAAGGACATTAACTCATCCATTTTTATGGCTGCATAGTATTCCAGGGTGCATATGTGCCACATTTTCTTAATCCAGTCTATTATTTATGGACATTTGGGTTGGTTCCAAGTCTTTGCTATTGTGAATACTGCCACAATAAACATACATGTGCATGTGTCTTTGTAGTAGCATGATTAATAAACCTTTGGGTATATACCCAGTAATGGGATCGCTGGGTCAAATGATATTTCTAGTTCTAGATCCTTGGGGAATTGCCACACTGTCTTCCACGATGGTTGAACTAGTTTACACTCCTACCAACAGTGTAAAAGTGTTCCTATTTCTCCACATCCTCTACAGAACCTGTTTCCTGGCTTTTTAATGATCGCCATTCTAACTGATGTGAGATGGTATCTCATTGTGGTTTTGATTTGTGTTTCTCTGATGACCTGTGATGATGAGCATTTTTTCATGTGTCTTTTGACTGCATAAATATCTTCTTTTGAGAAGTGTCTATTCATATCCTTCACCCACTTTTTGATGGAGTTTTTCGATTTTTTCTTGTAAATTTGTTTAAGTTATTTGTGGATTCTGGATATTAGCCCTTTGTCAGGTGAGTAGATTGCAGAAATTTTCTCCCATTCTATAGGTTGCCTGTTAACTCTGATGGTAGTTTATTTTGCTATGCATAAGCTCTTTAGTTTAATTAGATCCCATTTGTCAATTTTGGCTTTTGTTGCCATTGCTTTTTGTGTTTTAGTCATGAAATTCATGCCCATGCCTATGTCCTGAATGGTATTGCCTAGGGTTTCTTCTAGGGTTTTTATGGTTTTAGATCTAACATTTAAGTCTTTAATCCATCTTGAATTAATTTTTATATGAGGTGTAAGGAAGGGATCCAGTTTCAACTTTCTACATATGGCTAGCCAGTTTTCCCAGCACCATTTATTAAATAGGGAATCCTTTCCCCATTGATGTTTTTGTCAAGTTTATCAAAGATCAGATGGTTGTAGATGTGTGGTATTATTTCTGAGGGCTCTGTTCTATTCTATTTGTCTATATTTCTGTTTTGGTACCAGTACCATGTTGTTTTGGTTATTGTAGCCTTGTAGCATAATTTGAAGTCAGGTAGCATGATGCCTCCAGCTTTGTTCTTTTGGCTTAGGAATGCCTTAGCAATACAGGATATTTTTTGGTTCCATATGAACTTTAAAGTAGTTTTTTCCAATTCTGTGAAGAAAGTCATTGATAGCTTGATAAGGATGGCATTGAATCTATAAATTACATTGGCAATATGGCCACTATCACTATATTGATTCTTCCTATCTGTGATCATGGAATGTTCTTCCACTTGTTTGTGTCCTCTTTTATTTCATTGAGCAGTGGTTTGTAGTTCTTCTTGAAGAGGTCCTTCACATCCCTTGTAATTTGGATTCCTAGGTATTTTATTCTCTTTGAGGCAATTGTGAATGTGAATTCGATCATGATTTGGCTTTATGTTTGTCTGTTATTGGTGTATAGGAATGCTTATGGTTTTTCCACATTGATTTTGTATCTTGAGACTTTGCTGAAGTTGCTTACCAGCTTAAATGGATTTGGGGCTAAGGTGATGCAGTTTTCTAAATATACAATTATATCATCTGCAAACAGGGACAATTTGGCTTCCTCTTTTCCTAACTGAATACAGTTTATTGCTTTCTCCTCTCTGATTTCCCTGGCCAGAACTTCCAACACTATGTTGAATAGGAGTGGTGAGAGAGGGCATCCCTGTCTTGTGCCAGTTTTCAAAGGGAATGCTTCCAGTTTTTACCCATTCCATATGATATTGACTGTGGGTTTGTCATAAACAACTTTTATTATTTTGAGATATGTCCCATCAATACCTAGTTTATTGAGAAGTTTTCACATGAAGGGCTGTTGAAGTTTATCAAAGACCCTTTCTGCATCTATTAGATAATCACGTGGTTTTTGTCTTTGGTTCTGTTTATGTGACGGATTACGTTTATTGATTTGTGTCAGTTCAACGTACCTTGCATCCCAGGGATAAGCCAACTTGATCGTGGTGGATACGCTTTTTGATGTTCTGCTGGATTTGATTTGCCAGTATTTTATTGAGGATTTTTGCATCTATGGTCAGCAAGGATATTGGTCTAAAACTCTTGTTTGTTGTTGTGTCTCTGCCAGGCTTAGGTATCAGGATGATGCTGGCCTCATAAAATGAGTTAAGGAGGATTCCCTCTTTCTCTGTTGATTGAAATAGTTTCAGAAGGAATGGTACCATCTCCTCTTTGTACCTCAAGTAGAATTCAGCTGTGAATCTGTCTGGTCCTGGACTTTTTTTGGTTGGTAGGCTATTAATAATTGCCTCAATTTCAGAGCCTGTTATTGATCTATTCAGGGATTCTACTTCTTCCTGGTTGAATCTGGGGAGGGTGTATGTGTCCAATAATTCATCCATTTCTTCTAGACTTTCTAGTTTATTTGCATAGAGGCGTTTACAGTATTCTCTGATGGTAGTTGGTATTTCTGTGGGATCGGTGGTGATATCCCCTTTATCATTTTTATTTCATCTATTTGATTATTCTCTCTTTTCTTCTTTATTAGTCTTGCTAGTGGTCTATTGGTTGATATTTCCAAAAAAAACAGATCCTGGAGTCATTGATTTTTTGAAGGGTTTATTGTGTCTCTGTCTCCTTCCGTGCTGCTCTAATCTTAGTAATTTCTTGCCTTCTGCTAGCTTTTGAATTGGCTTGCCCTTGCTTCTCTAATTCTTTTAATTGTGATGTTAGGGTGTCAGTTTTAGATCTTTCCCTCTTTCTCTTGTGGGCATTTGGTACTAAAATTTTTAATGTACATAATGCTTTAAATGTGACCAGAGATTCTGTTATGTGTGTCTTTGTTCTCACTGGTTTCAAAGAACATCTTTATTTCTACCTTCATTTCGTTATTTATCCAGTTATCTTTCAGGAGCTTGTTATTCAGTTTCCATGTAGTTGTGCAGTTTTGGTTAAGTTTCTTAATCCTGAGTTCTAATTTGATTGCACTATGGTCTGAGAGAGTTTGTTGTGATTTCTATTCTTTTACATTTGCTGAGGAGTGCTTTACTTCCAACTAAGTGGTCAGTTTTGGAATAAGTATGATGCAGTGCTGAGAAGAATGTATATTCTGTTGATTTGGGGTGCAGAGTTCTGTAGATGTCTATTAGATCCACTTGGTGCAGAGTTGAGTTCAAGTCCTGGATATCTTTGTTAACCTTCTGTCTCATTGATCTGTCTAATGTTGACAATGGAGTATTAAAATCTCCCATTATTATTGTGTGGGAGTCTAAGTCTCTTTGTAGATCTCTAAGGACTTGCTTTATGAATCTGGGTTCTCCACATTGGGCGCATATATAAGATAGTTTTATCTTCTTGTTGAATTGATACCTTTACCAGTATGTAATGGTCTTATTTGTCTCTTTTGATCTTTGTTGGTAAAAACTCTGTTTTATCAGAGACTAAGTTTGCAACCACTGCTTTTTATTTGTTTTCCATTTGCTTGGTAGATATTCCTCCATCCCTTTATTTTGAACCTATGTCTGTCTCTGCACATGAGATGGGTCTCATGAATACAACACACTGACGGGTTTTGACTCTTTATCCAATTTTCCAGTCTGTGTCTTTTAATCGGGGCATTTAAGCCATTTACATTTAAGGTTCATATTGTTATGAGTGAGTTCGATTCTGTCATTATGATGTTTTTTTCTAGTTTTTTCCTAGCATCAATGGTCTTTACAATTTGGTATGTTTTTGCAGTGGCTGGTATCGGTTGTTCATTCCCACGTTTAATGCTTCCTTCAAGAGCTCTTATAATGCAGGTCTGGTGGTGACAAAATCTCTCAGAATTTGCTTGTCTGTAAAGGATTTTATTTCTCCTTCAATTGTGAAGCTTAGTTTGGCTGGATATGAAATTCTGAGTTGAAAATTATTTCCCTTAAGAATGTTGAATATTGGCCCCCAATCTCTACTGGCATGTAGAGTTTCTGCTGAGAGATCTGCTGTTAGTCTGATGGGCTTCCTTTGTTGAAAACCTGACCTTTCTCTCAGGCTGTGCTTAACATTTTTTCCTTTATTTCAACCTTGTGAATCTGACAATTGTGTGTCTTGGGGTTGCTCTTCTCAAAGAGTATCCTTATGGCATTCTCTCTGTTTCTTGAGTTTGAATGTTGACCTGCCTTACTAGGTTGGGGGAGTTCTCCTGGATAATACCCTGAAGTGTTTTCCAACTTGGTTCCCTTCTCCCCATCACTTTCAGGTTCACCAATCAAACACAGATTTGGTCTTTTCACACAGTCCCATATTTCTTGGAGGCTTTGATTATTTCTTTTTTCTCTAAACTTCTCCTCTTGCTGCATTTCACTAATTTTATCTTCAATCACTGATACCCTTTCTTCCACTTGATCTAATTGGGTACTGAAGCTTGTGCAAGCATCACACTGTTCTCATGCCATGTTTTTCAGCTCCATCATGTCATTTAAATTCTTCTCTATGCTGTTATTTCTAGTTAGGCATTCATCTATATTTTTTCAAAGTTTTTAGCTTTCTTGCAATGGTTTTGAACATCATCCTTTAGGTCAGAGAAGTTTGTTATTACCAAACTTCTGAAGCCTACTTCTGTCAACTCATCAAAGTCATTCTGCATCCAGCTTTGTTTCATTGCTGGAAAGGAGCTGCAAGCCTTTGGAAGAGAAAAGGCACTCAGTATTTAGAATTTTCAACTTTTCTACTCTGAATTCTCTCCATCTTTGTGGTTTTATCTACCTTTGGTCTTAGATGATGGTGACCTATAAATGGAGTTTTTGTGCAGATGTCCTTTATGTTATGTTGATGTTGATGTTATTCTTTTCTGTTTGTTAGTTTTCCTTCTAACAGCCAGGACCCTCAGCTGCAAGTCTGTTGGAGTTTCCTGGAGGTCAACTTCAGACCCTCTTTTCCTGGGTGTCACCAGCAGAGGCTGCAGAACAGCAAATATTGCAGAACAGCAAATATTGCTGAACAGCAAACATTACTGAACAACAAATATTGCTGCCTGATCCTTCCTCTGGAAGCTTTGTCTCAGAGCTCAAACTCTGTGCTTGGGAGAACCACTGCTCTCTTCAGAGCTGTCAAACAGGGAAGTTTATGTCTGCAGAAGTTTCTGCTGCCTTTTGTTCAGCTATATCCTACTCCAAGGGGTGGAGCCTATAGATGCAGGCAGGCCTCGCTAAGCTGCAGTGGGCTATGCCCAGATCGAGCTTCCTGGCTGTTTTGTTTACCTAGTCAAGCCTTAGCAATGGCAGCTGACGCTCCCACAGCCTGGCTGCCACCTTGCGGTTCGATATGGGACGGCTGTGCTAGCAGTGAGCAAGGTTCCCTTGGTGTGGGACCCACCAAGCCAGGCATAGGATATAATCTCTAGGTGTACTGTTTGCTAAGACCATTGGAAAAGTGCAGCATTAGGGCAGGAGTGTCCTACTTTTCCAGTTACCATCTGTCATAGCTTCCCTTGGCTAGGAAAGGGAAATCCCCCAACTCTGCACTTCCCAGGTGAGGCGATGCCCCACCCTGCTTTGGCTCACACTCCCTGGGCTGAACCCATTGTCCAACCAGTCCCAATGAGATGAACAAGGTACCTCAGTTGGAAATGCAGAAATCACCCATCTTCTGCATCGAGCACAGTGGGAGCTATAGACTGGAGCTGTTCTATTTGGCCATCTTGGAATGATTGTTCTTTTCCAGCACTTTGAATATGCCATTCCAACCCCTCCTGGCCTGTCAACAAATCTGTTTCCAAATAATTTCAAGCTTTTCTGTTTGTTGTTTCTTTTCCTTTAGTGCTTTAAGGATCCCCTGTATTCTTGATGTTTTAGACATCAATTATTATTTGCCTTGTGGTAGTTTTATTTGGTTGCTTTAATCTGTTTGGTGTTCTCTGATCTTTCAGAACCTGTAGATTTATATCTCTGTCACATTTTAGAAAGTTGTTACTATTCATTTGAATATTCTCTCTGTCCATTCCTCTTGCTGAGCTCCATCTTACAAATCACTAATTATTAGATTTGCTCTTTTGAGTTAATTGTGTATATCTTGTAAGTGTTCTTTATTCCTTTTCATTGTTTTCCGTTCTACTTCTTTGTGCATTTTCTAAAAACCTGTTATAGAGCTCACTGATTGTTTATTCTATTACATCTCTTCTGCTTTCAGAGCCTCTAGTGAGATTTTTACTTTAGCCAATATATTTCTCAGTTCCAGGATCTTTAAAATTTTTAATTATTTTATTTCATTTGTTTATTTTTTCCTTTTTAGTGATGATTTGGAGACTTGAGATTCCTGAAAACTGCTATTTTGAATTCTTGATCAGAGAACTCACTGATAGCCATCTCATTAGTTAGCATTGGTCACTGGTTCCTTGCTTCATCCATTTGGGAAGGTTATGGTTCCCTGTTTGGTATTTCTTGTGGTTATATATCCATATCTTTTTATTGAAGGATTAGTTATTTAGTCCAATATTATCTCTGTCTTATTTTGTTTTTTATTGGATATGTTTGCTTTGAGGTTTCTTTACAACATACTTGTTGTTGAGGTTTCATTTCTTTGTTTTTGACTAGGTCAGTACCTCTTTTTTGGCCATAAATGGTGCCTTAAGCCCAGGTCTGTCTCAGCTCTAGCAAGCTTCAAGCAGTGCTAATCCCCTATTAGGGAGATCCTGAAGGGGATACCCTAGCAGGGTGGGAAGGCTGGCCATTGGTTTGTGCTTAGGGAAATCGTGAAATATACCATATACTACATGGTACTGCTGCACAGGCACTCTGATTTGACATCTTCTGTGGCTGAAATAACCAGGCTGGAAACAGTAGTGCTGCCTCCATGCTTTATCCCTGGATTTCCTCAGGAAATTTTTTACCTTAAGACATTACAAGGCTTCCCATGAGTTAAGGAAGAAAGAGTTCTTCTAGGGAACCCGAAATGATTGGAAAGCTGGTTGTCCATCTGAATCTTATTTTTTCTAGTTAGTAACCATAAGTCAGGGGAATTTTTTTTTCACACAAGTTTGTTGGCATACTAGAAAAGTGTCATGAATATGGAAGTGTCATGAATGTAGAACCCAACTGTTTTACGATCTGCATGGAGTTTTTTCACTTCTGTGTTACCCTAGAAACTGTCTCATTCTCCTATTTGAGTTCTAAGATACTGTTGGTGATAACCGGTGATAACCTCTCATATGTGTATATATAGTTGTTTTGTTGTTGTTTCCTATGTATGTTCTGGGGGTTTGAGTTGGATGGTGGGTTGGAGGGAGTGATGCAAGCTTTCATTACTATGCCAACAGTTCTCTCCTCTAGTTTGCAGTTTTCTACGTCTTTGTGTGTAATTTTATATTATTGAGTTTATATTTCTTTTTTATGTATATTTTACAATTATATATTTCTCAGAATTGATTTTGTTGTATTCCAGAAGTTTTAGTATGTGGTATTTTTCCATTTATCTGCAAGTAATTCATAATTACTTGCAGATTCTTTAGTGAGCCATTGTTTTATTTATTGTTTTATTTCCACCTATTTTACACTTCTAGTTTTTTGAAAATGGGTCTCTAGTTTTATTCCACTGTGGTTGGGGAAAATATTATGTGTGATTTCAACCATTTTAAATATAATGAGACTTGTTTTGTAGTGTACCATGTAGTCTGTTCAGGAAACAACATGGAGAATAACCCGTGTACATTTCAGAAGGATGTGTAGTCAGTTTGGAAACTAAACTGTTTTTTATATGTTTGATAGCCTTATTTGGTGTATAATGCTATTTAAGACATACGTTTTCCTATTGATCTTCTGTTCAGTTGTTTCATGTATTGTTGAAAGTGGGATGTTGAAATCTTCAGACACAATTGCAGAACTGTCTAATTCCTCAAATCTGTTGGTTTTTCTTTCATACATCCTAAGGATCTATTATTAGGTATATGTATGTTATATCTTCTTGATGGATTAAACTTTTTTGACATTAGCATAGTTTCTCCAGTTCTTTTTTTGTTAATGTTTACATAAAATTGAATGCCTCCATTCAAAAAAAATATTTTAAAAACCATGCTGCCCATCTGTGTCTTTTAACTGGAGTTTAATGAATTTGCATTTAAATCACTGATAAGAAAATAATTCATTCTATTTTGCTCCTTGTTTTCCACAAGTCACTTATTTCTTCTTCAATTGCTTCAAAACCTGCTCATTTTTGCATTTGATTGTTTTTCTAAGGGTACCATTTTTACTGCCTCCTCATTTATTTTCAGTACATTTTAAGAGTTATTTTCATGGTGGCCATTAGGGGGATTGTATTGATATCTTAAATTTATAATAATATACAGTGAATTACAATTTACTGTGGACATTATACAAGTTTTTCCATACTGCTGCCCCTACCTTTCTCTGTTTTAGTGTCAAAAATTGTTTGTTATAAAAAGTGTGCTAGTAGCACAGATACTTTTCTTAATTATTTGTCATATCTTTATTTTATTGTTTTATTTTATTTCACTTTATTGAGACAGGGTATCCCTCAGTCACACAGGCAGAACTAGGTTCACTGCAGCCTCGAACTCCTGAGCTCAAGTGACCCCCTCACTTCAGCCTGTCATGTAGCTAAGACCAGAAGTGCATGCCACTAACATTGCTAATGTTTATTTTATCTAGAGACAGGGTCTTGTTTTGTTACCCCTAATGGTCTCAATTCCTGGACTTAAGCAATCCTCCCTAGTAATTCATGGTTCTTTCTAGGCAAATATTTTATTTCACTTTACTTAAATGTTCTCAAAGCCCTAAGGGAAGCTGGGAGAACAAGTTTTCAATAAATGCAGAATACCAATGAATACATATACATAATTTTAAATAATGGAATCAATATCCTCTAACTAGAGGGATTGAATAAGATGCATAAACAGGCAGAAACCATAATCAGGGAAATTGCAGATGAACTGTTTAGCATTATTCAGTCTAAGGAATAAGAGAAGAAAAACAATAAAGGAAAATAAGCAAAACTAAGTCAGCCATGGGACACCATCAAGCATATCAACATATCCATAATAAGAGTCTCACAGGAAAAGGAGATAGGAATAGGAAGAATATTTGAATAAAAAATGGTTGAAACTTTCTAAATATACTGTTAAACACAAATCTACCTATCCAAGAATCTCAGTTAAAAAAAATGAAAGGGGGTGGAGCCAAGATGGCCAAATAGGAACAGCTCCTGTCTACAGCTCCCAGAGTGAGTGATGCAGAAGATGGGTGATTTCTACACTTCTATCTGAGGTACTGGGTTCATCTCACTAGGGAGTGCTAGACAGGGGGTGCAGGAATGTGGGTTCACTGCACCGTGCATGAGCCAAAGCAGAGCCAGGCATTGCCTCACTCAGGAAGTGCAAGGAGTCAGGGAGTTCCCTTTCCTAGTCAAAGAAAGGGGTGACAGACAGCACCTGGAAAATCGGGCCACTCTCACCCTAACACTACGCTTTTCCAACAGGCTTAAAAAATGGCACACCAGGAGATTATATCTTGCACCTGGCTCAGAGGATACTATGCCCACAGAGTCTAGCTGATTGCTAGCACAGCAGTCTGAGATCAAACTGCAAGACGGCAGTGAGGCTGGGGGAGGGGCTGCAGCCATTGTCTAGGCTTGATTAGATAAACAAAGCAGCCAGGAAGCTCAAACTGGGTGGAGCCCACCACAGCTCAAGGAGGGCTGCCTGCCTCTGTAGGCTCCACCTCTGGGGGCAGGGCACAGAAAAACAAACAGACAGCAGTAACCTCTGCAGACTTAAATGTCCCTGTCAGAGAGCTTTGAAGAGAGTAGTGGCTCTCCCAGCATGCAGCTGGAGACCTGAGAATGGGCAGACTGCCTCCTCAAGTGGGTCCCTGACCCCAAAGCAGCCTAACGGGGAGGCACCCCCACGTAGGGGCAGACTGACACCTCACACAGCCGGGTACTCCTCTGAGACAAAACTTCCAGAGGAACGATCAGGCAGCAGCGTTTGCATTCACCAAGATCCGCTGTTCTACAGGAATCACTGTTCTGCAGCCACTGCTGCTGATACCCAGGCAAACAGGGTCTAGAGTGGACCTCTAGCAAACTCCAACAGACCTGCAGCTGAGGGTTCTGTCTGTTAGAAGGAAAACTAACAAACAGAAAGGACATCCATACCAAAAACCCTTCTGTATGTCACCATCATCAAAGACCAAAAGTAGATAAAACCACAAAGATGGGGAAATAACAGAACAGAAAAACTGGAAACTCTAATAAGCAGAGCACCTCTCCTCCTCAAAAAGAATGATGCTCCTCACCAGCAACAGAACAAAACTGGACAGAGAATGACTTTGATGAGTTGAGAGAAGAAGGCTCCAGATGATCAAACTACTCCAAGCTACAGGAGGAAATCCAAATCAATGGCAATGAAGTTAAAAACTGTAAAAAAAATTAGATGAATGGATAACTAGAATAACCAATGCAGAGAATGCTTTAAAGGAGCTGATGCAGCTGAAAGCCAAGGCTCAAGAACTACGTGAAGAATGTAGAAGCCTCAGGAGCCAATGTGATCAACTGGAAGAAAGGTTATCAGTGATGGAAGACAAAATCAAAGAAATGAAGTGAGAAGGGAAGTTTAGAGAAAAAAGAATAAAAAGAGATGAACAAAGCCTCCAAGAAATAGAGGACTATGTGAAAAGACCAAATCTACATCTGATTGGTTTACCTGAAAGTGATGGGGAGAATGGAAACAAGTTGGAAAACACTCTGCAGGATATTATCCAGGAGAACTTCCCCAATCTAGCAAGGCAGGCCAACATTCAGATTCAGAAAATACAGAGAATGCCACAAAGATACTCCTCGAGAAGAGCAATTCCAAGACACATAATTGTCAGCTTCACCAAAGTTGAAATGAAGGAAAAAATGTTAAAGGCAGACAGAGAGAAAGGTCGGGTTACCCACAAAGGGAAGCCCATCAGACTAACAGTGGATCTCTCAGCAGAAACTCTACAAGCCAGAAGAGAGTGGGGGCCAATATTCAACATTCTTAAAGAAAAGAATTCTCAACCCAGAAATTCATATCCAGCCAATCTAAGCTACATACGTGAAGGAGAAATAAAATCCTTTACAGAGAAGCAAATGCTGAGAAATTCTGTCACTACCAGCCTGTCCTAAACGTGCTCCTGAAGGAAGCACTAAATGTGGAAAGGAAAAACTGGTACCAGCCACTGCAAAATCATGCTAAATTGTAAAGACCATTGAGGCTAGGAAGAAACTGCATCAACTAACGAGCAAAATAACCAGCTAACATCATGATGACAGCATCAAATTCACACATAACAATATTAACTTTAAATGTAAATGGACTAAATGCTCCAATTAAAAGACACAGACTGGCAAATTGAATTAAGAGTCAAGACCCATCAGTGTGCTGTATTCAGGAAACCCATCTCACGTGCAGAGACACACACAGGCTCAAAATAAAAGGATGGAGGAAGATCTGCCAAGCAAATGGAAAACAAAAAAAGGCAGGGATTGCAATCCTAGTCATTGATAAAACAGATTTTAAACCAACAAAGATCAAAAGAGACAAAGAAGGCAATTACGTAAAGGGATCAATTCAACAAGAAGAGCTAACTATCCTAAATATATATGCACCCAATATAGGAGCACCCAGATTCATAAAGCAAGTCCTTAGTGACCTAGAAAGACAGTTAGACTCCCAAACAATAATAATGGGAGATTTTAACACTCCACTGTCAACATTAGACAGATCAATGAGACAGAAAGTTAAAAAAGATACCCAGGAATTGAACTCAGTTCTGCACCAAGCAGACCTAATAGACATCTACAGAACTCTCCACACCAAATCAACAGAATATACATTTTTTTCATCACCACACTACACCTATTCCAAAATTGACCACATACTTGGAAGTAAAGCACTCCTCAGCAAATGTAAAAGAACAGAAATTATAACAAACTGTCTCTTAGACCACTGTGCAATCAAACTACAACTCAGGATTAAGAAACTCCTTCAAAACCACTCAACTACATGGAAACTGAACAACCTGCTCCTGAATGACTACTGGGTACATAACAAAATGAAGGCAGAAATAAAGATGTTCTTTGAAATCAACGAGAACAAAGAACAACATACTAGAATCTTTGGGACACATTCAAAGCAGTGTGTAGAGGGATATTTATAACACTAAATGCCCACAAGAGAAAGCAGGAAAGATCCAAAATTG
Organism: Homo sapiens; assembly: GCF_000001405.40. Taxonomy (NCBI): domain Eukaryota; kingdom Metazoa; phylum Chordata; class Mammalia; order Primates; family Hominidae; genus Homo; species Homo sapiens. The sequence goes on along the minus strand of NC_000024.10, from coordinate 20,922,949 downwards.
ACCCCCTAAAATCACAATTAAAAGAACTAGAGAAGCAAGAGCAAACACATTCAAAAGCTAGCAGAAGGCAAGAAATAACTAAAATCAGAGCAGAACTGAAGGAAATAGAGACAAAAAAAAAAAAAAAAAAACGCTTCAAAAAATTAATGAATCCAGGAGCTGGTTTTTTTGGAAAGATCAACAAAATTGATAGACTGCTAACAAGACTAATAAAGAAGAAAATAGAGAAGAATCAAATAGACACAATAAAAAATGGTAAAGGGGATATCACCACCGATCCCACAGAAATACAAACTACCATCAGAGAATACTATAAAAACCCCTATGCAAATAAACTAGAAAATCTAGAAGAAATGGATACATTCCTCGACACATATGCACTCCCAAGACAAAACCACGAAGAAGTTGAATCTCTGAATAGACCAATAACAGGCTCTGAAATTGTGGCAATTGTCAATAGCTTACCAACAAAAAAAGGACAAGGTAGATTCACAGCCGAATTCTACGAGAGGTACTAGGAGGAGCTGGTACCATTCCTTCTGAAACTATTCCAATCAATAGAAAAAGAGGGAATCCACTCTAACTCATTTTAAGAGGCAAGCATCATCCTGATACCAAAGCCTGGCAGAGGCACAACAAAAAAGAGAATTTTAGACCAATATCCTTGATGAACATTGATGCAAAAATCCACAATAAAATACTAGCAACCCAAATCCGGCAGCACATCAAAAACTTATCCACCATGATCAAGTGGGCTTCATCCCTGGGATGCAACACTGGTTCAACATATGCAAATCAATAAATGTAATCCAGCATCCAGCATATAAACAGAACCAAAGACAAAACCATATGATTATATCAATAGATGCAGAAAAGGCCTTTGACAAAATTCAACAAGCCTTCATCCTAAAAACTCTCAATAAATTAGGTATTGATGGGGCATATCTCAAAATAATAAGAGCTATCTATGATAAACCCACACTCCTATTCAACAGAGTGTTGGACGTTCTGGCCAGGGCAGTTAGGTAGGAGAAGGAAATAAAGGGTATTCAATTAGGAAAAGAGGAATTCAAATTGTGCCTGTTTGCGGACGACATGATTGTATATCTAGAAAACCCCTTTGTCTTGGCCCAAAATCTCCTTAAGCTGATAAGCAACTTCAGCAAAGTCTCAGGAAACAAAATCTATGTATAAAATCACAAGTATTCTTATACACCAATAACGGACAGAGAACTAAATCTTGAGTGAACTCCCATTCACAATTGCTTCAAAGAGAATAAAATACCTAGGAATCCAACTTAAAAGGGATGAGAAAGACCTCTTCAAGAAGAACTACAAACCACCACTCAATGAAATAAAAGAGGATACAAACCAATGGAAGAACATTCTATGCTCATGGGTAGGAAGAATCAATATCATGAAAATGGCCATAGTCCCCAAGGTAATTTATAGATTCAATGTCATCCCCATCAAGCTACCAATGAATTTCTTCACAGAATTGAAAAAACTACTTTAAAGTTCATATTGAACCAAAAAAGAGCCTTCATTGCCAAGTCAATCCTAAGCCAAAAGAACAAAGTTGGAGGCATCACGCTACCTGACTTCAAACTATACTAGAAGGCCACAGTAACCAAAACAGCATGGTACTCTTACCAAAGGAGAGATACAGATCAATGGAACAGAACAGAGCCCTCAGAAATAAAGCCGCATATCTACAACCACCTGATCTTTGACAAACCTGACAAAAACAAGAAATGGGGAAAAGATTCCCTATTTAATAAATGGTATTGAGAAAACTGGCTAGCCATATGTAGAAAGCTGAAACTATATCCCTTCCTTACACCTTATAAAAAAGTTAACTCAAGATGGATTAAAGATTTACATGTGAGACCTAAAACCATACAAACCCTAGAAGAAAACCTAGGCTATACCATTCAGGACATAGGCATGGGCAAGAACTTCATGTCTAAAACAGAAAAAGCAATGGCAACAGAAGCCAAAATTGACAAATGGGATCTAACAGATCTAAACTAAAGAGCTTCTGCACAGCAAAAGAAACTACCATCAGAGTGAACAAGCAACCTACAAAATGGGAGAAAATTTTTGCAACTTACTTATCTGACAAAGGGCTAATATAAAGAATCTAGAATGAACTCAAACAAATTTACAAAAAAAAGCAAACAACCCCATCAAACAGTGGGTGAAAAGTGGGCAAAGGATATGGAGAGACACTTCTCAAAAGAAGACATTTAGGCAGCCAAAAAACACATGAAAAAGTGCTTATCATCACTGGCCATCAGAGAAATGCAAATCAAAACCACAGTGAGATACCATCTCACACCATTTAGAATGGCAATCATTAAAAAGTCAGGAAACAACAGGTGCTGGAGAGGATGTGAAGAAATAGGAACACTTTTACACTGTTGGTGGGACTGTAAACTAGTTCAACCATTGTGGAAGTCAGTGTAGCGACTCCTCAGGGATCTAGAACTAGAAATACCATTTGACCCAGCCATCCCATTACTGGGTATATACCCAAAGGATTATAAATCATACCGCTATAAAGACACATGCACACGTATGTTTATTGTGGCACTATTCACAATATCAAAGACTTGGAACCATCCCAAATGTCCAACAACGATAGACTGGATTAAGGAAATGTGGCACATATACACCATGGAATACTATGCAGCCATAAAAAATGAAGAATTCATATCCTTTGTAGGGACATAGATGAAAGTGGAAACCATCATTCTCAGCAAATTATCACAAGGACAAAAAACCAAGCACTGCATATTCTCACTCATAGGTGGGAATTGAACAATGAGAACACATGGACACAAGAAGGGGAACATCACACTTCAGGGAATGTTGTGGGTTGGAGGGAGAGATAGCATTAGGAGATATAACTAGTGCTAAATGACGATTTAATGGGTGCAGCACACCAACATGGCGCATGTATACATATGTAACTAACCTGCACATTGTGCACATGTACCCTAAAACTTAAAGTATAATAATAATTTAAAAAAAAAAGAAACTGGGAGGCAGGTTTTGCGGTAAGATGAGATCTTATCACCGCACTCTAGCTTAGGTGACAGAGTGAGACTCTGTCTCAAAAAGGAAAAAAAAGTGCTATTTTTGAAGTAACTATGTGCAAATAGGCTAAACTTACCTGTTCACAACTATAGATTGTCAGGTGTTTTTAGACTCACACTAAAGCATAAGAAGAAGAAATAAAAGCAGTCAACAAAAAGAAATTATCATAGAACAAACAACAGAAAAAGCTCTTAGCACTTTTATGAAATCAGGTCAAATTGTCTTCAAGGCAAAAAAAAAAAATTCTCAGCAATAAAAAGGGTCAGTGCAGAAGAGTATTTTGTCAGAAAGACATCAGTTTTAAGATTTGATACATCCAATAACATGTAAAAATGAATACACCCAGCATAAAAGTAAAAAACAAATATGTGACTACAAGGCATCTCATGGTTTAGAGCTAACTTTTTTCTTTAGAATTCAACTGCATTTATTTGAGAAGAGTATGTTATTAAAATATGTAAAAATGATATAAGTAACCCCCTTCTACTACAGAAAAGGAGTCCCCATCCAGACATTAAGAGATGGTTTTTGAATCTCAAGAAAGAATAAAGCATGAGTGTACAGCAAAAAGTAAAGGCAAGTTTATTAACAAAGTAAAGTGGTAAAAGAACAACTACTGCATAGACAGAACAGGATGTTCTTGAAAGTAAGAAGAGGAACGCATCCACCTTAAGTACAAAGCTTGTATATATCAGTAGATGTGTTCTGCTACAAGAATTTGTAATAAAGAATTAATTTTCTTAATTACAACTTATATCTCAAGAATCAATATGATTATATTTAAAGCAAAATTAGAAATGCCTTTGTCCTCCAGATATTGAAATATCTGGACACTCCCAAGTCTGGGTCTGTTTAGTAAACATTATTAATTTGTTCTCTTGACTGTAAACATGTAGAGACTAGGAATGGCTAACTTTCTGGAATGACAGCCCAGCAAGTCTCAAGCCTCAATGTTCTGGCCATCAGACAAATGGAGTCACTCTGGTTCCAGTCCCTCTGATGTATTGCTCCCTCCCTTTACAAGAGGACCTTTAATCCTAAGCGTTGCAGAGGGGCAAAGATCCATCTTCTGTAACTTCCTCAGGCTGAATAGGGCCAACGATATTCCTACCTAACTATTAGGGTTTCTTGCATTCAGGGTAGAGAGAAGCTCAGTCAGAGAGGATTAGTATATTTAAGGTCCTTCATAACTCTAAGTCTCAGCAAAAGGTGATATCTGGAAGATTAATAAGTGGCCAATTTAAGAAAGCATTGAGTGAGATTATCTTGCATTCCTACACAAAGAATACAACTACAATGGATTCCACAACAGCAAAGCAAAATGAGAAAAATATTGCAAGTAAACTTAACAGGGAGGCCTTCAAGAATTGGGCAGTTGTTTGAACCAAGCCAATATAGGGTCAACTGATAGCACATCAATGGCAGATATATGAGTGTCTAAAGTTTTCATAGCCTCGGTAATATTATGTGAATAGTCTGGAACATACACACAACATTAAGTTTTGAACAGAGCACAAGTTCCCTTTTCAGCTGCTGTTAAAATGTCCAAAGCCATATGATTTTGTAAGACTACCTGCATAATCTGAGAAGTTTCCACAGTTAAGAAGGTAAGGGGCCTGGCACAATGGCTCACACCTGTAATCCCAGCACTTTGGGAGGTCGAGGTGGGTGGATCATTTGGGGTCAGGTCATGTTGTCCAGCCTGGCCAACATGCTGAAACCTAGTTTCTCCTAAAATTACAAAAATTAGCCACATGGTAGGGCCACATGCCTGTAATCTCAGCTACTCAGGAGACTGAAGCAGTAGAATTGCTTGAGCCTAGGAGGTGGAAATTGTGGTGAGCCAAGATCACACCACTCCACTCCACTCTGGGTGATAGAGTTGAGATGCTGTCTTATAAAAAATATATTTAAAAAAAGGTAAGGGCATGGCCTGCATTATTGAAATCTGTAGCAGTGTGTTCGGCTAAAGCTTCAACTTCTAACTTGATTGTACTTAGAATTGTAGCTACCTGTGGGGAAAACATAGCCATCAGATAGAACCACCAAGATGACCATTTTTGTTGCCTATGGGAAGCTTTTACAATTTCTTGGTTAGATGGGGGAGAGTCCAATTTTGTGAGGATACCTCCTGGGAGATAAGGGTGACCCCATGTACAACTTCCTGTCCAGTTATAATGTAAGTATGGCCAGCCATGAGTTCTACATGCCCATAACCATCCCCAAGAAGAAGGGTAGGAACTCATTTTTGGCAAATTATCTTGCCATCACATTCACATGTTGTTGGTTAAAGAAGGGTCTGATTACATTGTTAAGATGAGAGCTATCTCATACAACGGACTTCAGTCTGGTGGTAACTATTATTGTGCCTTTCAAAACATAGAGGTGCTTTGTCTGATAACTGCACTTGAACAGCTGACATTCACACAACTTCATTATGTATAGCATAACCTAAAGTTGGGGCGGATGTTAGCTGTTTTCTAATTAGATTAAAAAGTTGCCTTCTTCAAGAAATAACTAAAATCAGAGCAGAACTGAAGGAAATAGAGACACAAAAAACCCTTCAAAAAATTAATGAATCCAGGAGCTCGTTTTTTGAAAGGATCAACAAAATTGATAGACCGCTAACAAGACTAATAAAGAAAAAAAGAGAGAAGGATCAAATAAATGCAATAAAAAATGATAAAGGGGATATCACCACCAATCCCACAGAAATACAAACTACCATCAGAGAATACTACAAACACCTCTCTGCAAATAAACTAGAATATCTAGAAGAAATGGATAAATTCCTTGACACATACACTCTCCCAAGACTAAACAAGGAAGAATTTGAATCTCTGAATAGACCAATAAAAGGATCTGAAATTGTGGCAATAATCAGGAGCTTACCAACCAAAAAGAGTCCAGGAACAGATGGATTCACAGCCGAATTCTACCAGCGGTACAAGGAGGAATGGGTACCATTCCTTCTGAAACTATTCCAATCAATAGAAAAAGAGGGAATCCTCCCTAACTCATTTTATGAGGCCAGAATCATTCTGATACCAAAGCTGGGCAGAGACACAACCAAAAAAGAGAATTTTAGACCAATATCCTTGATGAACTTTGATGCAAAAATCCTCAGTAAAATACTGGCAAAACGAATCCAGCAACACATCAAAAAGCTTATCCAACATGATCAAGTGGGCTTCATCTCTGGGATGCAAGGCTGGTTCAATATACGCAAATCAATAAATGTAATCCAGCATATGAACAGAGCCAAAGACAAAACCACATGATTATCTCAATAGATGCAGAAAAGGCCTTTGAAAAAATTCAACAACGCTTCATGCTAAAAACTCTCAATAAATTAGGTATTGATGTGATGTATTTTGAAATAATAAGAGCTATCTATGACAAACCCACAGCCAATATCATCCTGAATGGGCAAAAACTGGAAGCATTCCCTTTGAAAACTGGCACAAGACAGGGATGGCCTCTCTCAGTACTCCTATTCAACATAGTGTTCGAAGTTCTGGCCAGGCAAATTAGGCAGGAGAAGGAAATAAAGTGTATTCAATTAGGAAAAGAGGAAGTCAAATTGTCCCTGTTTGAAGATGACATGATTGTACATCTAGAAAACCCCTTTGTCTCAGTCCAAAATCTCCTTAAGCTGATAAGCAACTTCAGCAAAGTCTCAGGATACAAAATAAATGCGCAAAAATCAAAAGCATTCCTATACACCAACAACAGACAAACAGAGAGCCACATCATGAGTGAACTCCCATTCACAATTGCTTCAAAGAGAATAAAATACCTAGGAATCCAACTTACAAGGGATGTGAAGGACCTCTTCAAGGAGAACTACAAACCACTGATCAAGGAAATAAAAGAGGATACAAACAAGTGGAAGAACATTCCATGCTCATGGGTAGGAAGAATCAATATCATGAAAATGGCCATACTGCCCAAGGTAATTTATAGATTCAATGCCATCCCCATCAAGCTACCAATGCCTTTCTTCACACAATTGGAAAAAACTACTTTAAAGTTCATATGGAACCAAAAAAGAGCCCACATCACCAAGTCAATCCTAAGCCAAAAGAACAAAGCTGGAGGCATCACACTACCTGACTTCAAACTATACTACAAGGCTACAGTAACCAAACAGCATGGTACTGGTACCAAAACAGATATATAGATCAATGGAACAGAACAGAGCCCTCAGAATTAATACCACACATCTACAACCATCTAATCTTTGACAAACCTGAGAAAAACAAGCAATGGGGAAAGGATTCCCTATTTAATAAATGGTGCTGGGAAAACTGGCTAGCCATATGTAGAAAGCTGAAACTGGATCTCTTCCTTACATTACACCTTATACAAAAATCAATTCAAGATGGATTAAAGACTTAAATGTTAGATCTAAAACCATAAAAGCTTTAGAAGAAAACCTAGGTATTACCATTCAGGTCATAAGCATGGGCAAGGACTTCATGTCTAAAACACCAAAAGCAATGGCAACACAAGACAAAATTGACAAATGGGATCTAATTAAACTAAAGAGCTTCTGCACAGCAAAAGAAACTACCATCAGAGTGAACAGGCAACCTACAAAATGGGAGAAAATTTTTGCAACCTACTCATCTGACAAAGGGCTAATATCCAGAATCTACAATGAGCTCAAACACATTTACAAGAAAAAAACAAACAACCCCATCAAAAAGTGGGTGAAGGACATGAACAGACACTTCTCAAAAGAAGACATTTATGCGGCCAAAAAACACGTGAAAAAATGCTCATCATCACTGGCCATCAGAGAAATGAAAATCAGAACCACAATGAGATACCATCTCACACCAGTTAGAATGGCAATCATTAAAAAGTCAGGAAACAACAGGCGCTGGAGAGGATGTGGAGAAATAGGAACACTTTTACACTGTTGGTGGGACTGTAAACTAGTTCAACCATTGTGGAAGTCAATGTGGTGATTCTTCAGGGATCTAGAACTGGAAATACCATTTGACCCAGCCATCCCATTACTGGGTATATACCCAAAGGACTGTAAATCATGCTGCTATAAAGACACATGCACACGTATGTTTATTGCGGCATTATTCACAATAGCAAAGACTTGGAACCAACCCAAATGTCCAACAATGATAGACTGGATTAAGAAAATGTGGCACATATAGACCATGGAATACTATGCAGCCATAAAAAATGATGAGTTCATGTCCTTTGTAGGGACATGGATGAAATTGGAAATCATCATTCTCAGTAAACTATCACAAGAACAAAAAACCAAACACCGCATATTCTCACTCATAGGTGGGAATTGAACAATGAGATCACATGGACACAGGAAGGGGAATATCACACTCTGGGGACTGTTGTGGGGTCGGGGGAGGGGGTGGGATAGCATTGGGAGATATACCTAACGCTAGATTACGAGTTAGTGGGTGCAGCACACCAGCATGGCACATGTATACGTATGTAACTAACCTGCACAATGTGCACATGTACCCTAAAACTTAAAGTATAATAATAAAAGAAAAATAAAAAATAATAATAAAAAAACAAAGGTGCCTTCTTGTCTCTTCATAGAAAGGGAAGCACCTAAGTCCCCATGTGGCTGTGATACATGGGAGAAGAGGGGCTATATTTATAATGTTCAGTTTCCTAATAATAATAAAATCCTTATAAACTTAAGTTGGTTGGTTGAATATGCCAGGGCAACACAACGGTAGAGAATGGCAGCAATTCTCCTCATACCTAATGGTTTTTTTGGTTATATAGAGATGCTAAAATCTGTGCCCCCTCAGTAAATAAGTTACTGTCTGCTTGATTCCAATTTATACCCAAAAGTAGAATACCAATCCATATCTTTATGTTACCCATCACTTTCATTTCTTCTGAACAGAAGTCAGAAGTCACTGATTGGTTCACAGGAATAAATGGGATCAATCTCTTGTGTTCCATCAGCCTGTGAGTTTTCATAAGAGACAGGATTAAATCGATATAAGTGGACCCAGAACTTTATTCCCAGAAGTTTAAATACAATTTTGGTACTAAGGAATTCCTGGAGATGAAGATAGGTTTTTTGTAATTGTCATTATGAACGATGGGGCATTATCTCTCTGTAAGTTTTTAGGCCACCAAAATCTAGCAATTACTCCTTTAGTAGGAGTTCAGAAACCTCTATTTCCTTTTGAGATTGCTTAGGAAAGTCCTGAACCCAACTGGTAAAAGTGCACATGTTCACAAGTCTGAGTTACTCGCTTTACTCTTTTAAGTAAGCCTTTTCCTGTAAAAAGCTGTGACGTTAATTGAAACATAGAATTTCTTCCCAAATGAGTACAGTCATGCAAATGCTTAACTTTTTTTCACTGATTGTCACCTGGTATTAACAGTTCATCAAGAATTTCTAGTAACAAAGCCTGATATTTCAATAAGCATCCCCCTGTCATCCACTGGTGTCTTTTAGCTTCCAGTACTCCTTATACTTGGTGTGAAGTTAAAGCCTCCATATATTGTCCTAAAAGCAGTTCATTGGCTTCATCTACTAAAAGAACAGTTGCTGCTACTGCCCTGTGGCATCCAGACATAATAAGAAAGTAATGTGAGAAAACCAAAGTCCATAAGAATAGTTTAGAGGATAGGTAAAATTGCTTCTATAGGTTTGGCCATCTATCTCCATGACCATACAATTTTGGGTGACAGAGGTCCATTACAATGAATGAAAACTGAGTCAGCAGTCCAGAAAGAAGTTAACAAACTTACCTGCCACATCAAGTGTTACCTGAGGTTCCTCTGGAGACATGGCTAGTTGTCCAATGGGAGTTATAACAGAAGTTTTCAGACCCCATAACTCTTGTGCTTGCCTGACTATTTTGGTCATCATTGGTTTGTGTGCCAATGGCTCCCTTTGGAATGCTGGGTATCTCTCTTCCAATGGCCAGTTTTCTTCCAGTGTGCACACTGATTCATGCCTAAGCCATGGTGACTTGGACACTGAGCTTTGTAATTCCCACTTTCAGCTTCACTTGTTCAGGCCAAGAGCCAGGAGGGCAACCTCATATGGACAGTAAGCTTAAGGTTACAGCTTTGAGCTGCACTTTGTGGGAGGCCTTTATTGCTCTTTCTGCTTCCTCTGCTTTTTCCCTGTTATTAAAAACTAAAAATGCCATATCCAAAAGATGTTACATAGGAATTTGAGGACGCATAGTTGCTTTTTGTAGTTTCCTATGGATGTAAGGGGCAGACTGGGTTACAAAATGCACTCCAAAAAGCTTTTGTCCTTCCCTTGAGGCAGGATCAGTGTTAGTATATTACCTGATTTTCTCAATTAAAAGCCCTTGAAACAAATCTGGATTCTCACATTTGTGCTGAGAAACTTCCTTAACTTTTTCACAGTTAAAAGGCTTTTTTGTATATTTCTTCATTCCTCTCAATAAACAACTGACCGTATCATCTCTCATCCCCAAGTCCTCACTGCTCCTTTGATAGTTCCTCTCTGAATCTTGATCTCAAAAGGCTATACCTCCTGCCTGACATATATTATGATTTTGGTTTTAACCCAATACTTCATGTGCATGGACCTATCTACCCCCAAAATGCATTGTTTCTCTTCCACTGTACAACACACAGACAACAAAACATGCAGATCCTGCCTAGTTAAACTATAGGTTAGAGTGAATTTCCCAAATTTATCTGTAAATTTTCCTAGATTTTCAGAAAAAAATGATTTTCTCTTTATGTAGGACCAAAAGCAGACATAGAAAAGAGAACATGCACTTTCACAGCGACTTCTTCCCCATTTGCCACCCCTGTGAGTGGACAAAGATTTCACTTTAAAGGTAAACAGGAGGCTCCACTATAAGTAGTACTTGCTGGCCTAAGTTCCTCAGGGCATGGTAGGCATAGAGGGGGACTGGAATAGATTAAGTGGTCCCTATAGAACTTTCAAGTGGACTAGAGAGGGAAAGGGCCAATACACCTGAACATTCGAGCTGACAGAAGGAAGCTCTGCTCCACCCAAAAATGCCCACTGAACCAGAAGGAGAGGGTTTGCATTAAAGGGTCATCTAGTATGTTTAGCTCTTTTTCCTATTTTTCTCTCATCAAACATGCAGAGTTTTATCCTGACTGAGCAGCAAAAAAATGCTTGAACATATAGTATTTTTATCTCCCACTTACAAATTAAATTGAGTTGAAGTATACTATTATAGCTGTAGTTCCAGTAAAAGGCTATTTCTCTTGTTTTTTGGAATAATACAGAGACCAAATGGTATTACATAGAAACACCAGTTTTCTCCTTTTAAGCCCGTTCAGCTTAAACTAGTCTCAGCATTCAAGCTTGGCCACTAAAAATAATGAGAGGTTTTTAAGACCAGCTGCATTAATGAGGGGATCCCTGCTGAAAATTGAATTCTCTTATTCACATTATCCAAATAATGTAAGTGAAACAAGCCATGAATCTTAGGTAAATCACAACATGGACTTCCACAGAAATATCAAATTAAAGCAAAGGAGATAAAGAGGATTTAGATGGGAATGACCAGAGCAAGCAGGCCCTGAGCAATAGCAGACAAACAAAGCTGGTTTGCTGAAGTTCAAGAAAGTAGTGTTTTTTTTAGTGTGCAAAATGAAACAAAACATCAAGGAGAAAAGACCCCTTATTTCCATCCTAGTTGTTCTTGATGGTCTGAAAGGTGGCAACAAAACATAACCATATCTACTTAAACCTATTTCTTATAGCCGTTAAACACCGAATCTAAATCAACAATTTTAGAGACAATAGCTTCAATGCTTTTTGTTCCCAGTCTTTTATAAGCAAATAGATGAAAATTGAGATGCGCACAGGGAAAGAGTAAGTTAAAAGCCCTAAGACCAGTTAAAGAGTCTCCTGAAAATGACAGTGAAAGAGAGACAGCAACCAAGAAATGTATTCATTGAGTAAATAAGATAAAGCTGATTAATACAACCAGCATAGCTTGTGGTGTGTGCCAAACCCATTGTTAGCCAAAGGTAACTTTACTCAGAGCGGTCTCTAACCACATAAATCTTAGAAGAAACTTTAACCCTTCTAAATCAGGCCTCTAACCCAAGATCAGTCAAGGGTCTTTGACTTTTTATTGTTTTTTGTTTTGTTTTGTTTTGTTTTGTTTTGTTTTTTATGGAGTCTCACTCTGTGACCAGGCTGGAGAGCAGTGGCAAGATCTCAGCTCACTGCAACATCTACCTCCCGGGTTCAAGTGATCCCCCTGCCTCAGCCTCCCAAGTCCCTGGGAATACAGTGTGCACCAACATGCCCAGCTAATTTTTTTATATTTTAGAAGAGATGGGGTTTCACCATATTGGCTAGGATGGTCTTCATCTCCTGACCTCATGATCCACCTGCCTCACCCTTCAAAAGTTCTGGGATTACAGTTGTGAGTCATCACACCAAGCCTCTTGCCTTTTATTAAGAAGGACCTCTAACCTACTCTATCTTAGGATACTGTAGCTCCCATGAGTTGGGCCTCTAATCCAATCCCATTCTTTACCAAGATATATGCACTCCACTTACCCAAAGTCAGCCAATTGTTGCACACAGATGATTTTCCTTTGGGTCAGGTAGTCTCTTCAGTGTCATCCCTGGTTCACCAGAAATACATTATAGGACCCCACCACTTACCCAAAGTCGGTAGTTTTCGCACTATAGTCCCTTCTGTGGTCTCCAGAAATATGTTACAAGACCCCAACACCTATCCAAAGGTAGCAATTAGGTCAGAGTTTGTGCACCAGAGTCCCTTCTGTAGTCACCAGAAATATGTTTCAGAAATGGGGTGCCAATCCAGACCCCAAGTGAGGGTTCTTGGATCTTGATCAAGAAATAGATCATAGTGAATCCGCAGTGCAAAGTAAGACCAAATTTCTTAGGAAAGTAAAGTGGTAAAAGAACAGATAATCCACAGAGAGAAGGACATTCCTGAAAGTAAGAGGAGGAATTCTTCTTACTTGCTCTTCCCCCTCTCTCTCTCCCATCTCTCCCCCTTCTCTCCAAACCCACCAACATATTAAAAGGATAATACACAGCAATGAACTAAGATTTATTCCAGCAACAAGAATGGATTCAACATATAAAAATCAATGGAATATATCACATCAATAGAATACTAGACAAAAGTCACAGGATCAGCTCAATAGACAGAAAATATCTCATTTTGCAAAATACAACACATTTCAGAATAAAAACACTCAGAAAACAATACTTTGCCAAAGTAGCAAATGACATCTAATAAGAAAAATATAATATAGCATAATATTTTCTGCCAAATGCGAAGACTAAGATCTGATTTTTAAAATTTGCCTAAATTCCTGTCTAAGGGGTCTGGGTAGCCATCTCCTACAAACCATAAATTCTAAACAGATGGATTTTATTTAACCCTATATACTGTGTCTTACTTTCCAATCCAATTCTGGGATAACATTATGTAATGAAAAGGAAGTCAAACTATTTTATGTCAAAACGTGTATTTCCAGTATTTTGAAATGGTCTTGCAAAGCTGTCCTTTGTGGGGACAAGTTTGTGTCTGAAAAGAATCCCTATTAACATGGCTAGATCTTTTTCTTCAGGCCCTGCCAATCCTGAAGAGTTAAACTAATAGTTTAGCACATTTTAAAGGCCTTAATAGGAAGCATTTGTCATTTTTCTAAAGGCAGCCCCTATAAAACTTCAAAAGAACATTGGTCTCCACAATGTTTTAGCTTAGCTTGAATATTTCCTTTTTATCAATCCCAGGTCTTTAGACAAACTCATTCAATTGTCAACCAGAATATGTTTAAATTAGTGTATAAACTTGAAGCTACTTCTCCCGCGAGTTGTCTTGTCCCACCTTGCTGGACCAAACCGATGTATTTCTGAAATATATTTGATTGATGTCTCAAGCCTCCCTAAAATACAAAAAAAAAAAAAAAAAAAAAAAAAAAAAGCAGCGCCATCCAGACCACCTTGTGAACATGTTCTCAGTGTCTGCTGGAGGGTGCATCATGGGCCATGGTCAGTCATATTTGGCTCAGAATAAATCTCTTCAAAATATTTTACAGTTTGACACTTTTCATTGAATATAATTTTGTGCCTCAATATGTGGGGCCTCAGAGAAGACTTAGAACCCCAAAGGAGTTACCCAAACTTAGAGCTAAGGCACCTGCAGGACCCATTAGAGCCTATGCAACTTCAAGCTTCTCCTCCAGTGGAGATGGTAAGTCCTCCTGGGCCCGAGATCTCTGTTTTGGTTGACAGTTCTGGATTTATTCAAGCTGGGTTTTCTCCTAGAAAGCTGTTGTTTTAGGGTTCTAATTCTAGTTCAGAGATGCATTTTAAAGTGTTTTCTCTCTTTTTTTTCCCCAGAATTAATCTTAATTCAGTTTGTGCACATTTGCGTGAGGAAATGGACTGCTGTTTACGTAGGTGAAGCAGAGTCTGAGATTTCTCAGCTCCAAAGGAAAAGGGCATTTGTGCCTCCCAGCTGAAAGACACCCCTGAGTGACAGGAGACTTCATGGGACTGGCTGGGTGGTTGATCTCCCATGATGTGCAGCAGTCACACAAAGTAATCCCCCAAAAAATTTTGTTGTACAAATGGTTCATCCAGAAAATGAGTATAAGGGCTGATCACCTAGTGTCTTGAGCCCTCTCAAAGGTTATAGACTTTTCATGGGATGTGTGTAAGCAGGTGAAATGAATCAGTGGTGACACACTGTGAAGTCCTGCCTACAAGCAGCATATCAGTCCACCACACAGAAACACTAGGGCGCAGCTCAGTGCCCCCTTTGAAGAAAGAAATAAATGTGTAAAACAAATAATCTATGAAAAAGACAAAAACAAAGAGAATAATCTTTTTTCAAGCACTCTGTAGGTTTGTGGCACCACAGCTTGCTATAGTATATGTAAAATAGAAGTAATATGGTTTTTATGCACATTTACATTAAGGAAAAACAGCCCTATGATTGACTTGCAAACTACAGAATTCATATTCTCTCTTTTTTTTGTTTTATTTCATTTTCTGCCAGCTTTTAATCTGCTCTTGCTTTTCTACTAATATAAAAACCACAATTTAGTGCTAACAGAATTTTTGTAATTTGCAAGCTGGGGAGTTTTTTATTATCTCATGTTCAAAGTACTGAAGTAATACTATGGAATGTTTGTGTTTTTATGTATATGTATGTGTATGTGTATGTGTGTGTATATTTAAAAGGTTTTTAAGCCACCTGGGGCCCGGAAGGGTGACGTGGCTGTGGCATTGCCATCCTTGCTATGTCTGCTATTTTCAATTTTCAGAGTCTATTGACCATAATCTTGCTGCTTATATGTACCTGTGTTTATATTCAATCCTTGGCACCCAGCCTCATGGACAGAAATGAAACTGAATTGTTGGGTATATTTTGGAAGTGTGTCAGAATTGGTGAATGGAAGATTCCTTATGTTGCAGTGTGCTGTATAGTAATGGGCTTCAACATTCTCTTCATACAGTAGCTGGGGAAAATTCCTGAATTTAATTGCCATCAACTTTCATTGTGTACAAGGACTTACTGCAGAAAATAATGGAAAAGATGGTTAACTGTTTTATCTCCAAACATTGAAAGAGATAAATTTCTAGATGCTTTTCTCTGTTTTTATGTTATTGGACCAATGTTCTGTATAAATAATTAAGATGTAACCATTTAATAGTCTGTAACAATCAATCTGAGTACTGTACCTACAATATTACTTTCTGCAAATGTTATTCTATTGTGTCAGATACCCAAATTTTAGTGAGATGTCTCTAAGGCACATAGTTAACAAAATTTGTTCATTACTCAAGTTCCTTTCACTGTGATTTGGAAATGGTTTAATCTTTATAGAATGAGATGTTTTTTGGGCTAACATTTTATTAAAATGTCTCAGTTTGTGTTAATAAGGATTGCATTCATATTTAAGAGTGCTTGCTTTTCCTCTGGGCACACCATTTTGATCATTAACCAGAGTACCGGTACTCTTAGCAAACTCTAGTTTATGACAAGTATATAAAATATTTAAAACAAGCTTATGAAGTTCTTAAGGAGGAAGGTAAATGAGACATAACTTAAAAGAAGTAGTGGGAAATTGTTGATATGTAACATTAGTGGATTTAGACTCACCAAATGGCAGATTAGGCTCTGAAACCTCTTGTCAGGTATAGGTAAGTGTTTTGTGCATGAACTTTTACGAGAAAGCTATCTTTCTCTGAAAAGCACAAGATCCTTAGAATGAAAAAAATATATAAAAAAACTATCCTACAGGTGTTTTTCATTCTTTTTAGTGTCATGGCTTTAAAAATGAAATATTTATTTTAATTGCCCTAAACAAACTTATTTTCATTTTGTTTTCTTTTTTAATACAGTACTTTAAATCCAGTTTGTGTTTTGTCAACTTGAACTGGGATCTCTTTTATTACTTTGGACGTGATAAATAGTTTTTAAATATATTGATTTGTATGCTGTGGTGTATCTTTGAACTTTGATAGTGAAAGAAGACCTTCAACAATTTTTAATCTAGGCAAGAGGAATATTGGGAATATCACTTCAAATTTTAGAATACAGCAGTTATTTTAAGGTCATGGTTAACATTTCTTAAGGTTCAACTGAAATTCAGTTAAAATTTCAATGCTAAGAAGGACCTAAATCTTAGCTAAAAATAGATATATAGGAGTAATAGTAGATAATATTAATTAGATTGTTTGCAGTTAATCAATCAGCTTAAATAATTTGAGGATCAAGTCCAGTGTCCTGTTAATGCCCTGTTCTACTGTGCCAGGCACTATGTTGAATGCTCTTACATGTTCAAATTCAAAGTAGCTCTTTCATACTGGGAATGATAGTAACATGTAACTTGCAATACATTCCTTCATCTTAGTAATAAGATGAACAGTCTAGTTAGGAAAAAATAAAGATTTGGATAAATTAACTTTTCCAAGTTTAGAGAGCAAAAATGAGTAGATCTCTGCCTTGTTTTGTGAAAAAGACTTAGCACTGATAAACGGAATATTTATATTCCTACACCATTCTTTCAGCATATCATCACTGAAAACAGGAAGATAGGCACACAGATTCTTCCCCGTAGTAACTCATGTCATGTGTTTCCGTGTGAAGAGACCACCAAACAGGCTTTGTGTGAGCAATAAATCTTTTTAATCACCTGGATGCAGGTGGACTGAGTCCAAAAAAAGAGTCAGCAAAGGGAGATAGGGGCGGGGCCATTTTATAGAATTTGGGTAGGTAGTGGAAAATTACAGTCAAAGGGTGTTTTTCTCTCATGGGCAGGGATGGGGGGTCATAACGTGCTCAGTGGCGGAGCTTCGGAGTCAGGAGAAGGAATTTCTCAAGGTAATGTCACCAGTTAAGGCAGGAACTGGCCAACTTCACTTCTTTTATGATTCTTCAGTTGCTTCACACCATCTGGATGTATACATGCAGGCTTGGGATCAGAGGTCTGATATTCCTGTCTCCTTATATTAATATGAAGACTAAAACAAAATAGTGTTGAAGTGTTGGAGCAGCAAAAATTTTACAGGGTCTTACAGAAAGATAACGGGCAGGGTTTCTCACAGCTGCTTCAAGTGGGATTAGGGGTGGCATGTGAACCTAGAGTGGGAGAGATTAACCTGAAGGAAGATTTTTTGTTAAGGGGCAATATTGTGGGGTTGTTAGAAGGAGCATTTGTCATATAGAATGATTGGGGATGGCCTTGATGCTATCTTGTATGAATTGAGAAACTAAACAGAAGACATAAGGTCCAAATAAGAGAAGGAGAAAAAGAAGTGTTAAAGGACTAAGAATTGGGAGAACTTAGTGTCAGGCATCTGAGCCCATGACTTCACATATACATCCAGATGGCCTAAAGTAACTAAAGAATCACAAAAGAAGTGAAAATGGCTGGTCCCTGTCTTATCTGATGACATTACCTTGTGAAATTCCTTCCCCTGTCTCAGAAGCTCCCCTAGTGAGAACCTTGTGATCCCTGCCCCTGCCCACTTAGAACAACCCCCTTTGACTACAATTTTTCAATACCTACCCAAATCCTATAAAGCAGCCACACTGCTATCTCTCTTCACTGACTCTCTTTTGTACACAGCCCACCTGCATCCAGGTGAAATAAACAGCCTTGTTGCTCACACAAATCCTGTTTGGTGGTCTCTTTACACAGACGTGCATGACATTTGGTGCCAAAACACCACCATGCTGTTATATGGGCTGAAAGAGGTTTGCTCACTACACAAGTGTCCTCCATCATTAATGCCTCTTTAATAAGAAGGCTTCTCAAGGCTGCTTTACTTCCAAGGGAAGCTGGAGTCATTCACCACAGGGGCCACCAAAAGGCCCCAGATCCCATCTCTCAGGGCAATTCTTATGCTGATATGGTAGCTAAAGAAGCGGTTAGCATTCCAACTTCTGTCCCTCATGGTCAGTTTTTCTCCTTCTCATCAGTCACTCCCAACTACTTCCCACCTGAAACTTCCAACTATCAATCTCTTCCCACACAAGGCAAATAGTTTTGGACCAAGGAAAATATATCCTTCCAGCCTCACAGGCCAATTCTATTCTGTCATCATTTCATAACCTCTTCCTTGTAGGTTACAAGCTGCTAGCCTGCCTCTTAAAACCTCTCATTTCCTTTCCATCATGGAAATCTATCCTCAAAATATCACTTCTCAGTGTTTCATATGCTATTCTACTACTCCTCAGGAATTTATCAGACTCTCTCCCTTCCCTACATATCAAGCATGAGGATTTGCCCCTGTCCAGGACTTGCAAATTGACTTTGCTCACATGCCCTGAGACAGGAAACTAAAATACCTCCTGGTCTAGGCATACACTTTCACTGGATATGTAGAGGCTTTTCCCATACAGTCAGACAAGGCCACTTCAGTCATTTCTTCCCTTCTGTCAGACACAATTCCTCGGCTTGGCCTTCCCACCTCTGTATAGCCCAATAACAGACAGGCCTTTATTAGCCAAATCACCCAAGTAGTTTCTCAGGCTCTTGGTATTCAGTGGAAACTTCATACCCCTTACAATCCTCAATCTTCAGGAAAGGTAGAACAGACTAATGGTCTTTTAAAAATACACCTCACCGAGCTCAGCATCCAACTGAAACAGGAGGGCTCTGTCAAGTATAGAGCCAAAAAACTCACCACCCAAACTGAATCCCCTTGGGCACTCTCTAATTTGATGTACTGGGTCCTCACAATTCTTAGTCCTTGAATACCTCTTTTTCTACTTCTCTTATTTGGACCTTGTGTCTTCCATTTAGTTTCTCAATTCTTACAAAGCCATATCTAGGCCTTTACCAATCATTTTATATGACAAATACTCCTTCTAACAATCCCAAAATATCACTGCTTACCACAAAATCTTCCTTCAGCTTAATCTCTCCCACTCTAGTTTCCCATGTGACCCATAATCTTGCTCAAAGAAGCCCTGAGAAAATTGCCCATTATCTTTCCATATCACCCACAAAATTTTTCACGAACCCAACACTTTACCACTATTTTGTTTTATTTTCCTTATTAATATAAGAAGACAGGAATGTCAGGCCTCTGAGCCCAAGCCAGCAGGTATACATCCAGATGGCATGAAGCAACTGAAGAATCACAAAAGAAGTGAAAATGACTGGTTCCTGCCTTAACTGATGACATTACCTTGTGAAATTCCTTCTCCTGGCTCAGAAGCTCTCCCACTGAGCACCTTGTGGCCACCAGAGAACAACCTCCTTTGACTGTAATTTTCCACTACCTACCTTAATCCTATAAAAGGCCCCACCCCATCTCCCTTTGCTCACTCTCTTCTCAGACACAGCCCACCTACCCCCAGGTGATTAAAAAGCTTTATTGCTCATACAAAGCCTGTTTGGTGGTCTCTTCACACGGACACATGTGACAATACATAGAGCACAGGTGAAAGAGATGAAGTATATATTACAAAGTACAATGTGATGGCCTTTATTATTCAGATAATACCAGGATTCCAGAAGAAAACAAAAAAGGTGACTGTTCAGTTAGGGTGTGAACTTCCAGAGGAGCATTGCTTAAGCTGAACTTGAGAACATTGTGCAAAAGAACAGTCACCTGTTAAGAACTAGAAATAACCTATCTTGTGCCACTTCAAGAGTATTAAGACATAGGCCTAGAAACGTAGACAGAGGTTAGATCCTAGACTGCCTTGTATTTTTCTCTTTCCTGTTGATTACCAACCTCAAAATTGAAGTTGAATATGTTTTTCCTCCTGCCTAACACAAAACTCCTTAAGGGCAAAAATTTAAATTATTCTTTGCTGCATGTGCAAACAAGATTGAGTATATTCATGCCTACCTTATTTTGGACTAGCAATACAACACTATACTTTCTGAAGACTTGCCTGAATAGTATACAGGGTGAAGGCAACTGACTATTTAGGTCAGTATTTTTAGAAGCTCTTAATAGCTCATACTACATTGATGCCAAAAGCAGCACTGATTGTTAAAGCACACACCTGCACAAGAAGCAAAAAGGGTTGCATTTATACATCCTGGGTGCACAAAAAAAAATTCCAAAAAGCAAGGACTTTTGCACTTTGTAAAGCCTTTGAGAAGTTAGTGGATCATAGGAAGCTTATAACAAGACTGGAAGATTCTTAAGTATCTCACTTTCTTTGGTATCCAGTAACAGTAGATGTTCAAAATATGTAGTTGATTAGTGGCAGCATTGTGAATGCTGCACACCCTTGTGATTATTATGAAGTAAGTCACTACTAGTTTCAGAAAAGTAGCTTCATAATTATTTATGCACTGCCTTCCATGAATTCTACTTTGCCCTGAACTAATCCCCAAAATCTGAAATGCTACTGCAATATCAGAAAAAAATGGGGAGGTGGAAATATATTTCCTGCGATTTTAATAGTAGAGAGAATCATTCACATTTCTGGTTAGTTCATATGTCTAGTATGTAATAAAAGTCAAGATGAACTCTCAATAAATAAATAAATAAATAAATAAATAAATAAATAAATAAAAGGTTTTTAATAATTTCTACAGTTTTATGTTCAGCTGGCAGTTAAATCCAATTTAATTTCCCTCTAGCACACCAAACTTTTTCTCCCCCACCTTATGATGTAAATTTTGCTATCTGACATTCACCTGAGTTGATTTCTTTAATATGCAAATGCAGTACTATTTAGCTGACAACTGCCTAGGGTGATGCAACATGTTATCAACAATTTGAAAGTCTAAGATAGGAAAAAAGGAAGAAAAGAAGTCTTTATAAATCTAAGATGTATTTTATCAGCATGCCTAAATAAATCTATGCATTTATGTGTTGTATACACAGTATTTCACTACTAAAAATATATAAAACAGCTGTAGTTAGTTGGCTTTAAAAAAGTGCTTAAATCAGATATTTAAAGGAAGTCTAGTCAAATGATTTTTCAAGTTTATGTGACTTAAGCAAAATATTTAATAAATAAAGTGGCTTTAAAATTATTGGTAAAATAGTATTAGCAATGTCTTAAAAATTATTAGCATTTTGCTAGCATTTTTTTTTTAAACCAAGTGGCCTTATGTTTATTCCTGCAGAATACTATGATTTACCATAGGGTTATAAACTGTAAAACCAAGCCCACTGTTACTGGGGCTTCCTTCCTCCCAGAGCTCCCAAGATGGTGGCGGGCCACTTCCAAGGTGGTGGCAAGCCTTGTGTTCTCTGACCTGGGGTACTTGGCCTCACAGACTACAAGGAATGGAATCTTGGGCCACGTGGTGAGTGTTATAGCTCTATTAGAAGCCATGGGTCACAGAAGAGAACCATGGAACCCAGTGACTAGTGCTCAGCTTGATTAGGATGTACCCAAGCACTTAGCCATGCAGGAACAATGGCAAGCCTTTAGCCTGATTCAGAGTGGCAATGGATGCCTCACTGGAACAGAAGCACAGTGGACACCCCACCAGATCTGGAGGGATGGAAGTCAGTGGTGGATGTGTGATGGCAGCAAACAGCAGTGGTGAACAGTAAGCAAAAACTCAGCTCAAGCAAATAATAGAACTTCATCAGGGTGAAAGTATTGGAGGGTGCCCTGCCAGCAAAGATCATCTATCCACTCTATAAGGGAGTTAAGAGTCGCAGTTTGGGGACAGCACCAGGAGATATCAGCTGTGATGGCTTGGAGAAACTGTAAACTGGCAGTGTAAACAAGGGCTGGGCACTTATGGGTAGTTGAGAATGGTGAATAGGAGTATGACTAGACAGAAGATATTAGGGATGACAAGTTTTTGGGGTGCATTCCAAATAGTGGGAGTGACTGTGTAAAGCCCTGTTGCAAAAAGTAGGGCAAGGATGACTAGACTTAATAGAATGAAGGGATGTATACCCTTCATTCTATTGAAGAGTACAGAATGATGGGATCTGATACCTTTTGATGGCCCTTGCAGTGAATGACTGCAGCTTCCTTTGGAAGTAAAGTGGGCTTGAGAAGAGTTTTTATTGAGGAGACATTAATAATGGAGGACCCTAGATAGTAAGAAAACCTCTTTCTGCCCATATAACAGCATGGTGGTGCAGGATATGTAAGGCATATTTAGAATCAGTATAAATATTGATGCATAGTCCCTTTGAAAGAGTGAGGGCTTGAGTTAAGGCATTGAGTTTGGCTTTCTGAGAGCTAGTAGAGGGGGGCAAAGCAGTAGCCTCAATGATAGATGTGGAAGATATTATGGCATAGCCTGCCTTTCTGGTGAGTGGTGATTAGGCCTGGTGGAACTGCCATCAAGAATATTCAAAGGAGAGGCCACAAAGTAGGAGGTCATCAATATATTGAATAAAGTGAGAAGCAGATAGGTGGAAAGAAAGTAAATCATGAGAAATAGCTTGGCTGAAGTAATGAGGGCTATCCCTGAAACCCTGTGGCAATACAGCCAAGGTAAGCTGAGGGACTGAGGGGTGTCAGGGTCAGTCCAGGTAAAAGCAAAGAGAGGCTGGGATGTCGGGTGCAGGGGAATAGCAAAAAACGCATCTTTAAGGTCAAGAATGGAATAGTTGTGGAGGAAGATATTGAGGACAAAAGAGTGTATGAGTTGGGAACCACAGGGTGGTTAGGCAAAACAATTTAGATGATAAGGCACAAATCCTGAAATAACCTGTAAGACTTGTCCAGTTTTTGAATAGGGAAAATGGAAGAATTGCAAGGAGACTTTTTAGGTTTTAGAAGCCCATGCTGTAGCAGGCAAGAGACAACAGCCTTCAATCCCCTAAGAACCTGTTGTGTGATGGGATCCTGGCATTGAGCTGGGTAAGGGTGATTAGGTTTTAATGGGATAGTAATGGGCCTGTGATTGGTTGCCAGAGAGGGAGTGGAGGTGTCCCACACTTGTAGGTTAAGGTCGGGGGGTACAAGAGGAAGACACGAAGGAGGCTTTGGTTTGGCTAGAAGGGTAGCAATGAGATGTGGCTGTAGTCCAGGAATAATCAGGGAAGCAGATAATTTGGTTAAAATGTCTTGGCCTAATAAGGGAACTGGGCAGGTGGGGATAACTAAAAAAGAGTGCATAGAAGAATGCTGTCTAAGTCTGCACAAGAGTTGGGGAGTTTTAAGGGGTTTTGAAGCTTGGTTGTCTACACCCACAACAGTTATGGGGTCAAGGGAAACAGACCCTTGAAAAGAAGGTAATGTGGAGTGGGTAGCCCCTGTATCGATTAAATAGGGGATGGATTTACCCTCCACCGTAAGAGTTACCAAAAGCTCAGCATCCGTGATGGTCCGGGGGCTTCCAAGGTGATTGGGCAGTGTGATTCTTCAGCTGCTAAGCTGAGGGAATCTGGGATAGAGTCAGCCAAGGAATTTTGGGTTTAGGCTCCAGGAGCTTTAGAAGCATCAGCAATGTGAGTCAGACAGTCCACACTCCAGTGGGGGCCTGCACAGACAGGGCACAGCTTAGGAGGAATCCTGGGCTATGGGCATTCTAAGGCCCAGTGGCCAGGTTTTTCCCATTTGAAGCAATGTCCATGTGGAGGTTTTGAAGGAGTACCTGGGAGCTGTGGCTTGGATGTTCTGAATTTTTTCTACACTGGACACCTGGTTGTGGGTTGTCTTACAGCAGAAGCAAGCAGCTGTAACTCAGAGATGTGTTGTCACTTGGCTGCCTCTTCTCTATCATTGCACACCTTAAAGATGTGGGTAATTAAGTTCTATTGTTGGATTTTAGGGTCAGGATCCAATTTTCAGAGGTTTTTCCTAATGTCAAGAGCAGATTGGGTGATAAAATGCATATTAAGAATAAGGCAGCCTTCTGGCCCCTCTGGGTCTAGCGTGGTAAAGCATCTAAGGGTTGCTGTTAAGTGGGCCATGAACAGGGCTGGATTTTTGTCTTTACCTTGGGTAGTTTCTTTAAGCTTGTCATAATTAACAGCTTTGTAAGCTGCCATTTTAAGCCTTTCAACTAGGCAGGAAATCATGTAATCTCACCTAGCTATACCTGGGGAATCTGATAGTTCCGTTAGGGATCCTCTCAGTGAACTGCTCTAATGCCTTCCCAGAGGTCTGGCTCATGGAGCCAGCAGCTGTCAACATGAGATTGGGTCAGAGAAAAAAACTATTTCCCATTCATCTGGCAAGAGAGTAGAAGTTACGATGACATTTAAGTCACTCCAGGATAAATTGTAGGACAGAGTTAGATATCAGAATTCCTATATATATTTAGTGGTGTCTGATGAGAAAGAGCCTAAACACTGACTGATCTGAGAGTGGTCTGATGGAGAAAAAGGCACACGTACCCTGACTATGCCTTCAGCTCCAGCCAACCCTCTAAGAGGAAATGGTTGGGCAGGTGGGGGAGAGTCACGGAACAAAACTGTAAGTCAGACAGGGTTTGAGGATGGGAGGGGATAGAAGGATTACAGGGAGGAGGAGCAGAGGATGAGGAGGAGTTGGGACCTGGCTTGGTCTGGTGAGGAGCAGCCTGGGGAGGAGGGGAGAGGTCAGAGAGGTCCGTAGAAAAGGAAGATCCAAAAGACTCAGTGATGCTTGGGGTTGGGACTGAAGGGACAGGTGGGAGGGAAAGAAAGAGGATTTGGGATGAGTTGCACTGGGAACAGAGACTAGGAAGGGAATGAAGTGTAAAAAAAAAAAATGCCTGGATGTAAGGCATCTCAGACCATTTGCCCGTTTTTTGACAAAAATTATCTGGGTCTTATAGGATGGAGAAATTGAAAGTGCCATTTTCTGGCCATTTGCAGTCATTATCAAGTTTGTATTGGGGCCAAGTGGTGTTGAAGAAGAAAATAAGGCTTTTAGGTTTTAGGTCAGGTGTGAGTTGAAGAGGTTTTAGGTTTCTAAGAGCACAGGCCAAGGGAGAAGATGGGTGAATGGAGGGCAGAAGATTTCCCATAATGAAGGAGGTAAGTTTAAATAGAAAGTTAGAGACAAAGAGAAGGGGGTGGTGAGCAGCCTTGGTCTGCAATGTGGGTGAGCAAACAAAGTAGGCGTCCCTGCAATTGACTTGCCACCAAGGGAATGTGAGTGAATGACCAAGGTAGACATCCCCTGGTGATCAGACACCAATGAAATGTGGGTGAATAATTAGGCCAGCATCCCCACAGTGATTAAACACCATGACTGGTGCCGAAGTTTTGCATCCATGGGTAAAATGTGTCTCCTTTGTCTCTACTAGAGGGGAAAAAGAACTGGAGTTGGAAGGAGAGAGAGATTGAAGGGTAGTGAGAGGGTGAGATTGAAAGGTAGTGAGAGAGGCTGGAGAAGAGAATGAAAAGACCACTTACCTGATTTGAAATTGGTGAGAAGTCCCTTGGGCTTGTTTGTCTGAGGACTCAAGGTCATAGGCGGATCTCCTCAGCGAATGAGGGCAAGGACAGGGGACTGGTATCCTGAAGGAGTCCTCCTGTCCCAGGTTTCTGCACCAAATGTCATGCACGTCCATGTGAAGAGACCACCAAACAGGCTTTGTGTGAGCAAAAAAACTTTTTAATCACCTGGGTGCAGGCGGGCTGAGTTTGAAAAGAGAGTCAGTGAAGGGAGACAGGGGTGGGGCTGTCTTGTAGGATTTGGGTGGGTAATGGAAAATTACAGTCAAATGGGGTTTTTCTCTTGCAGGAAGGGGCGGGGGTCACAAGGTGCTCAATGGGGGAGCTTCTGAGCCAGGAGAAAGAATTTCACAAGGTTAATCACTCAGTTGAAGTGGGGCAGAAACAAATCACAATAGTGGAATATCATCAGTTAAGGCAGCAACCAGCGATTTTCACTTCTTCTGGGATTCTTCACTTTCTTCAGGCCATCTGGATGTATACATGCAGGTCACAGGAGATATGATGCCTTAGCTTTGCTCAGAGGGCTAACAGGTATACATGTGCCATGGCGTTTACTGCACCCATCACCCCATCATATGCAGTGGTTTTAAGGAGTGAAAAGTTTAATAGTCAAGAAAGAAGGAAGGAAGAAGAAAACATCTGCCCTGTACAGGGACACAGGAATGGGGATTCAAACAAAGAGAAAACTCCATTTGTGGTAGAAAAGTGTCTTCTTCTATGAGAGGGGTGAAGGAGGTGGTGTCTGATTTGCATATGGCTCAGGATATTGGTTTAACCAGGCTTGTTATTGATGAAGCCCGCAAAAAAATTGACCTTCACACCCTAGAATTTAATATGCAAATGCAGGGCACCATGATGTTCTGCCCATGTGGGGATATGCGGGGGTGTGCCATGTTGCTAGGCACATGTGGGGCAAGGGCAAGAAGAAGATGGCAGGAATCACCATGTTTGGGTGGACTCAGTTTCTAATGGCCAACATTTGCATATCAAAACTTGCCAGCCAGCTCTAAGAGCCAGGGATTTCCTCCTAGACAAGAAATGCTTCTGGAGCTGCTGTAAAAGAATCAAAAACTTCCCAAGGACCTCTTTCCCCAATCTCTGCCTGAAATAATTTCTTAATAACTTCTATAACATTTTTCCCATGAAGATATCACGCTAACTGCTGTTAGGGGATTTGGGAAGATGACTTTTTCTGACTACTTTCTGCTGGAAAGAGGTGTTGAATGGAGAACAGCAGCTAGGACCCCCCTGAGGCTGATCTAAGGACCTTCAGAAGAATGGTGTGTCCATACGTGGTTCAGTTTGCAGCACCAGATAGAGTTTGATTGCTTCTAGTTGATAGGAGACAATTCAATTTCAAGTTATAGTATTGAGCACACAGGTTCATATAGTAATATAAGACATATAAGCAAGAGATGGATTAACAAATGGGTAAACAATCTCATAAAGAGACTGAAATTCATTAAAGAGAGATTGTAGCCATCAGGGGCTGAAGGCTGCATTTTCCCTTAGCCTTTCAATAATTTTGATTTGATCTTTAAATGCCTGTAACCCTATTGCAAACAGGAAAGTGAGTACAGCAATTCTCACAAGTTTGATGTAGGAGATAATTTCCATCTACAATTTTACTTGCCAAGATACTGAATTTCCCACTGTTGACTGTGAAGTTCCTTGGTTTTATTTTCCCAAACAAAAAAACCTCCAGGTTATTGGCACCCTACTCACTTTCATTACCTGGAAGAATTTGGAGTATAATTGCCAAGAACTAGCATATTGATCCAGATTTTTACATTACCCAACCCTTTTTGTTTCTTCCAACCTGCAGGAGATCACCACTTGATTAGCAGGAATAAGTAGAGTGAGTCTAAAATATAGGCAAATACTTGAAAACAATGAATGATACTAGGATTCAATGGCAAATGTATAAGTTTTGGAGCACAATTTCTCTCTCCAGTTTTCATTTTTGGTAAAAACAAATTATGATAGGACCATGTTTGTTGTTTGCAGAATGAACTTTATATCTTATACTTGGCCTGATTTTTTGCATGAAGTGAGGCAAGAATGGTTATTTCTTCATAGGCCTTTGGATTGGCTTTGGTGGACCTCTGTTCCACAGGAATCTCAGAAAAGACGTTTAAAGCCAAGTCCAGCCATGGGTTTGTATCCCCAAATACCTGAGTTGGGTGATTCTTTCCTCTTGAGATTCCCAAGATAAACTTGGAGATTCTGGACGTGTTAGAAAGTGACTTTCTTTACTGACACAGATTAGAAACCGTAAGTGGGCACTGTGTAGACAAGGTATGAGGCCAGCTCTCCCCAAGTGGCTTTTATTGGCTCTGCATATAAAGCTTGATTCCTTGAAAGGCAGTATGGCCTTTCAGTCAAAGCCTTGGTAAAATAACCCGTTTTTCCACTAGTGTCCTGTTGAAAAAGGAAAAACGGATTCTAATTGCTCTGATGCAAAAAACTATATTGCCATAGGTTAAGAGTACTCACAGATTCCAAATTCTAGAGGAATCAGGCAAAGAAAAAAAAACATGCTTCAAATTTTGTTCACAGGAGTATCCCTTATTCAATTATTAAAGGCCATAAACAGTTCAAAATAAATTTCCTTGACTCTGAAAAACAAAACAAGGGTCAGCAATATTCCCAGCAAATGTCATTTAAAAACTAAAAGTCCATTTAGTTAACTCTTGCTTTGCTTGATATTTGTAAACATGTCAGTTCTTCATGAGTCCTGTAGTTTTTTTCTCTATTCCAATGTTACAATCTTCAAAACTAATAAAAACTTTCATTTGAGAACACCTCTTGAAGTCCTTAATATAGCTTGATTATAAACCATCTTTTAAGATGGAACAAAGGAAGACAACAATTGTCTATGAATGACAAAATTTTCAGGAAACTTACAGTTAAAAGCATGACTGACAAATATGTTTATATATCTCTGTGATTTACAATACCTTTACTCTTAATTAAAATTGAGAGCATATACTTAGACATTATCATTTTAGACATTATAATTTTACAATCCCATATGATTTTAGAACATGTATTGGTATTATTCAAGAAGATATAACTTAAAGATTAGAAATTGTTTGGCAATTTCATGTGACTAAACATGTCAAATAATACTGTTTATCTCTTTTCTGAATGTTTCTTGGGCCCTCTGAAGAACCCAAAATTCCAGGCATCAGGAAGGACAATTTTGAAATTTGAAGTTTTATATTGGGACACCTGTTAAGTGTTAGAAGTTTAAGACACTTGATGTTATGAAATAAAATTCCAGATTGTGATAAATTACTTATTTTGCCAAAATGATGACTCAAAAGGCAAAAATCTTCCATTAGCCTTTAGTATGCCATGAAAATTCTGTGTCTTAAGATCTCCTTGCTGTGCTTTTCTTTCAGTGGTCAATTTATGAAAAGACCATATAATACTCTTTTGTGTTTAGTTAATGTTTACACATTTTTTGCAAGATTAGTTTTACAATCTTTCTGTAACTTGCTTAAACATCTACTTCTATTTCATCAAGTTTAACATAATTCCTCATCATAGGGAAAAATTTATATTTCCATGCTTTCTTATAATCATTTACTAAAAAACAAATTTTACTTTTTTATATGTCTTGCATGTAAAACTGTTTCATAATCTCAAATACATGTTGCACTGTTAACCTTTAGCAACTTTTGTTTTTGGTGAAAAACCTGATTAGTAAGCTATTTTAATTATGTACCAGTTCTGGCTCCAAGGACCCAGGCAGAATTGCTAATAATGTCTGAATTTACAACATCTAGCTCCATGTGTCTTAGGCCTTATCTATTTGTAAAGCACGCAGTATACAACTTTGGAACATTTAGAAAACCTAGTATCTAAGTTGCATGATTTAGACCACCTATTTGCATTTTGACAACACTTGCATTTTACCAATAATCCTGAAGAACATTTTTGTATCTTAAATTCACAGGAACTAAAAAATATTTAATTTAAGTCCTTGTTTTCCCCTAAACCAATAAATTAGAGCTTTTTGTAATACACATTACACAAAACATACATATAGCAACAGAAACAGACACAAGATTCAACAATTGTAAGAATTTTCATTTTACAACTTCTTAATTGAATTGCTGGCTTTAGGGTGGAGCCCTTGGAGGAAGGAACTAAATAATACGCATTTTTAGGGCATGATAAGCAGGCTCAGCTGAAGACAAAGGCAGATTCCTAAAATTAAGGTGTCATTTTATACTGGATCTCAGGTCCCCAAAAGGTGGGAGATACTATGGGAGAAGACAGTGTAGTCCCTCTACCATGCATTTCATTGCAAGGCAACCCAAAGTCACTCAGTTTATTTTATAATTAGCCCTTTCCCCATGGGAGTCTCATCTCTTAGTGGGAAATATTTTTCATGTCTTTCAGGTAGCCAAGAGCATGCTTCTCTGATTTATAACTACTATTAGCCATCTCTTAAGTATATTTTCTACCTAGTTATTACACACCCCAGTCTTTCATAATGTGAAGTAATTTGGTACCCCCAAGACTCTAAATGGTAAATAACACAAAGCTTAATAGAGCCTTTGATTTTTTTGAAGGAATTATCTTCTTCTAATTTTGGAGGTTTTCTGAGGAAAACAGAGATTTTTTTTTCCAAAAACAGTGTCTGTGGCACCGTCTGTTTTTCCCAAGGAGTCCCATGTTACGAGAAGTTATCTTGTGACCTCTCATGTATGCATTCATTGGTAAGACAAAAATGGAAAAAATAATTCAGTTGACTGAGAAGAAAACAGACTTTTTCCAGAAAAACAAGATCCAAGAGAAAAATATAAAGGTCTTTTAAATATAGCTATAATTTGAATATTCACTTTTAATTAAGCTGAGTATTCTTTAAGAAAATTCTGTTAAATCCCTTGTTACTCAACTTTACCCATGCCAAGCAACAAAGATTTTCAGATTTTGAACTTTACAAAAAGTAACCTCACAAGCCTTAATGAAACTGACAAGCCTTAATGAAACTGACAAGCCTTAATTAGGTTGTGACTTAACCACAAAAGTCACAAGGGGTACAGGTATTTTTAAAGAAGCTATAGGCAGCTTTTGAAACTGTCATTGAAAAATTGTGACTGAGACAGTGAAACACATCCAACCCAAACAATTCCCTCTTGTTTGCAGCCCTCAAGCCATTCTTCTCCACCTCTGAGCATAGGCTACAGCAACTTTGGAAGGAGCCTGGTTTACAATTTATAGACTACAACAAAGACGATAACAGCCTCTTTTTAAGATACACTTTTATTTTGCCTGGGGACCAGACCAAGAAACTAGCCTTAAGATTAGAAACCATGCCTTATGAGTCATGCAGGTGGAGGCTACAAGATTTTAACCCTCCCTAAACTGCTCTCAAGATTATTACTTAAGATAGCTTGTAAACCCCCGCCCGTGAAGGATCAGGTAACACCACCAGACTAATGAACTGGCTTATCTGATTTTGTGGCCCTCCCCAAGGAACTGACTTAGCACAAGAAGACAGCCACCATTATAAAATGGCAGAG
The DNA here is from genome assembly GCF_000001405.40 of Homo sapiens. NCBI lineage: Eukaryota > Metazoa > Chordata > Mammalia > Primates > Hominidae > Homo > Homo sapiens. The sequence continues at coordinate 20,891,473 of NC_000024.10, read as the reverse complement.
ACTATGGTGTTGCCACATGGTTACAGTTCACTTTCCGAAGTACGTGAAACAAGATGGAGACCTGTAGTTTATTATTGCCTGTTTTGTTGGGCAGGTTAGAACTGCACTTAAAAAAAGTAGTTATTGGCCAGGTCCAGTGGCTCACACTTGTAGTTCCAGCACTTTGGGAGGGCAAAGTAGCTGGATCAACTGAAGTCAGGAGTTCAAGACCAGCCTGGCCAACATGATGAAACCCATCTCTACCTAAAGTACAAAAACTAACCAGGCATGGTGGTTGGCCCCTGTAACCCTAGCTACTCAGGAGGCTGAGGCAAGAGAATCACTTGAACCCAGGAGACAGAAGTTACAGTAAGCCAACATCGCACCACTGCACTCCAGTCTGGGTGACAAGAGTGAGACTCCATCTCAAAAACAAAACAAAAAAAATAGTTCTGATTAACTTACAAAATAAAAATTCCTGTACTACTTAAATACTGCTTAGAATAGGTGTCTCAAAAGCATTTAGAAGCCAAATGTCCATTTTCCTACTGATGGGATATATCAGGAAGAAAATCTGGTCACGGAAGACATTTTACATTTAACTGTTAAAAGTAGAAATTTCCTGTTCTGAAAAGTGGCCTAGAGCCTGATTTCTTTTTTTTCTTTCTTTCTTTTTTTTAATTATACTTTAAGGTTTAGGGTACATGTGCACAACGTGCAGGATAGTTTCTTATGTATACACTTGCCACGCTGGTGTGCTACACCCATTAACACTTCATTTAACATTAGGTATATCTCCTAATGCTATTCCTCCCCCCACCCCCCACCCCACAACAGGCCCCAGTGTGTGATGTTCCCCTTCGTGCATCCATGTGTTCTCACTGTTCAATTCCCATCTATGAGTGGGAACATGTGATGTTTGGTTTTTTGTCCTTGAAATAGTTTGCTGAGAATGATGGTTTCCAGCTTCATCCATGTCCCTACAAAGGACATGAACTTATCTTTTTTATGGCTGTATAGTATTCCATGGTGTATATGTGCCACATTTTCTTAGTCCAGTCTATCATTGTTGAACATTTGGGTTGGTTCCAAGTCTTTGCTATTGTCAGTAGTGCTGCAATAAACATGTGTGCATGTGTCTTTATAGCAGCATGATTTATAATCCTTTGGGTATATACCCAGTAACGGGATGGCTGGCGCAAATGGTATTTCTAGTTCTACATCCCTGAGGAATTGCCACACCAACTTCCACAATGGGTGAACTATTTTACAGTCCCACCAACAGTGTAAAAGTGTTCCTATTTCTCTTCATCCTCTCCAGCACCTGTTGTTTCCTGACTTTTTAATGATTACCATTCTAATTGGTGTGAGATGGTATCTCATTGTGGTTTTGATTCGCATTTCTCTGATGGCCAGTGATGATGAGCATTTTTTCATGTGTTTTTTGGCTGCATAAATGTCTTCTTTTGAGAAGTGTCTGTTCATGTCCTTTGCCCATTATTTGATGGAGTTGTTTGTTTTCTTGTAAATTTGTTTGAGTTCATTGTAGATTCTGGATATTAGCCCTTTGTCAGATGAGTAGATTGCAAAAATTTTCTCCCATTCTGTAGGTTGCCTGTTCACTCTGGTAGTAGTTTGTTTTGCTGTGCATAAGCTCTTTAGTTTAATTAGATCCCATTTGTCAATTTTGGCTTTTGTTGCCATTGCTTTTGGTGTTTTAGACATGAAGTCCTTGTCCATACCTACGTCCTGAATGGTATTGCGTAGTGTACTTTGAAGTCAGGTAGCATGATGCCTCCGGCTTTGTTCTTTTGGATCAGGAATGACTTGGTAATGCGGGCTCTTTTTTAGTTCCATATGAACTTTGAAGTAGTTTTTCCCAGTTCTGTGAATAAAATCATTGGTAGCTTGATGGGGATGGCATTGAATCTATAAATTACCTTGGGGACTATGGCCATTTTCATGATATTGATTCTTCCTACCCATGAGCATGGAATGTTCTTCCGTTTGTTTGTATCCTCTTTTATTTCACTGAGAAGTGGTTTGTAGTTCTCCTTGAAGAGGTCCTTCATGTCCCTGTAAGTTGGATTCTTAGGTATTTTATTCTCTTTGAAGCAATTGTGAATGGGAGTTCACTCATGATTTGGCTCTCTGTTTGTTATTGGTGTATAGGAATGTTTGTGATTTTTCCACATTGATTTTGTATCCTGAGACTTTGCTGAAGTTGCCTATCAGCTTAAGGAGATTTGGGACTGAGACAATGGGGTTTTCTAGATATACAATCATGTCATCTGCAAACAGGGATAATTTGACTTCCTCTTTTCCTAATTGAATACATTTTATTTCCTTCTCCTGCCTCATGGCCCTGGCCAGAACTTTCAACACTATGTTGAATAGGAGTGGTGAGAGAGGGCATCCCTGTCTTGTGCCAGTTTTCGAAAGGAATGCTTCCAGGTTTTGCCCATGCAGGATGATTTTGGCTGTGGGTTTGTCATAGATAGCTCTTATTATTTTGATTTACATCCCATCAATACCTAATTTATTGAGAATTTTTAGCATGAAACGTTGTTGAATTTTGTCAAGGCTTTTTCTGCATCTCTTGAGATAATCAAGTGATTTCTGTCTTTGGTTCTGTTTATATGCTGGATTACATTTATTGATTTGCATAAGTTGAAGCAGCCTTGAATCCCAGGGATGAAGCCCACTTGATCATGGTGGATAAGCTTTTTGATGTGCTGCTGGATTTGGTTTCCCAGTATTTTATTGAGGATTTTTGCATCAATCTTCATCAAGGATGTTGGTCTAAAATTCTCTTTTTTTGTTGTGTCTCTGCCAGGCTTTAGTATCAAGACGATGCTGGCCTCATAAAATGAGTTAGGATGATTCCCTCTTTTTTCTATTGATTGCAATAATTTTAGAAGGAACGGTACCAGCTCTTCCTTGTACCTCTGGTAGAATTTGGCTGTGAATCCATCTGGTCCTGGACTTTTTTTGGTTGGTAAGCTAATAATTATTTCCTCAATTTCAGAGCCTGTTATTGGTCTATCAGCAAGACTAATAAAGAAGAAAAGAGAGGAATCAAATAGACACAATAAAAAATGATAAAGGGGATATCACCACTGATCCCAGAGAAATACAAACTACTTTCAGAGAATACTATAAAAACCTCTGCACAAATAAACTGAAAATCTAGAAGAAATGGACAAATTTCTTGACACATACACCCTCCCAAGACTAAACCAGGAAGAAGTTGAATCTCTGAATAGAGCCTGATTCCTCACAGTGTAAAAGGAAGCTGCTATGTCACTTTGAAAAGTGTGCCTCATGTAAGGGAATTCCATTTCCAATAAGTGGCAGTGTTGGATTAAAAATATGTGGTCACCAGAGAAGTGGTAGTGAGGATCTTCGCTGCAAAGGGATGAAAACTGTCCCTAGACTGTAAAGCTACTTGCACATTTCACACACAGAAAGAGTAAGAGGCTGTTATATATATATAAAATATAATATAATATGTATTTATATAATATATATTTACACAATATAAAAATAAAATAAAATATATATTTTATAATGTATATTATTTATATATTATATTATATATTATATATTTATATATAATTATATTATATATAATACACATTATGTTATAATATAATATAATATATATATAATTTATATTATATAATATGTATAATTTTATATATATTATATATAATATATATATACAGACACACACACTTTAAGTTCTGGGGTACATTTGCACAATGTGCAGGTTCATTACATAAGTATAGATGTGCCATGTTGGTTTGCTGCACCCATCAACGCAGCATTTAACTTAGGTATTTCTCCTAATGTTAACCCTCCCCCAGTTCTCACCCCTGGACAGGCCCGTGTGCAATGTTCCCCACCCTGTGTCCAACCGTTCTCATTTTTCAGTTCCCACCTATGAGTGACAACATGCAGCTGCTACATTTTGTTAATCCAGTATATCATTGATGGACATTTGGGTTGGTTCCATGTCTTTGCTATTGTGAATGGTGCCACAGTAAACATACGTGTGCATATGTCTTTATACTAGGATGATTTATGATCCTTTGGGTATATACCCAGCAATGGGATCACTGGGTCAAAAGGTGTTTCTAGTTCTAGACCCTTGAGGAATCGCCACATTGTCTTCCACAATGGTTGAACTTATTTACACTTCTACCAACAGTGTAAAAGCATTCCTATTTCTCCACATCCTCTCCAGCATCTGTGGTTTCCTGACTTTTTAATGATCGCCATTCGACCTGGTGTGAAATGGTATCTCATTGTGGTTTCGATTTGCATTTCTCTTTTTGTATAAGGTGTAAGGAAGGGATCCAGTTTCCGCTTTCTACATATGGCTAGCCAGTTTTCCCAGCACCATTTATTAAATAGGGAATCCTTTCCCCATTGCTTGTTTTTCTCAGGTTTGTCAAAGATTAGATGGTTGTAGATGTGTGGTGTTATTTCTCAGGGCTCTGTTCTGCTCCATTGGTCTATTTACCTATTTTGGTACAAGTACCATGCCGTCCTGGTTTCTATGGCCTTGTAGTATAGTTTGAAGTCAGGTAGCATGATGTCCCCAGCTTTGTTCTTTTTGCTTAGGATTGTCTTGGCTATGTGGGCTCTTTTTTGGTTCCATATGAAATTTAAAGTAGTTTTTTCCAGTCATTGGTAGCCTGATGGGAATGGCATTGAATCTATAAATTACATTGGGCAGTATGACAATTTTCACCATAGTTGGATTCCTAGGTATTTTATTTTCTTTGTAGCAATTGTGAATGGGAGTTCACTCATGATTTGGCTGTCCATTTGTCTGTTATTGGTGTATTGGTAAGCTTGTGATTTTTGCACATTTATTTTTTTCTGATACTTTGCTGAAGTTGCTTATCAGTTTAAGAGATTTTGGGCTGAGATGATGGGGTTTTCTAAATATACAATCATGTCATCTGCAAACAGAGATAATTTGACTTCCTCTTTTCCTAATTGAATAGTTTATTTCTTTTTCTTGCCTGATTGCCCTGGTCAGAATTTCCCACATTATGTTGAATAGGAGTGGTGAGAGAGGGCATCCTTTTCTTGTGCCTGTTTTCAAAGGGATTGTTTCCAGTTTTTGCCCGTTCAGTATGATATTGTCGGTGGGTTTGTCTTAAATAGCTCTTATTATTTTGAGATATATTCCATCAACGACTGGTTCGTTAAGAGTTCTTTGCATGAAGGGCTATGGAATTTTGTTGAAGGCCTTTCTGCATCTATCGAGATAATAGTGGTTTTTGTCTTTGATTCTGTTTATGTGATGGATTACATTGATTGGTTTGTGTATCTTGAAAAAGCCTTGCATCCCAGGGATGAAGCTGACTTTATTGTGGTGGATAAGCTTTTTGATGTGCTGCTTGATTTGGTTTTCCCGTATTTTACTGAGAATTTTCACATTGATATTTTCACAGGGGTATTGGCCTACCATTCTCTTTTTTTGTTGTGTCTCTGCCAGGCTATAGTATCAGGATGATGCTGGCCTGATAAAATGAGTTAGGGTGGATTCCCTCTTTTTCTATTAATTGGAATAGTTTCAGAAGGAAGAGTACCAGCTCCTCTTTCTACATCTGATAGAATTCAGCTGTGAATCCATCTGGTTCTGGGCTTTTATGGTTGGTAGGCTATTAATTATTGCCTCAATTTCAATAGACCAATTTCAACAGACCAATAGCCTGTTATTGGTCTATTCAGAGATTGAGAGTATGTATGTATACAGGAATTTATCCATTTCTTCTAGATTTTCTAGTTTATTTGCATAGAGATGTTTATAGTATTCTCTGAAGGTAGTTTGTATTTCTGTGGGATTGGTGATGATATGTCCTTTATCATTTTTTATTGGGTGTATTTGATTCTTCTCTCTTTTCCTTGTTGTTAGTCTTCCTAGAATTCTATCAATTTTGTTGATCTTTTCAAAAAGCCAGCTCCTGGATTCATTGATTTATTGAAGAGTTTTTTTTGTGTGTCTCCCTCTCCTAAGGAAGGAGATATTTGCAATAGAATGGTTGAGGATTTTCTGCCAACACCAGTAATGGGCTGTTGAAGGGTTTGTCCAGTCCAGAGGCCTCGAATTATGCCAGAATGCTCCCTGGCCAGAAATTCTCAGTTGCCTCAAAACGTTTCCCAGCCTCCTGCAATGGCAAGATCTCCCCATGAAAAGAAGCTAGCTCAAACATGGTCAACATTCCCAATACCCATTGGTAATGGAGGTTTCTCCACCTTCTCCTCAGCAAACCTCACATCTGAGTCTTTAGCATAGCAGCCAATACTAAGTGTATGTACCAGGCTGATGGATGCTTATTGATTTGATTTATTTTAATATAGACGCTAAAGGCACTACTGAATGATAGGACATATTTTATCCTCACTCCCATATGTTTTGCTCTGTTGAAGGCTGTACTTCAGATTCCCAGAACATGCAACCAAATGATATAGCTCCAATCACTGGAGGAACACAAGGTCCCTTTATCTCATTCCAGTTTGGATAAAATGACAAGGACATACATGTAGTGGTTTCAAGGAGCAAAATGTTTAGTAGGCAAGAAAGAAAGAAGGAAGAAGAAAACAACGGCCCAGTATAGAGGCATAAGGAGGGGGAATTCAAACAGAGAGAAAACCCCTATGTGTGGCAGAAATGTGGCTGCTTATATGAGATGGCTGGAAGAGGTGGTGTCTGATTTCCATAGGGCTCCGGGGATTGTTTTGACCAGGCATGTCTTTCACGTAGCCTGCAAAAAAACAGTCCCTCACTCTCTAACCTTTTAGTATGGAAATGCAGGGCACCAAGGTGTTCTACTGACGTGGGTATGTATGGTGGCCACTATGTTGCCAGGCATATGTTGGGGCAAGGCCAAAGAGAAGACAGCAGGAGTCAGCATGTTTGGATGGACCCAGTTTCTAATGGCCAGCATCTGCTTATCAAAACTTACTTGCCTGGCTCTAAGAGCCTGGGCTTTGCAGCTAGACAAGAAACACTTCTGGAGCTGCTTTAAAAGGAACAAAAAGTACCCAAGGACTCCTTTTCCTCTCTATCTGCCTAAAATAATTTCTTCTTATTCCTCTTTTTTTTTTATTTTATTATTATTATTTTTTGAGATGCAGTCTCACTCTTGTCCAGTCAGGAACGCATGGCAAGGTTATGGTTCACTGCAACCTCTGCCTCATGGGCTCAAGTAATTCTCCTGCCTCAGGCTCCCAGGTAGCTGGGATTACAGGCACCCACAACCATGCATGGCTAATTTTTTGTATTTTTAGTAGAGATGGGGTTTCACCATGTTGGCCAGGCTGATCTCACACTCCTTTCATCAGGTGATCCACCCACCAAAGCGTCTCAGAATGCTGGGATTACAGACCTGAACCATCATACCCAGCCTAAAATAATTGCTTAGTAACTCCTATAACAAATGTAAAAAACTAAATGCTATAAACAAACTTGTCATAATTTAGGATCAAAGGCTATTATTTGATATTATGTATCTGGATAATTTCCAGTATAAAATTATAGAAAAACACTTTTTTAAAGTGTTCTTATTAAAGGTAAAATATCTCTGTCTAACTCAAGGTATATTTAAATTATATATAGGACATGTAATTAATCAGAAAATAAGAGATATAAATATGTGGATGAGTTATAAATATATGGAGGAGTTTTGTTGAAGAAGGTAAAAATAAAAGTTGTGTTATATTAAAAAAATCTTGTGTAGTGAATTTTTGTTTTAAAATAAAATGAATTGGTTGCCCAGGAAAGAGGGTTATTTAAGAGAACATCAGTTCTAAGCACATTGTGAATGGTCTATGTAAGTTGCAATAAGGTTAGTAAAAACATTTTTGTTTTTGTTTTTTTTTTTTTTTTGAGACAGAGTTTCTCTCTTGTTGCACAGACTGGAGTTTAATTGTGCAATCTCAGTTCACTGCAACCTCTGCCTCCCAGATTTAAGTGATTTTCCTGCCTCAGCCTCTTGAGTAGCTGGGATTAGAGGCATATGCCACCACATCGTACAGATTTTTTGTATTTTTAGTAGAGACAGGGTTTCACCATGTTGGCCGTCTTGGTCTCAAACTTCTGACCACAGGTGATACACTGACCTCAGACTCCAAAAGTGCTGGGATTACAGGCATAAGCCACTGAGCCCAGCCAGTAAAAGGTGTTTTTAAGGGTGTTGTATAATTTAGTTGGCCATGATTAAGAAGAAAGTGAAATAGTTATTTCTAGAGATGGGCCTTTAATACTAAAAAATAAAAGTACACTAATACGAAATGAAAAAATTAGTTAAAACCAGATTTTATTAAAATATTTGACTTAATGCAAGATTTTTATATTTTAATACTCTATAGTCTGTATCTTTAATATTCTTCAGATTGATATCTCAGAAGTTCACCTTTTTCTGTTTTGAAAAGGACTTGAATAATTGCTCTCTCCTTCACCTATTGTGGGCTCATGTAGCTATTATTAATTATCTAAAGTGAAAGATTTTTTTTGAAAGCAGGCAAATAAAATAGCTTTTTGACCTGTCTTTTAATTCTACATCCCTGTTATATCTCTATCTTTATGTGTCATGTGGAAGTGATACTTCACTACCAAACTATGTGAAAGAGCTTTAATCAAGCATCTTTAAACAAAAGTAAATGCCTATCAGATTGGTAGAAGCTATTAATTAACATGGTCTTGTTAATCTTTGTAAATTTCATCTCAAAATTTTCTAGTAGTTTAAATTCTTAAAGTCATGTTAAACCCTTGAGATCCCCCATGACTGGAAAGGTTACTAGAAAGTTAAAATAGTAGGAGCATAAAATACGCTTTTTTCTAGAATTTTATAAAACACAGAATTGTGTTTGTTAAGAAACTATTTGTGATGCTTTATATGAAGGAAATTATACAGAAAAAATGAGTGGATTTTTTAATAACTCTGAGCCCCCGTGTTTACCAAAAAAATAGTAGGGGGAAGGGTAAAACTAAGTAACCATTAAAAGCCACAGGGTGGGCTAGGCATAGCGACTCATGCCTGTAATCCCAGAACTTTGGGAGGCCAAGATGGGCCTATCACAAGATCAGGAGATCAAGAACATGTTGGCCAATATGGTGAAACTCCCTCTCTACTAAAAATACCAAAGTTAGGTGGGAATGGCAGTGTGTGCCTGTCATCCCAGCAACTTGGGAGGCTGAGGCAGTAGAATCACTTAAACGTGGGAAGCAGAGGTTACAGTGAGCTGAGATATGCCACTGCACGCTAGCCTGGCTACAGAACTAGACACCATCTCAAAAAATAAAAAAATAAAAAATAAAAAAATAAAAATAAAAATAAAAAGCTAGGGGGTGTAATGTAAAGTAATTATTTCATTTTATAGACTGGAATCATTCAGCTTCTTTAAAAAATTTTTACTATAGGGGATGATAAAAATAACCACTTAAAAGACAAAATTTTTAATTGAAAATGCTATAGAATTAAAGCGCTTGTTTGGATTAAGGCAGGAACCACAGCTTATTAATGAACAATCAGTAAGTATATGTGTTAAAAATTCACAGGGGCTTATTCCTGAGAAAGCAATCAGCCTAGTGGGTCACATAATGCCATTGTAAGGTTTGTTTGACCTCATAAGGGAACTGTACAACTCTGTATAAAATACAAAGTGGACCACCCCAGACAAAGCAGTTAATATGCTTCTTACGCAAGCCACGTTGGACTAGCTTTATGATAACTTGGATATCCTTTCACCAGATATTCTTATTGTGAAGGTCATGGTAAATTTCAGGTTAAGGGGGCCACTTTTACATTGGTATCTTTCCCTCAGAATCACAGGAGTGTTTAAGAAGCTTTATCAAATTTGCTGTCCCTCACAGGTCCTACAGACGCAACTCCCTGTTGTGAACCAAAACCTCTTTCACCAGAAAAGTTAAAACAGTCTCCTAAAAAGGGTTCCTGAAACCAGAACATAAAAAAGTATACTGTAATAGAATTACATAATTTAAGGTGTTTAAACAAGTTTTATATAAGGTGTTTGTAACTACTTTCATTAATCTGTTTTCATGTTGCTGATAAAGATATACCTGGGACTGGGAAGAAAAAGAGTTTTAATTTAACTTACAGTTCCATGTGGATGAGGAAGTGTCAGAATCAATGCAGGAGGCAAAAGGCACTTCTTACATGGTGGCAGTGAGTAAATGAGGAAGAAGAAAGTGGAAACCCCTGATAAACCCATCAGATCTCATGAGATATACTTATTATTACAAGAATATCATGGGAAAAAGAAGTCCTCTTGATTCAGTTAGCTCCCCTTTGGTCTCTCCCACAACACATGGGAATTCTGAGACATTCAATTAAAGTTGAGATTTAGTGGGGAGACAGCCAAACTATATGACTCCTTTACCTAAAAGTCTTATGAAAATGGGTACTATATCTAACTGGGGGATGTTTCGCCTGTCTAGTACTATTAAACTGAAGGTATATGAATTTCTTTTATGAAATGTTAATTGCTCATGCTAAATGGGAACTGGTAAATTACCTAAGCCCACAAAATAGAGGATAAAAGCTGAAGTGCTAGTTGGATTATCCTCCATTGCATAGCCCTTTATCTGAAGCTTTTTTCAGGGCTGCTGGCAAAAACTATGAATACCTTTCAATAACAAAAACTGAACTAGATTATTTCTACTTCATGTGGCATTTACAGCCTTGCTATAAAATATTAACTGAACCTAACCCTATGCTAATGCAAACAAAGTTTCCCAAAAGGTTTACAATAAAATGAAAATGGTTTATATAAAATCTTTCTACCTAGGCCTCTTTCCTAAGACTAACTGTGAGAAGCAACAAAATTCTACAGTGCCTAACATCTCTGATGACCTGTTCAGTTTGTATATGGCATTTCTAAGGTAAACAAACATCTTGTTTTAAAAGCTGCTGCTCTGGTTAAAGAAGGGTGAAGAAAATCATTTTCTTTTAAGTTATTTGGGTAAACTATGTCTTTGTAAGCAAATTTACCTTTTGAGTTCTCAAAATTCAGATTGTAATTTTATGAAAGTATAGTTGTCTGCATTATTTCAGTAACAGTTAAAAACATTGAGACCCTTGTTATTTTACCAAGACTTAAACTAAAATGGCCTATTTTTATGTAAAGTTCCAGTGAAGCCAACTTTAAAAAGAAGTCTATATGGCCGATGAATTATTGCTGCATTTTATGCAAACAATCAGGCAAGCATAATAAGCCTGAAATTCACCTTGCATACAAATTGGCCTTGCTATAATTTTATCTTTAATAAAAAAAAAGCAGCTAAAGAAATTGTTTCAAAGAAAAAGCATAATACCTAATATTAGATTTCAGCCCTGACTTTTTTGAGTGCAGATTAAATTATTATTTATTGGCTACAATAGTCCTCTAGGATGTACCACATTATCATTTTTTTCTCATATTTTTAGTTGGTTCACTAATAGAACAGGTTCCTTTTTGTTGTTGTTCTGACATATGAATTACCCTTGTAATTGTTCAAATATAAATGTTATTTATCTCTTTTTGTTTTACTTCCAAGGAAATCAAAATCATGGTGTTCTAAAGAACAAAGATATGAGTATTCCTCATTTGACATCCCACTGGGCCTGCATGTGTTTCACTGCTAATGCCTCTGCTGCCAGAACTATACAAGCTGCCTGCCTTTAGGCCCAGAGACCATCATGGAGGAGGTAGGCAGGTGAGATTATAAGGGCTGGTTTTGAGAAATCAAATTAGGTCAAGGTCAAACTCTCCAAATTGAGAATGGGGTACAAAAAGGGCCAAACAGCTGGCAAAACAAGTTTAGTTTCCTTCTAAATTCATGTATTACTTTGCATCCACTCCAACCATAAACATTTTCTCTTTACTACAGAAATAAAGAAAAGTATTTACTAACAAGATAAAAATACCTTGTAACAAAGTCTCCTGGGTATAATATGTTCAATTACAGGTTGTGAAGATAAATATATCTATCTATACAACTATTTTTAATTGTTTTTCAGAACATGCTTAAGTTTTTATAGCTTATTGCTATAAGTCTGTAACAGAAACCAAGCTTACAGTAGTCCAACCCATAGAAGTTGAAAATGATTTAGTCTTGCAACTTTGCTTTTTTTTTTTTTTTTTTTTTTTTTTTTTTTTTTCAGACAGTCTTGCTCTGTCACCCCAGCTGGAATGCAATGGTGTGATCTCGGCTCACTGCAACTTCTGGCTCCCAGGTTTAAAGGATTATTCTGCCTCAGCCTTCTGATTATCTTGGATTACAGTCACTCACCACCTCACCCATCTAGTTTTATTTATTTTTAATAGAGGTGAGGTTTCACCATGTTGGCTGCCTGCTCTCAAACTCTAGACCTCAATTGATCACCTGCCTTGGCATCCCAAAGTGCTAGGATTACAGGTGTGAGCCACTCTACTCAGCCTGCATTTTGGTTTTGTTGTTGGCTATTTTTTCCTTAAATAAAAATTCATTTCAGAAGAAATGAATGCTCATCCATATCCATTCCTATATGTTTTTAAAAAATTAATTGGCTATAAATGTTTTGATTATTAAGGTCCTCTGCCATAGGGAGTCCCACTGAGGGAAAAAAAAATGCACTATAGAATTATATGACTTCTCTTGTAACTGAGCCTCCTCTTCTCTCCCAAATACCAGTACATGGTGCAATATAAAAGTGGTGGGAACAATGGTTTCCTCCACTTTTAACAAGTCCTATAACAATTTAGGCACTGAGGACTCTGCATTCCTTGCATTCAGATTTATACCCTCCTTGGGATTTTATACATGTGTGGAGATAAATTGGTCAGAATAGAGACTAAATTTCTTGGATTCTGATTTAATGTTAGTTCTACAACCCTCAAATAAGAGTTATCATAAGGTCACATAATGCTTGGTAAAGCAGGTAAACATATTGTGAGACTGATCAAAGAATATGCATATCATATAATGATAATTCATACAGGGTTTTTGTCTGACTAGTTCACTTGTTTACTGCCACTGATTCTACATATAAACTTTTTGGATTCCTAATCTTCCCTATCTTTATAATATTTGTTACTATATTAGCATTATTCATATCCTGTAAGTGTGATGCCAGATACAGCAAAAGAAAAAGGCACAGTTAAAGACCCAGATCATGATAGCTCACAAAATAGATCTGATCTGAATTTTTTTTTTTTTTTTTACTAAACTATAGGATTGATTTCATCTCACTCCTTAAATAATTGGCTATTGCATTGGATCAAACCATGTCCTCCCACCATGATCCAAATCACTAATGTTTAAAACTATTACCATCAAAGCAGAGAACGTTAGAAATAAGACTTCCTAGCACCCTGGGAACTTGACAGATAGCCAAATTAGACAACTCTAGGAATGAGCCTTCCTAAATGGCCTGAGACCTGCTGCTGTGTGTTGGCCTGCACATGTATTCTACATAATGCGTTTCACCAAGAGTGGGTCTGAGAACTAAGCTCCAATTTTTAATCTTGCCCAAATTACTATCTAAAAGGTCTGGGGATTCATGCCCTACAAACCACAAATTCTCATCAGATGGCTTTTATTTAAGCTTATATATCATGACTTACTTTCCGATCTGATTCCGGCATAACACTATGTGACAAAGAAGAAAGTAAAAATGGTTTACCCCAAAACATGTTTCTTTCCCATATTTTAAAATGGCCTTGCAACCCTGTCCTTTGTGGGGGTAAATTTGCATCTGTAAAGAACATTAATATAGGTATATCTTTTTCTTCCAGGCCCTCCCAATTCTGAAGAGATGAATTAAGTGTCTAGTACTTTTCTAAGGTCCGAATAGAAAACATTTGTCATCTATTCTCTCTAAGGGTAGCCATTATAAGACTTCAAAAGAACCTTGGTCTCCACAACATTTTATCTTAACCTGAATATTACTTATCAATCCCAGGTCTTTGGATAAACTCATCGAATTATCAACCAGAAAATGTTTAAATTTACCTAGAGTCTGCAAGTCCCTCTCACACCCCGAGCTTTGGGTTGTCCCACTTTTCTAGACCAAACCAATGTATTTCTTTTTTTTCTTTTATTATTACACTTTAAGTTTTACAGTACATGTGAACATTGTGCACGTTAGTTACATATGCATACATGTGACATGCTGGTGTGCTGCACCCACTAACTCATCATCTAGCATTAGGTATATCTCCCAATGCTATGCCTCCCCCCTCCCCCCACCCCACAACAGTCCCCAGAGTGTGATGTTCCCCTTCCTGTGTCCATGTGATCTCATTGTTCATTTCCCACCTGTGAGTGAGAATATGTGGTGTTTGGTTTTTTGTTCTTGCGATAGTTTACTGAGAATGATGATTTCCAATTTCATCCATGTCCCTACAAAGGACATGAACTCATCATTTTTTATGGCTGCATAGTATTCCATGGTGTATATGTGCCACATTTTCTTAGTCCAGTCTATCATTGTTGGACATTTGGGTTGGTTCCAAGTCTTTGCTAATGTGAATAATGCCACAATAAACATACGTGTGCATGTGTCTATAGCAGCATGATTTATAATCCTTTGGGTATATACCCAGTAATGGGATGGCTGGGTCAAATGGTATTTCTAGTTCTAGATCCCTGAGGAATCACCACACTGACTTCCACAATGGTTGAACTAGTTTACAGTCCCACCAACAGTGTAAAAGTGCTCCTATTTCTCCACATCCTCTCCAGCACCTGTTGTTTCCTGACTTTTTAATGATTGCCATTCTAACTGGTGTGAGATGGTATCTCATTGTGGTTTTGATTTGCATTTCTCTGATGGCCAGTGATGGTGAGCATTTTTTCATGTGTTTTTTGCCTGCATAAATGTCTTCTTTTGAGAAGTGTCTGTTCATGTCCTTCGCCCACTTTTTGATGGGGTTGTTTGTTTTTTTCTTGTAAATTTATTTGAGTTCATTGTAGATTCTGGATATTAGCCCTTTGTCAGATGAGTAGGTTGTGAAAATTTTCTCCCATTTTGTAGGTTACCTGTTCACTCTGATGGTAGTTTCTTTTGCTGTGCAGAAGCGCTTTAGTTTAATTAGATCCCGTTTGTCAATTTTGTCTTGTGTTGCCATTGCTTTTGGTGTTTTAGACATGAAGTCCTTGCCCATGCCCAACCCTTCATGCTAAAAACTCTCAATAAATTAGGTATCGATGGGACGTATTTCAAAATAATAATAGCTATCTATGACAAACCCACAGCCAATATCATACTGAATGGGAAAAAACTGGAAGAGTTCCCTTTGAAAACCGGCACAAGACAGGGATGCCCTCTCTCAGCACTCCTATTCAACATAGGAAGTTCTGGCCGGGGCAATTAGGCAGAAGAAGGAAATAAAGGGTATTCAATTAGGAAAAGAGGAAGTCAAATTGTCCCTGTTTGCAGATGACATGATTGTATATCTAGAAAACCCCATTGTCTCAGCCCAAAATCTCCTTAATCTGATAAGCAACTTCAGCAAAGTCTCAGGATACGATGTATTTCTTAACTGATGTCTCATGCCTCTGTAAAATATATAAAACCAAAACCAAGCTGCACCATGACCACATTGAGCATACATTCTCAGGCTGTGTCAAAGGCCATGGTGACTTATATTTGTCTCAGAAAAAAAATCTTGAAAATATTTTACAGAGTTTGACTCTCGTTATTGACAAAAGACTGAAAACTTTCTCTCATATCAAAAATAAGTGAAACATAAATTATTTTTCAATACAATACTAGAGGTTTTAACCAACACAATTAGGTTTTGGGGTAGAGAGAAAAAAATAAAAGGTATAGAGATTAAAAAAGATGTGAAACTACCTGTATTTAAAATGACATGTTATGTATGTAGAAAATTTAAAGGAATCCATACAAAAAAAATCACAGCTAGTAAATGGGTTCAGCAAGGTTGCAGTACAAAACATCAGTATAAACAAACCAACTGTACTTTTGCATACCAGCAATGAACAATTGAAAATGATGCTTAAAGAAAACTCGCTTGAACCCTGGGAGGCAGAGGTTGCAGTGAGCCTAGATTGTACCATTGTACTCCAGCCTAGGTGACAAACACAAAACTCCACCTCAAAAAAAAAAAAAAAAAAAATCAACTAGGCAATACTTTCCAATTTAGATGATATAGAAAATATTTAAAATAGCTGACCACAGATCAGATCATAATTCAAATCTCTATTCATTCATATATTTTAATTTATGCTTCTATATAATTTATACATACATTTCCATATTATAATACAGATCACATTTTTGTTATTTTTTAATGTTTTTATTTTGTAATTTTATTTTACTTTAAGTTCTGGGACTCATGTGCAGAACATGCAGGTTTGTTACATAGGTATAGATGTGCCATGGTGGTTTGCTGCACCTATCAACCAGTCATGTAAGTTTTAAGCCCAACTTGCATTAGGTATTTGTCCTAATGCTCTCCCTCCTTTTGCACACCCACCCACCCTGAAAGGACCTGGTGCATAATGTTTTCCTTCCTGTGTCCATGTGTTCTCATTGTTCAGCTCCCATTTATAAGTGAGAACTGCAGTGTTTGGTTTTCTGTTCTTTTGTTATTGCTGAGAATGAATGATGGTTTCCAGCTTCATCCATGTCTGTGCAAAGACATGAACTCATTCTTTTTTTTTTTTTTTTTTTTTGAGACAGAGTTTTGCTCTTGTTGCCCAGGCTGGAGTGCAATGGCATCATCTCAGCTCAACACAACCTCTGCCTCCAGGGTTCAAGCAATTCTCCTGCCTCACCCTCCTGAGTAGCTGTGATTACAGGGATGCACCACCACACCTGGCTAATTTTGTATCTTTTAGTAAAGACAGGGTTTCTCCATGTTGGTCAGGCTGGTCTCAAACTCCTGACCTCAGATGATCATCTACCTTGGCCTCCCAAAGTGCTGGAATTACAAGCATGAAAACTCATTCTTTTTTATGGTTTCATAGTATTCCATGGTATATATGTGCCATATTTTCTTTATCAAGTCTATTATTGATGGGCTTTTGGGTTGATTCCAAGTCCTTGCTATTGTAAATAGTGCTGCAATAAATATACATATGTCCTTAGAGTACAATGATTTATAATTATTTGGATTATACCCATTAATGGGATTGCTGGATCAAATGTTATTTCTGGTTCTAGATCCTTGAGGAATCGCCACACTGCCTTCCACAATGGTTGAACTAATTTACACTCCTATCAACAGTGGACAAGTGTTCCTATTTCTCCACATCCTCTCCAGCATCTGTTGTTTCCTGACTTTCTAACAATTCTAACTGGCATGAGATGGTACCTCATTACGGTTTTGATCTGCATTTTTCTAATGACTAGTGGTGATGGGTTTTTTTTTCATATGTTTGTTGGCTGCATAAATGCCTGCTTTTGAGAAGTGTGTTCACCCCCTTTTTGAAGGGGTTGTTTGTTTTTTATAAATTTGTTTAAGTTCCCTGTAGATTCTGGATATTAGACCTTTGTCAGATAGATTTCCCCATGTGTCATGGGAGGGACCTATTGGAAAGCAATTGTATCATGGGATTGGTTTCCCTCATGTTGTTCTCATGATAGTGAGTGAGTTCTCATGAGATCTGAGGGTTTTATAAGCCTCTGGAATTTCCCCTGCTTGTACTCATTCTCTCTCCTGCCATCCTGTGAGGAGGTGTCTTCCAACATGATTTTAAGTTTCCTGAAGCCTCCACAGCCATGTGGAGCAGTGAGTCAAAGTCTTTTATTTATTAATTACACATTCTTGGGTATTACTTTATAGCAGCCTGTGAGTGGTCTATTATCCCCACCAATAATGTGAATAAGGTGAAATCTTCCAAGCTGTGCTAACTCTTACTAAAGCTGTGAGGTTTTAGAGCAACCAACAGCCAATTATGTACACTGACATTAACCGTTTATCAAAAAACCTTGGCACTATCATTTATGCAATTAATTCTATACAAAGGCAGTAGTAAGGTAAGAAACCACAGTGATTACCTAGGACACCAATGTGCCTCCAGAGAAGTCCAGTGGTTCTGGACATCCTTCAGAAGGCAGTCAATGAAGTGACCAGTGCTTCTTCTAGGAAGAGATGCCAGTAGCAGCCATCAGATCTGGAAAAGTTCTCAAAGTTATCATGAGCAAAGCCTCCAAAGGCATTTTGGACAAGACCTGGTCTCTGTTGGTTTTATAATTCTCTGCATGTGGGTTTATTCTTATTACATCATCCATCTTTTGATTTCTGTCAGTTTGTTTTACATCTCTCATTACCCTGGGTGCAGCAAGCGTACCTTTTCTCCTCAGCCATTCATATTGTTTATCTCTGTGGGGATGGTTGGGTAGCTTTACTGTGGGCTTAATTTTACTCAATATACATTAGTCTATTTTGAGGCACTGTGATCACAAATCATTGTAACATATCACTGGGGCAGACAATAGGCACTACCCAAGGCTGAAGGCAGACAGCTCAGTTTATTCTGGGGATATTCTGTTATGATTATGGTGCCACTTGCTTTGAGAAACCTTCTGTTTTCACATATTTTTAAATGATTTCTCTTCACTGCTTGTAGACATGTTCTACTGATTTCTGAATAAAGAGACTGACTGCACCATCCTACCCTTCAGAGCATTTGTACAAATACTTCAGCCTTGTCAAGAAGTACAGTTCATTAATCTTGTAATTTT
This sequence comes from Homo sapiens, assembly GCF_000001405.40. Lineage (NCBI taxonomy): Eukaryota > Metazoa > Chordata > Mammalia > Primates > Hominidae > Homo > Homo sapiens. Next base: position 20,872,778 of record NC_000024.10, on the reverse strand, counting down.
ATCTGTTAAGAGAATAAATAAACAACACATCTGATCTGTATACCCACCCTCCCCTTTACTCAAAATGCCAAACACGGCCGGGCGCGGTGGCTCACGCCTGTAATCCCAGCACTTTGGGAGGCCGAGGCGGGCAGATCACGAGGTCAGGAGATCGAGACCATCCCGGCTAAAACGGTGAAACCCCGTCTCTACTAAAAATACAAAAAATTAGCCGGGCGTAGTGGCGGGCGCCTGTAGTCCCAGCTACTTGGGAGGCTGAGGCAGGAGAATGGCGTGAACCCGGGAGGCGGAGCTTGCAGTGAGCCGAGATCCCGCCACTGCACTCCAGCCTGGGCGCCAGAGCGAGACTCCGTCTCAAAAAAAAAAAAAAAGTGCCAAACACACAGAACTAGTTTCCTTCTACCTCAACCACTTCAGAAGTCAAATTTTCATTAACACATTAGACGCTCACTTGCTGCTCTCCCTTTATCTGACACAATCCCATTTCTGGATGAGCTTCACTCTTTGTTTTCTCAAGGACACCACTCAGATGAACAAGAGGAGTATTAAACAGAGGTCAGAAAGTATTCTCATAAGTTCAAATTATCCACACAACAAATTGGCCCTAAATATTTCTAGAAATAAGTAAAAATTTATGTTTCTCCAGTGATACCATTTCTTCAGAAACCCAACAAGTATAACAAATATCTTCTATGTTCAACCTTTATTCAACCTCTTCCACCTAATATTTTGACAAATTATTAAAAAATATATTTTGCCAGGCAAAAACCAATTGTTTTTCCATTGCTCCCGAAAGTAATATGAACAGTCTGTACCTACCTTATCTTCCTCTGTCTAATATGTAAGAAAAAAGTGCCTCTTACTTCTGGTATAAGGCAAATCTGAGATAAAAGACTTCAATGACATCAGCTGGGTGTGGTGGCTCACGCCTGTAATCCCAGCACTTTGGGAGGCTGAGGCGGGCAGATCATGAGGTTGGCAGATCGAGACCATCCTGATCAACACATTGAAACCCCATCTCTACTAAAAATACAAAAAATTAGCCAGGCATGGTGGCGGGCGCCTGTAGTCCCAGCTACTCAGGAGGCTGAGGCAGGAGAATGGTGTGAACCTGGGAGGTGGAGCTTGCAGTGAGCCCAGATGGCGCCACTGCACTCCAGCCTGGGTGACAGAGTGAGACTACGTCTCAAAATAAATAAACAAATAAATTAATTAATTAATTAAAATAAAAAAATAAGACTTAGATGACATCAGTCTAACTTTTAATATAATCTTCTCTGTTAAAAATAATCAAATCAGTGGGAAACCATTAGGCTGTGGAGGCTCCTGTGTCCTGAGTCTCTCCTTAAACAAACCCAATCTTGATTCAGTGTAAATAGTGAAACTTGACTCAATGTAAATAATAAAGGGAAGCTTAACCTCAACCAACCAGAAGCCACCAACGAACCTCTGAAGAATGTTCTGTAGCAATATTTCCAATGAGGCCACCGTTTCACTTTATCCAATCAAATATATATGTATGTTTTTCTCCTTCTCCAACATTCACCTTGTAAAAGTTTATGCCCACCCTCACTAACTCACTCTTTTGGGTCTCTAAACTACTTGTAATATGGGTCTAACAGACTCATGAGTTGTTGACTCTTTAAATAAAGTTCTTAATATTTCAATGTGTCTAATTTTATCATTTAACAGCTCTCATGATTATGTAGTTCTTAATCTTCAAGTTTTACTGTCTTCATAGAATTAATTTCTCAGTATATTAATATGTTATCTTCTACAATCTAAAATACTCTATTAATATGGACAAAACTATACCTACTATTCCTATGTGATCCGGCAGTAGCACACCTTGGTCTTTATTTAAATAGCATAAAAGCTGATGTCTAAACAATAACTTGCATGTGTGATTATAGCAGCTTTGTTCATAGATGCCAAAAGTTAAGTGAAACAAAAGTGTCTTTCAATAAGTTAACTGATAAATAAAACTTTGCTATATTTGGAAAATGATATATTGGTCATCTTTGAAAAGAAATTACCTATTGAGCCATGAAAAGACAAAGAGAAATCTTGAATGCATATTAATAACTGAAAGAAGCAATTCTGAAAGTTATCTACTACATTATTCCCAGTAGATGACATTGAGAGAAAGGCAAATCTACAAAGAAATTGTAAAGATTAGTGATTTCTGGTGATTAGGGGAAATAAAGAAAAAATACATAGGTAGAACACAGGATTATTATGGTAGTAAAAATATGCTGCATAATATTAAAATAGCTGACATAATAATCATTTGTTTCATTGCAATTATACATTTCTCCAAACGTTTACAAGAGTAAATCCTAAGGTAAACTCTGAATTCCATGTGATATTACTGTGTCAATATAAGTTCACTGATTGTAATACATTTTCTACTCTGGTGTAGGATGTTGTTAGTGGGGGCATCTGAGAGTGTATAGGAACTGAGGGCATATGGAAACTCTCTGTATTCTGCCCTCAATTTTGCTGTACATTCACAAGTTTTCTGAAACAATAATGTCTCTTAAAAATAGTCTTGACCCGTTTCAAGTCTCCATTTTGTCTGATTCACTTCTAATTAAACTTCTATAAATAATGGCTAATAAGTTAGTTCTGAATCAGTTGGCAGAATGGAGCAAGAATTACCAAGGCAAACCAGACAAGAGGAGCAAATTGCACATGCATGCACTAGGAAGCTTAAGGCAGTTTAGAGACTCTTTAGCATGAGAATGGACCTGAGCTTAATGAAACTGCAACTAAAGGCATGGATGCTTGGGGTACCAATATGAATCTGCCAATATGCAAGGGCACACAAACACACACAGGCACAGTCTCCTTTGCAATCTCTAGCTAAGGGTGTTAAGCCATGTCTGGATTAGGATAAGAGACAGATTAAGAATAACAGGTTGTATAGGCTTTTGTTGTCCTTCCCACCATCAAGAATTTAAGTCTCTTTTGTTTTGCCACAGGCAACCGTAAGACTCTCTGCAAACATCATCTGACCCTCTGTCCCCACACCCTTTAGCAGCTCCCTAGACCTTCCTGTGGCACAGGAGAAAGAACACCTAGCACTACACACTAAAAGGTTCACACAAATCCAGGACTATGTAGGAGTAAGTAAAACCCCCAACTATGACCCTCAGACAAATGCATTCTACCTTCTTTGTCTCTGCCAACAACTGGAGGCCTTAAGATTTTTTAGACTCAAGCCAGTGTTCTGAACCACAGGCTGCTATCTCATCCTATGGCAGAGTAGATCTCTCCACAGACTTACTATGTTATCCAGTTTTTAAAAATGTCATTTTGCAATAACAATGGGGCACAAAAATCAGTGTTTCTTGTCTCTAAACATCATCACCCAGTCAGTATGTACACACCATTTTTGAGTAAATGTCACACATTGAGGCCTTAGGTATTAAAGTATGTGTATTTGCCCCGATTTCAGTAAACATCAAGGTGCTTCAGCATGTCCATAGGCTTAATGCAGACAGGAGAAAAACAAAGCAATGAATACACACAAACCCACAGGGGGATATGCGTGCGTGTGAACACATGCGCGCACACACACACACCCAAACATACTGTGGTGGCCAATGAGATCTCCCTCTAGGCATTTGCAAACAAGGGACCAGAAAAAAATACTAGAGACCTGTCAGAGCTATTTCCTGAGCCCATCCTCATGTGGTGCTGTCTTAGCCTGGTTTAACCCAAGAACCAGCACCTTAATATGTGAGCACTGGCTCCATTTCCTGAACATCCCCATCAAGAAAGACTCTCTTCTATTTAAGGTTAAAGGAAGTTTCCGAAAGAGTGTCCTCATTGGGATGGGAGAAGCGTGTTCTGGAGGGGGTGGAGTTCAAAGGAAGTGAGTCTTCTGCCCACCACCTAGAGAAGCTGGAAATTTTCACCCATGACACAAAGTCCAAATTGCCAGTTACTATTCTAATGTATACCAGATTAGACCCCCTTACTTACTAGATCTGGGCTGCTACCTCAATGAAATTAATGGTCTTTCCATGAAATAGACAGGAAATGGAGCCAGTACTTAAATATTAGGGTGATGGTTTTTGAGTTAAACTAGGATAAGAAAACAAAAGGTCATTACAACTGAACTCCATTACACACTCTGCACATACCCTAGTCTTATGCAAATATGGCACAGTGAATCCCCAGGACACTTGAGCTAGCTCCATGCACTGACTTTCAAGCAGAACTAATGTGCAATCAAAATAAACAAACAGTGAAAGTCATGCAGAAAGGAGAGAAATGAAGCCAAACAGAGAAACACACACACAAACACACACAGACACACACACACCCTTTATTGAGTCCCTTCTAAGACAGAGAGCCCTAGGACATTGCTGTGTTAACCCAGTTCAGCCCAAGCTACCATTACCATTTGTGGTAACTGGCCTTTTTTTTTTTCCCAGAGTAAGTTCTTTTATTTTTCAAATAATAATAAGGGTGGGTGGAGCCAAGATGGCTGAATAGGAACAGCTCCAGTCTACAGATCCCAGCGTGAGTGATGCAGAAAATGGGTGATTTCTGCATTTCCAACGGAGGTACCATGTTCATCTCACTAGGTAGTGTTGGAAAGTGGGTGCAGGACAGTGGGTCTAGAGCACTAAGCATCAGATGAAGCAAGATGAAGCATCACCTCACCTGGGAAGTGCAAGGGGTCAGGGAATTCCCTTTACTAGTCAAAGAAAGGGGTGGAGGCACCTGGAAAATTGGGTCACTCCCACCCTAATACTGCACTTATCCAATGGTCTTAGCAAATGGCACACCAGGAGATTATATCCCGTGCCTGGCTCAGAGTGTCCTACACCCATGGAGCTGTACTCATTGCTAGCACAGCAGTCTGAGATCAAGCTGCAAGGTGGTAGGGAGGCTGGGGGAAGGGCGCCTGCCATTGCTGAGGCTTGAGTAGGTAAACAAAGCGGCATGGAAGCTCAAACTGGGTGGAGCCCACCACAACTCAAGGATGCCTGCCTGCCTTTGTAGACTCCACCTCTAGGGGCAGGGCACAGCCAAAGAAAAGGCAGCAGAATCCTCCACAGACTTAAATGTCCCTGTCTGACAGTTTTGAAGAGAGCAGTGGTTCCCCCAGCATGCAGCTGGAGATCTGACAATGGACAGACTGCCTCCTCAAGTGGGTCCCTGACACCTGAGTAGTCTAACTGGGAGGCACCCCCCAGTAGGGGCAGACTGACACCTCACACGCCCAGGTACTCCTCTGAGACAAAACTTCCAGAGGAACGATCAAGCAGCAACATTTGCTGTTCACCAATATCTGCTGTTCTGCAGCCTCTGCTACTGATGCCCAGGCAAACAGGGTCTGCAGTGGACCTCCAGCAAACTCCAACAGACCTGCAGCTGAAGGTCCCAACTGTTGGAAGGAAAAGTAACAGAAAGGACATCCACACCAAAACTCCATCTGTACATCACCATCATCAAAGATGAAAGGTAGATAAAACCACAAAGATGGGGAAAAAAAGAGCAGAAAAACTGGAAACTCTAAAAATCAGAGCACCTCTCCTCCTCCAAAGGAAAGCAGCTCCTCACCAGCAATGGAACAAAGCTGGACAGAGAATGACTTTGACGAGGTGAGAGAAGAAGTCTTCAGACGATCAAACTAGTCTGAGCTAAATGAGGAAGTTTGAACCCATGGCAAGGAAATTAAAAACCTTGAAAAAAAATTAGACAAATTGCTAATTAGAATAACCAATGCAGGGAAGTCCTTAAAGGACCTGATGGAGCACATCAAAAAGTGTATCCACCATGATCAAGTGGGCTTCATCCCTGGGATGCAAGTCTGGTTCAACACATGCAAATCAATAAGCATAATCCAGCATATAAACAGAACCAAAGATAAAAACCACACGAGTATCTCAATAGATGCAGAAAAGTCCTTTGACAAAATTCAATAATGCTTCATGCTAAAAACTCTCAATAAATTAGGTATTGATGGGACGTATCTCAAAATAATAAGAGCTATCTATGACAAACCCACAGCCAATATCATACTGAATGGGAAAAAACTGGAAGTATTCCCTTTGAAACTGGCACAAGACAGGGATGCCCTTTCTCACCACTCCTATTCAACATAGTGTTGGAAGTTCCAGTCAGGGCAATCAGGCAGGTGAAGGAAATAAAGGATATTCAATTAGGAAAAGAGAAAGTCAAATTGTCCCTGTTTGCCAATAACATGATTGTATACATAGAAAACTCCATCATCTCAACCTAAAATCCGCTTAAGCTGACAGGCAACTTCAGCAAAGTCTCAGGATACAAAATCAATGTACAAAAATCACAAGCATCCTTATATACCAATAACAGACAGACAGCCAAATCATGAGTGAATTCCCATTCACAATTGCTTCAAAGAGAATAAAATACCTAGAAATCCAATTTACAAGGGATGTGAACATCTCTTCAAGGAGAACTACAAACCACTGCTCAATGATATAAAAGAGGATACAAACAAATGGAAGAACATTCCATGGTCATGGGTAGGAAGAATCAATATCATGAAAGTGGCCATACTGCCCATTCAATGCCATCCCCATCAAGCTACCAATGACTTTCTTCCCAGAATTGGAAAATACTACTTTAAAGTTCATATGGAACCAAAAAAAGAGCCTGCATTGCCAAGTCAATCCTAAGCCAAAAGAACAAAGCTGGAGGCATCACGTTACCTCACTTCAAACTATACTACAAGACTACAGTAACCAAAACAGCATGGCACTGGTACCAAAACAGAGATATAAAACAATGGAACAGAACAGAGCCCTCAGAAATAATGCCACATATCTACAACCATCTGATCTTTGACAAACCTGACAAAAACAAGCAATAGGGAAAGGATTTCCTATTTAATAAATGGTGTTGGAAAAACTAGCTAGCCATATGTAGAAAGTTGAAAGTGGATCCCTTCCTTACACTTTATACAAAAATTAATTCAAGATGGATTAAAGACTTAAATGTTAGACCTAAAACCATAAAAACTGTAGAAGAAAACCTAGGCAATGCCATTCAGGAAATAGGCAAGGGCAAGGACTTCATGTCTAAAACACAAAAAGCAACGGAAACAAATGCCAAAATTGACTAATGGGATCTAATTAAACTAAAGAGCTTATGCACAGCAAAAGAAACTACCATCAGAGTGAACAGGCAACCTACAGAATGGGAGAAAATTTTTGCAACCTACTCATCTGACAAAGGGCCAATATCTAGAATCTACAATGAACTCAAAGAAATTTACAAGAAGAAAACAAACAACCCCATCAAAAGGTGGGAGAAGGATACGAACAGACACTTCTCAAAAGAAGACATATATGCAGCCAAAAGACACATGAAAAAATGCTCATCATCACTGGTCATCAGAGAAATGTAAATCAAAACCACAATGAGATATCATCTAACACCAGTTAGAATGGCGATCATTAAAAAGTCAGGAAACAACAGGTGCTGGAGAGGATGTGGAGAAATAGGAACACTTTTACACTGTTGGTGGGACTGTAAAATAGTTCAATTATTGTGGAAGTGAGTGGTTATTCCTTAGGGATCTAGAACTAGAAATGCCATTTGATCCAGCTGTCCTATTACTGGGTATATATTCAAAGGATTTTAAATCATGCTGCTATAAAGACACACGCACACGTATGTTTATTGCAGCACTACTGACAATAGCAAAGACTTGGAACCAACCCAAATGTCCAACAATGATAGAGTGGATTAAGAAAATGTGGCACATATACACTATGGAATACTATGCAGCCATAAAAAAGGATAAGTTCATGTCCTTTGTAGGGACATGGATGAAGCTGGAAACCATCATTCTCAGCAAACTATCGCAAGGACAAAAAAATCAAACACCACATGTTCTCACTCACAGGTGGGAACTGAACAATGAGAACACATGGACACAGGAAGGGGAACATCACACACAGGGTCCTCATGTGGGGTTGGGGGCAGGGGGAGTGATAGCATTAGGAGATATACCTCATGTTAAATGACGAGTTAATGGGTGCAGCACACCAGCATGGCACATGTATACATATGTAACTAACCTGCACATTGTGCACATGTACCCTAAAACTTAAAGTATAATAAAAAAATTAAAAAATGTTAAAAAAGGAAATTATTGGGGGAGGGAGAGAGGTATGACTGTTAAGAGGTGGCATAAGGGTGATATTTGTGGTGATGGAATAGCTCTTTACAGTAGCGGTCACATAAATCTGCATATTTGATAAAATACACTGAACTACACAAACATATGTCATCAATATCAAATTCCTGCTTCTCATACTTTAAGATGTAATTATAGGGGAAAAGTAGGTGAAGGAAACATGGATGATCTCTGTATTACCTTTGTAACTTCCTGTGAATCTCTATTTCAAAATAAAAAGTTAAAAAAATAAAAAATAAATAAATAAAATAATAAGAAGATCCCAGCAGTCAGTCTCCTAATCAGGGCATATAGAGTGGAGAATTTTTCTAAAAAATAAGGCAGGGAAGTTCTGAAGCCATCTGCAGTGGCTGTGGTATTTTTGACATGAGAGCAGGTAAGATTGGACAGGCAGGGGAGGTAGTAATGGTTATGGATTGAGGTGTAGTAAAGGACTCAAATTGGACTCTGAAGATGAAATAAAACGACCCCAAAACATTCATTTTTCACTTCTCAGAGGAAGCCAGATACTCTGGGAGCTAGAAACCATATAGGGGCAGCTAATTAATTATCAGATAAGAGACACCCAGGAGTCATGTTTTCCAAAGGCCTCTGGTCCTCATTCAGGCAGTACAGAATTGTAAGATGTTACTTTATTACCCCTTTCAGCCACTACTTTGGGTGCTTAATGTAGGGAGAGAGACTGAAGTCCTAGAATAAGTTCTTGATTACCCCAAGGGCATGGCTCTGTGTGTAGAGTTGAGCAATGGCCAAAGAGGCAGGAGATGGGGCTGACCCAGGCAGGTTTGAGAAATCCAACTGGACTAGAACTTGTTGGAAACTTCCAAGAGTCCTTGAGACCCTATACTGAATCTAGTAATGCAGCACAACGAGCTGCTGATGGAGGTTTCTTGGAAGTCAACCAACCTCCACTAACATATATGCCAACCAACCAAACCCCCACAATCTGGTTAAGCCACTTGCCCCTCTGACCAATCACAATGTCTTCATTCTGTAAGGCACAGGTAGATATGGAATAGAGCCATGCATGTTCATGGCCCCAAATACATTCAGAATGGACTGGCCATTTTTGAAATTCAACCTTCTTACCCACCGACAAAAGATCCTCACCTTTGCAGGCACTTACAGTAACTGAAAGCCCTATAAATCTTTATGTGTTCCCCTATGGTCTTAACCACTCATGGTGGTTTTAATTTACACTTTTTTTTTTTTTTTTTTTTTTTTTTTTTGCTAGTTGGTGATGTTGAGAACTTTTCCACATACTTTTTGGTCAACTGTGTGTCTTTGAATAAATGTCTACTCAAAATATTGCCCCATTATAATATCTCCTTAATTGTAGGTGGTTTTAAAACTGCCTACAAAAAAATCAAACAACTGTTTGGCTTTTATTATCCTATTTAGGTATACGAGTCCCTTTGGTATTTGGGATATTAACAACTTATCAGATATTGGGTTTGCTGCTCTGATTCTATAGGTTATATTTTCAGTTTGCTGATTGGTATTTTTGCTGTCAAGAAGCTTATCAATTTGACATAGCCTAAAATGTTTATTTTTGTTTCTTATGACTACACTTCTGTAACATATTTAATAAATTATTTTCAAAGTCAGTGGCTAGAAACTTTTCTCCTAAGCCTTTCTCTAGAAGCCTTTTTATTTCAGGTCTTATGTTTAAGTTACCAATACATTCTAATTTTATTTTTAGGATGGGGTAAGATAATGACATGGTTCCCTCCTTTAGCATGTATATATAACTCTTTAGTATGTGGATTCACTTCTGAATATTCTCTGTTAAAGAGAATTTTCTTTTCACATTTTAAAGTTTTGCCTCCCTTTTCAAAGATTTATTGTACATATATAGGTCATTTCTAGTGAATATGTTCATTTCATGGGTCACTATGTGTGTTTTCATGCCTATCGAAGCCACTTTGATTACTATAGCTTGTGTTCATTTTGAAATCAGCAAATGTGATATCTACAGCATTTTCTTCTTTCTCAGGATTTTTTTTGGCCACCTGGTGTCTTTTTTTTTTCTTGAGTACAGTGGATATTCTTGATGGTACATGACAAGGTGGGGCTTCCTAGACCCCTTCCTCTTCAGGTATGTAGCTTGAAAATTGTGTTGAGGAGTAATTATCAGTGCAGTAGGGATTCAGTGCAGCAGAGGGATCCCCAGATGCTAAGGCCCTATCTCTTTCTCTTATGCTCTCTACTGCCAGTGGTGACAGGGCTCTTTAATTCATGGAGGCCAATGTGAACAATAAGGTTGACCACCTTGTTGCTGTAGTCAAATTTATTGTTTACCAAGAACTTAGCTTGACAAAGTAGTCATTAAGTAAAATCCAAGAACCAGCAAGAAAGATGAAGAGTGGATGTCACCATTAAAGTCAGAGGAGACAACTTGTTCTTCAGTGAAGCCTAGGATGCCCTTGAAAGTTTTATCTAGTGCTTGCTTCACTGTCTTTTTTATGCTGTCATATTTTGCAGGTTTATCCTGATGCCATGTCAGGCCAGTAACTGATAGACTGATTGCTGGGACACAGAAAGTTAAGTCAGTAAGTTTCAAATTAAGCTCAAGGATGACCTTTGCCACAGCCTTGGCAGTGCCAGTAGATACAGGAATGATGTTCAGAAAAGCCCCATGGTAGACACTACAGTTTACCAGAGGGACCATTCATGGTATTCTGGGTGGCAGTGATGTAAAGGACTGTGGTCATGATTTTCTCCATGATGCTACATTTATCATGGATAACCTTCACCTGGGGTCTGAGAACTTGCTGATGCAGACAGCATTGTTGATAATCATGACACTATTTTTACTTTTTACTTATGGTTTATGCACATCATGAACATGAGGGCATCAGTAGAAGAGGCAGAGACTGTAACCCCTTAGGACTTTCCATCTATGTGAACCCCAGATGTCTCCATGCCAGTGAAGATTCCCTTTGACTCCACAACATAATCGGTGTCTAATATCATTGTATTTGATTTTGGTGGAATCTTTCTCCTGGAAGATGGTGATGGGATTGTCATTTGTGAAAAACTTTCTATTCTCAGCCTTGCTGGTGCAGTGGAACTAGCCATAGGGAGAATGATACTGAAACATGTAGACAATGTCATTAAGGTCAGTGAAGAGGTCATTGATGGTTACAGTATCTACTTTGTCAGAACTAAAGCATCCCTGGTCACCAGGTGCCTGATAGAGCCAAATCTATTTTTTTGACCTTCACTTTCTGCATAGTGTCTCAGGAATGGAGCTGGTGCTGCCCAAGATGTGACCGTCAAACAAGAGGTGCAGAAAGCTGATATCTGGTTTCCTTTCTTAGTCTACATCAGTGTTTTTATTTTTATTTTTTCTAATTTTATGTTTAAAAGGTCCTTGAGATTTTGAAAGTTCCAGGATAAAATCTTTAGGTTGTTTTGCATAGTAGGGGCATTTTTGCAGTATTGTCTTCCAAATTGTGAACACAAAAAGTATTTTCTTTACTTTTGTTTTTAACTTTTAATAAATATTTTATAATTTTCTGTATAAATCTCTTTTACTTCACTTGTTAAAGTTTATTTCTAAATGAGGCCACTTCATCCCAGACTTTTCTTGAATGATAGGTTTTTATTTCTAATTCAATGTCTCCATTATTGGTCCATTCAGGTTTCTATATCTTCATGATCCAGGTTTCATAGCTTGTATGGTTTTAGAAAATGTATTTATTTCAAATAAATGTATGTAGGTTATTGTATGGAAAGTAATAGGAAAACACCAGTTGATTGCTGCCTAGTCCTGGCCAAGCCTGACCAAGATGAACAAGAAATACATCTGCAGAGCCATTCTTTAACCATAGCTTCATGACAAACTGTTCAACTGCCCTTGCTATCAGACTTTTTACACTATCTCATAAATAGTAATCTCATACAATTAGAAATATTAATCCCAAATGATTCTTAGATAAGGAAAGATTCATGCATTTTGCATAGCTACTTATCATACAGAAAACTAGGTTGGAAGACTGCTGTCTGCCTCTCTAGTTTCCCTGCTGCTTGCCAGTATTCTATTATGCTACTTTCTGCCACTACATAATGCTGTTTCTTGATATTGCTTTAAAAATTGTCCTGAAATTGCAGTGACAAATGTTCAGAACTTTTGAACTGTTCTGCAGCTATGGAGAGGTCCCAGCATAAAAAGATTGTGTTTCCCAGGATGACATTGTGACTTTTCTCGAATTATGTCCCTGAACCCATTATCTGAGGTTTTATTACCTCAGCCTAAGTATCCTGCTCCCACTGACTTTTGAGTTTGGTGTTGAGGAACCTTGCTGCCATCAATTGCACACCCTGGAGCCCATGGAGTAAAAAATAACCTATTCTTGCTACCAATGACTTTCTGCATACATAGTCACCTGAATGCCATGACTCATTACAATGTATTAGAAAGGCAGCTCTTTTCTTCATACAGGGCCCACACAGAGAATAAGGCACTTTAGGAACATGCTTTATTGCTGCTGTGCACCCAGTTTTCTGTTATACCCTGGGTCTCATACTTCTTCAGCAGATAGTCAATAATAACACTAATGCCTTAGTAAAATATAAACTATATCTGTAGGAAGAGGCCAATGGGGAAAATAGTGTTTCCAATGATAGAAGGATGTGCCTTTCCCTTTTTTCAATCCCCTGATCATAAACAGAGAAACAAGTGGCAGCATCTGTTTTTTCAAACAACCCTGGTACATGGGCAGGCCCCTGTGAATTGACGAGTGAATGACAGGGAGCCTACGCACTTCAATGATGGCAGCACCACTAGTGTATGCAGTAGTATGTGGTGGAAAGTGACCTCCTTTCCACACTTATAACAGCATGGCCCTAATACAAAGGACAAAACAGGACAGTGATGTCAGCAAAATGGCAAAGTAGGAGTTATCTGGCTTCAGTGTCACCCACATACAAGCGAATCTAGAGGCAACATTATCACCCCAACATTCCAGAACATGAACTGAGGCTGTGACAGTCACTTGGGATGCAGAATAAAGAAAGAAACATGAGCACATGGTAAGGCTAATGGTCCTCTTTAACTACAAAGCCCCTACACCAAGCAAACAAAGTAACCCATGGAGAAAACCCCTAGATTCAGTCTGTACACTGGGAGAAGTAAATTTGAGATAGCTGTCCAAGTTTCCTAGTCTCCTAGGTTACTTTGCAAGATTTACCAGAGAGAGAGGAAAACATTTAAGTGGATCAAAATTGAGAAGCTATAAAATGTTTTCCCTTTTAATCCTCTTCAAGATCAAGACAAATCAGCTTAGGTGAAGATGTATGTAAACATGTAGTTCCCCATAACTGCCTATGTTTTGCCTACTGGTTTTGCCGATTTCAGAGATTCAGCACAGATTCAGCACAGAGCACAGGGTTATCTGTACCCACTTCCAATTTTCTCCATGACATAGTTCCTCTCCTTGGCTACCAGACATGAGAAAATCTGACTACCCCTTGAGCATCCACCACACACCTGGCAGCATTACCAAGATTAAGTAGCATTAGGTAAAAGATGAGTTCATTAAAAAGAAATAAAAGCACAATGTAATGAGAAATTATCTTTCTGTTCTTTCTTATTTTCTCATATATTGTTTTAATTTACTTCCAGATCTTCATTCATATTCACCTGTTTCTATCTAGCTCCCTTTGATCCTCCTTCTTGCCTGACTACTAACTGTTGGTCCCAGTTAATATAGGCAGAAAACTGTGCACAGTATTCAACAAGACATGAGGTTGAGAGATGTCTAATATGCCCTTCACCTCCAAACACAGTGACACCATTACCACTTTCTCCATAGCTATGACGGTATTATCCACACCCCATGTCTACAATTTAATACTTAAGCCTGAGAGTTCTTGTTCAGTGAAAGTTCAAGCTGCAATACGTCTGGAAAATGTTTTCTACATGAGGGTAAAGAATGAATTTTCTCATAGAGCTTGTAAAGCAGACAGAACAAACAATTCATGAATCAATTAACAAAGGTTATACAAAAACTCATGTTAGTTTAATAATAGAAAAAGATGCTTTTGAACTCAAGCAACAGAATCTGGCTCTAGCATTGAGAGTTCAATATTTAAAGAAAGATTTTAAAATATTGATATATATTTCCTTATAACTATAAGTATTCTAAGGGAATAAAAAATTAACAAATACTTGTGGTCTTAATATTTAAAACTTAACAAAGAAAGAATGCATACAAATATGTACAGCAGAACTGCTCTACATGGACTAAATCTCTAATTGAATAAATTAATCTAATCTGTCACTATTTGTCCTCAGGTCTCCAGAGGAGTGTGTGGATGGAACTAGAAGAAAGACTTCATAGGACTCAGGAAATGCCATTGAAAATAATGCTCTCATCTCGGTGGAGCCAAGATGGCTGAATAGGAACAGCTCCAGTCTACAGCTCCTACTGTGAGTGATGCAGAAGACAGGTGATTTCTGCATTTCCAACTGAGGTACCAGGTTCTCCTCGCTGGGGAGTGCTGGAGAGTGGGTGCAGGACACTGTCTGCAGTGCATCGTGTGTAAGCCAAAGCAGGGTGAGGAAGCACAAGGGGTCAGGGAATTCCCTTTACTAGTCAAAGAAAGGGGTGACAGATGGCACCTGGAAAATTGGGTCACTCCCACCCTAATACGGTGCTTTTCCAATGGGCTTATCAAATGGCACACCAGCAGATTATATCCCGCACCTGGCTCAGCAGGTTCTATGCCTGTGGAGCCTCACTCACTGCTAGCACAGCAGTCTGAGATCAAACTGCAAGGTGGCACTGAGACTGGGGAAGGGGTGCCTGCCATTGCTCAGGCTTGAGTAGGTAAACAAAGTGGCCAGGAAGCTCGAACTGGGTGGAGCCCACCACGGCTCATGGAGACCTACCTGCCTCTGAAGGCTCCACCTCTGGGGACAGGGCACAGACAAACAAAAGACAGCAGAAACCTCTGCAGACTTAAATGTCCCTGTCTGGCAGCATTGAAGAGAGTAGTTGTTCTCCCAGCACGCAGCTTGAGATATGAGAATGGGCAGACTGCCTCCACAAGTGAGTCCTTGACCCCCAAGTAGCCTAACTGGGAGGCACCCCCTGGTAGGGGTGGACTGACACCTCACACGGCTGGGTACTCCTCTGTGACAAAACTTCCAGAGGAGCGATCAGGCAGCAGCATTTGTGGTTTGCCAATATCTGCTGTTCTACAGCCACCAGTGCTGATACCCAAGCAAACAGGGTCTAGAGTGGACCTCCAGTAAACTCAAACAGACCTGCAGCTGAGGGTCTTGACTGTTAGAAGGAAAACTAACAAACAGAAAGGACATCCACACCAAAAACCCAACTGTACGTCACCATCATGAAAGACCAAAGGTAGATAAAACCACAAAGATGGGAAAAAAACAGAGCAGAAAAACAGGAAACTCTAAAAATCAGAGTGCCTCTCCTCCTCCAAAGAAATGCAGCTCCTCACCAGCAATGGAACAAAGCTGGATAGAGAATGACTTTGATGAGCTGAGAGAAGAAGGCTTCAGAAGATCAAACTAGTCTGAGCTAAAGGAGGAAGTTTGACCCAACAGCAAAGAAGTTAAAAACTTTGAAAAAAAAATAGATGAATGGCTAACCAGAATAATCAATGCAGAGAAGTCCTTAAAGGTCCTGATGGAGCTAAAAACCAAGGCACGAGAACTATGTGATGAATTCATAAGCCTCAGTAACCAATGCGATCAACTGCAAGAAAAGGCATCAGCGATGGAAGACAAAATGAATGAAATGAAGCATGAAGAGAAGTTTAGAGAAAAAAGAATAAAAAGAAATAAACAAAGCCTCCAAAAAATATGGGACTATGTGAAAAGACCAAATCTACATCTCATTGGTATACCTGAAAGTGACGGGGAGAATGGAACCAAGTTGGAAAACACTCTGCAGGATATTATCCAGGAGAACTTCCCCAATCTAGCAAGAAAGGCCAACATTCAAATTCAGGAAATACAGAGAATGCCACAAAGATACTCCTCGAGAAGAGCAACTCCAAGACACATAATTGTCAGATTAACCAAAGTTGAAATGAAGGAAAAAACGTTACGGGCAGGCAGAGAGAAAGGTCAGGTTACCCTCAAAGGGAAGCCCATCAGACTAACAGCAGATCTCTCGGCAGAAACCCTACAAGCCAGAAGAGAGTGGGGGCCAATATTCAACATTCTTAAAGAAAAGAATTTTCAACCCAGAATTTCATATCCAGCCAAACTAAGCTTCAAAAGTGAAGAGGAAATAAAATCCTTTACAGACAAGCAAATGCTAGGAGATTCTGTCAGGGCAAGGCCTGCCCTACAAGAGCTCCTGAAGGAAGCACTAAACATATAAAGGAACTACCAGTACCAGCCACTGTAAAAGCATGCCAAACCGTAAAGACCATTGATGTTAGGAAGAAACTGCATCAACTAATGAGCAAAATAACCAGCTAACATCATAATGACAGGATCAGATTCCCACATAACAATATTAACCTAAAACGTAAATGGGTTAAATGCTCCTATTAAAAGACACAGACTAGCAAACTGGGTAAAGAGTCAAGATCCGTCAGTGTGCTGTATTCAGGAGACTCATCTCATGTGCAGAGACACACATAGGCTCAAACCCTACAAGAGCTCCTGAAGGAAGCACTAAACATATAAAGGAACTACCAGTACCAGCCAGTGTAAAAACATGCCAAACTGTAAAGACCATTGATGCTAGGAAGAAACTGCATCAACTAATGAGCAAAATAACCAGCTAACATCATAACGACAGGATCAAATTCACACATAACAATATTAACCTAAAAGGTAAATGGGTTAAATGCTCCTATTAAAAGACACAGACTAGCAAACTAGGTAAAGAGTCAAGACCCGTCAGTTTGCTCTATTCAGGAGACTCATCTCATGTGCAGAGACACACACGGCTCAAAATAAAGGGATGGAGGAAGATCTACCAAGCAAATGGAAAACAAAAAAAGGCAGGGGTTGCAATCCTAGTCCCTTATAAAACAGACTTTAAACCAACAAAGATCAAAAGAGACAAAGAAGGCCATTATATAATGGTAAAGGGATCAATTCAACAAGAAGAGGTAGCTATCCTAAATATATATGCAACCCATACAGAAGCACCCAGATTCATAAAGCAAGTCCTTAGTGGCCTACAAAGAGACTTAGACTCCCACACAATAATAATGGGAGAATTTAACACCCCACTCTCAACATTAGGCAAATCAATGAGACAGAAAGTTAAAAAGGATATCCAGGAATTGAACTCAGGTGTGCACCAAGCAGACCTAATAGACATCTACAGAAGCCTCCACCCCAAATCAACAGAATATACATTCTTTTCAGCACCACACTACACCTATTACAAAATTGACCACAAAGTTCAAAGTAAAACACTCCTCAGCAAATGAAAAGAACAGAAATTATAACAAACGATCTCTCAGACCACAGTGCAATCAAAATAGAACTCAGGATTAAGAATCTCACTCAAAACCATTCAACTACATGGAAACTGAAAAACCTGCTCCTGAATGACTACTGGGTACATAACAAAATGAAGGCAAAAATAAAGATGTTCTTGAAACCAACGAGAACAAAGACACAACATACCAGAATCTCTGGGACACATTTAAAGCAGTGTGTAGAGGGAAATTCACAGCACTAAGTACCCACAAGAGAAATCAGGAAAGATCTAAAATTGACACCCTAGCATCACAATTAAAAGAACTAGAGAAGCAAGAGCAAACACATTCAAAAGCTAGCAGAAGGCAAGAAATAACTAAGATCAGAGTAGAACTGAAGGAAATACAGACACAAAAAACCCTTCAAACAATCAATGAATCCGGGAGCTGCCTTTTTGAAAAGATCAACAAAATTGATAGACCGCTAGCAAGACTAATAAAGAAGAAAAGAGAGAAGAATCAAATAGACGCAATAAAGAATGACAAAGGGGATATCACCACCGATCCCAGAGAAATATAAACTACCATCAGAGAATACTATAAATACCTCTATGGAAATAAACTAGAAAATCTAGAAGAAATGGATAAGTTCCTCGACACATGCACTCTCCCAAGACTAAACCAGGAAGAAGTTGAATCTCTGAATACACCAATACCAGGCTCTGAAATTGAGGCAATAATTAATAGCTTACCAACCAAAAAAAGTCCAGGACCAGATGGATTCACAGCCAAATTCTACCAGAGGTACAAGGAGGAGCTGGTATCATTCTTTCTGAAATTATTCCAATCAACAGAAAAAGAGGGAATCCTCCCTGACTCATTTTATGAGGCCAGCATCATCCTGATACCAAAGCCTGGCAGAGGCACAACTGAAAAAGAGAATTTTAGACCAATATCATTGATGAACATTGATGCAAAAATCCTCAATAAAATACTGGCAAAATGAATCCAGCAACACTTCAAAAACTTATCCACCATGATCAAGTGGGCTTCATCCCTGTGATGCAAGGCTGGTTCAACATACAAAAATCAATAAACGTAATCCAGTATATAAACAGAACCAAAGACAAAACCACATGATTAACTCAACAGATGCAGAAAAGTCCTTTGACAAAATTCAACAACGCTTCATGCTAAAAACTCTCAATAAATTAGGTATTCACGGGACATATCTCAAAATAATAAGAGCTATCTATGACAAACCCACAGTCAATATCATACTGAATGGGCAAAAACTGGAAGCATTCCCTTCAAAAACTGGCACAAGACAGGGATGCCCTCTCTCACCACTCCTACTAAACAGAGGTTGGAAGTTTTGCCCAGGGCAATCAGGCAGGAGAAGGAAATAAAGGGCATTCAATTAGGAAAGGAGGAAGTCAAATTGTCCCTGTTTGCAGACAACATGATTGTATATCTAGAAAACCCCATTGTCTCAGCCCAAAATCTCCTTAAACTGATAAGCAACTTCATCAAATTCTCAGGATACAAAATCAATGTGCGAAAATCACAAGCATTCTTATACACCAATAACAGACAGAGAGCCAAATCATGAGTGAACTCCCATTCACAATTGCTTCAAGGAGAATAAAATACCTAGGAATAAAACTTACAAGGGACGTGAAGGACATCTTTAAGGAGAACTACAAACCACTGCTCAAGGAAATAAGAGAGGATACAAACAAATGGAAGAACATTCCATGCTCATGGGTAGGAAGAATCAATATCGTGAAAATGGCCATACCACCCAAGGTTATTTATAGATTCAATGTCATCCCCATCAAGCTACCAATGACTTTCTTCACAGAATTGGAAAAAACTACTTTAATGTTCAAATGGAACTAAAAAAGAGCCCACATTGCCAAGTCAATCCTAAGCCAAAAGAACCAAGCTGGAGGCATCATGCTACCTGACTTCAAACTATACTGCAAGGCTACAGTAACCAAAACAGCATGGTACTGGTACCAAAACAGAGACATAGACACATGCAACAGAACAGATCCCTCAGAAATAATGCAGCATATCTACAACTATCTGATTTTTGACCAACCTGAGAAAAACAAGCAATGGGGAAAGGATAATCTGTTTAATGAATGGTGCTGGGAAAACTGGCTAGCCATATGTAGAAAGCTGAAACTGGATCCCTTCCTTACACCTTATAGAAAAATTAATTCAAGATGGATTAAAGAGTTACATGTTAGACCTAAAACCATAAAAATCCTAGAAGAAAATGTAGGCAATACCATTCAGGACATAGGGCGTGGGCAAGGACTTCATATCTAAAACACCAAAAGCAATGGCAACAAAAGCCAAAATTAACAAATGGGATCTAATTAAACTAAAGAACTTCTGCACAGCAAAAGAAACTACCATCAGATTGAACAGACACCTACAGAATGGGAGAAAACTTTTGCAACCTACTCATCTGACAAAGGGCTAATATCCAGAATCTACAATGAACTTAAACAAATGTAAGAGAAAAAACAAACAACCCCATCAAAAAGTAGGTGAAGGATATGAACAGACACTTCTCAAAAGAAGACATTTATGCAGACAAAAACACAAGAAAAAATGCTCATCATCATTGGCCATCAGAAAAATACAAATCAAAACCACAATGAGATACCATCTCACACCACTTACAATGGCGATCATTAAAAAGTCAGGAAACAGGTGCTGGAGAGGATGTGGAGAAATAGGAACACTTTTACACTGTTAGTGGGAGTGTAAACTAGTTTAACCATTGTGGAAGTTGGTGTGGCGATTCCTCAGGGATGTAGAACTAGAAATACCATTTGAGCCAGCCATCCCATTACTGGGTATATACCCAAAGGATTATAAATCATGCTGCTATAAAGACACACGCACACGTATGTTTATTGTGGCACTATTCACAATAGCAAAGACTTGGAAGGAAGCCAAATGTCCAACAATGATAGACTGGATTAAGAAAATGTGGCACATATACACCATGGAATACTATGCAGCCATAAAAAATGATGAGTTCATCTCCTTGTAGGGACATGGATGAAGCTGGAAACCATCATTCTCAGCAAACTATCGCAAGGACAAAAGCCAAACACCACATGTTCTCACTCATGGATGAGAATTGAACAATGAGAACACATGGACACAGAAAGGGGAATATCACACACTGGGGCCTGTTGTGGGGTGGGGGGAGGGGGGAGGGGGGAGGAATAGCATTAGGAGATATACCTAATGTTAAATGAAGAGTTAATGGGTGCAGCACACCAACATGGCACATATATACATATGTAACAAACCTGCACGTTGTGCACATGTATCCTAAAACTTAAAGTATAATAATAATAATAATAAAGAGAGAAAGATGAAATAAAAGTTAATAAAAAGCAAAACAATAGAACACCTAAACTCATAGAAGAAAGGACCTACTAAATATCAGAGGAGAACTGAACCAAATAGAGACTTAAAAACACACAAAAAAGCAAAACATAAATTTTTTGAAAAAATATAAAACTAATAAGCCACTAGTGGAACTAAGAAAAAGAAAAAATTCAAATAAATAAAATCAGAAATAAAAAAATATGTTACAACTGATGCAAAAATAAAAAAAAATTATCAGAGACTGTTATGAACAGCTATCCAGTAATAAAATAGAACTAGAGGTAATGAGTAAATAGCAACACATACAAAACCTACCAAGATTGAATTAAAGAGAAATAGATAATCAAAATTGACCAATAATCAGTAACAATTGAATTAATAATAAATGTCTTCCAACAAAGAAAAGTACAGGACGGGAAAGCCTAATTGCTGGATTGTGCCCACTTACAAAGAAGAACTAAGGCCAATTCTCCTCCAACTATTTCAAAACAGGATAAAGGAATACTCCCTGACTTATTTTGTGAAGTGAGCATTACCTTGACCAACAAATTATGATAACACACAAAAAAAGAAAACAAAATGCCATTATCCCTGGTGAACATAGATAAAAACAAACTCAACACAATAGTAGCAAACAAAATTCAACAGTGAATCAAAAGATTATGCATCATCATCAAGTGAATTTGTTACAGGGATGCAAGAATGGTTCCAACAAACACCAATCCATTAATATCCACAGAATGAAGGACAAAATCTTATGATTATCTCATAATCATAAGGTTTGATAAAAATTCCACTTTTCCACTTGAGAGAAGGGAGAATCAAGATGGCAAAATACCAATACTTCAAATGGATTCGAAGAAGGAATACTGAGATTCAACAGAGATGTGATAGGAACCACCAAAAATGAGGAAGGAGAGCAAAGCAATAGGCTTAGAGCTAGGGGAAGACACTAGATACAGGAGAAAAGTAAGAGAAAGAACTTCACACTTGCACTGTGAGATTTAACAATCTTAGTTGTGAGAGAATCTCTCCTCTTGTGTGGTCATTAAACCTAACATACACAGCTGCCTAGAGAATGCACGGAGAAATTGTTCCAGAAAGAAAGATCACACAAAGTACTACAAACATTTGAGTCCAGAGTTGCTTCAGCTTAATATTATTATGAGAGTTAACTCACAGAGTCTGTGTCCTGTCCTGAATTCAGAATGATGTGGTCACTGCTGTTGCCACCACTGGTCTGAGAAAAGATAGGGAAGACCGAGCACTCCCATGTCCACATACAACAAATCCTAACACAACAGCAATGGAATGTTGTGAGACCAAAAGAAAGGCTGGCCACACTCTCCACTGTTACCTCCTGATGCTGCTCCAGCTGAGAGAGGCCTCACACTTCCCAGTGGCAGCCCTGCAGCATAGCTGGCACAGCTGACAGGTGAGCACTCTGCCGGTGCCCTGAAGAACATTCTTTTCTTTCAGTCACAGTCAGCAACTGTATGTACAACCAAGGAGCCTGAGAACAAGTCTGCTGGCATATTCTGGTGATCCCAGTACATCCAAGGCCTATTAATTGTTCAGCCCAGTTGCTCCTCCCAGGATTTAAGCACTGGCTAACACAACCTGCCATTACCACCACAGCTGACATCAACCTGAACATGCCACACTAGTGGACCAGAGAACTGGCCCACCCAAACCTCTACTGCCACTACTAGTGTCAGCATGAACTACTAGGGTTCCAGTGGGTTGCTCCACTACTGCTTCTGTCATCACCCTCATCTCATTAGTTGCCCAGGAGTCCTAAGGATCATCTATATGCTTGGCTTATCACTGCCACTCCCTATATCTTATCAGAATAAGCTCCCTGGAGGCCCAAAATTGCCCCCCACCCCAGGATCCACAACAGGATCCTACAACTAATCCTGTGTATTCTCAAAAAACTTATATGGAGATCATACCATTGTAGGCACCAAAAATTGAAAGTTAAATCATCCCATACAACCAGCAAAACACATATATTCTTCAGAAAAAAATTCTCTCAATGAATGCAGTTTCAAAAAATTATAAAGGTGACTGTTACACCATTGTAGATACTAATGTAAGGACAGAGAAAACATAACAAACAAGAAAATAAAACACCACCAATCAAAGACAATAATTTGCAAACAACAGATTTCAGTCAAAATGAAATTCACAAAATTCTGGGTCAATAATTCAAAATCCTGATTTCAAAGAAGCATATTGAAAAACAAGGGAATCAGAAAATTAATGCAAACAAATCAGAACAACAATTAAGAATGAAAAAATAAAAACCAGATACAAAACAACCAGCCATAAAAAAGGATGAGTTCATGTCCTTTGTAGGGACATGGATAAAGCTGGAAACCATCACTCTCAGCAAACTATCACAAGGACAAAAAACCAAACACCACATGTTCTCACTCATAGGTGGGAATTGAACAATGAGAACACATGGACACAGGAAGGGGAATATCACAAACTGGAGCCTTTGAGGGGTGGAGGGAGGGGGGAGGGATAGCATTAGGAGATATATCTAATGTTAAATGAAGAGTTAATGGGTGCAGCACACCAACATGGCACATGCATACATATGTAACAAACTTGCACACTGTGCACATGTACCCTAAAGTTCACAGTATAATAAAAAAAGTGCTAAGCACATAAAAAAAGAATATGAATGAAAACTTTACCAAATAGATAGATAATTAAGAAAGATAAAAAATATAGGACTTCTGGAACTGAATAATTGAAGAAAATACAAGTACATTTTAAAGCTACAATAGACCATCTCAGGCAGAAGAAATAATATTAAAACATGAAGACAAGCATTTTGAAATAACACGGATAAAATTTAAAAAAATTAAAAATAAGAAGCTGGCAATATGGCCAAATAGAAACAGTTTTAGGGCTGCAGCTCCCATTGAGATCAACACAGAAGGCAGGTGATTCCTGCATTTCCAACTAAGGTACCTGGTTCATCTCATTGGACCCGGTTGGAAAGTGGATGCAGCCCACAAAGCATGGGCCAAAGCAGAGTGGGGTGTCGCCTCACCCAGGAAGTGCAAGGGGTCAGGGGATTTCCCTTTACTAGCTAATGAAAGCCATGAGAGACTGTATCATAAGGAATGGTGCTTTTGGCCCAGATAATGCACTTTTCCCACAGTCTTCACAATGGGTAGACCAGGAGACTCTCTCCAGTGCCTGGCTTTGTGGGTCCCACTCCCACAGAGCCAAGAAACCTAAGATCCACTGGCTTGAATTTCTCACTGCTAGCACAACAGTTGGATGTCGACCTGGGACACTCAAGATTGGAGGGGTGAGGGGCATCTGCCATTGCTGAGACTTGAGTAGGCTGTTTTACCCTCACAGTGTAAACAAAGCCGCCAGAGTGTTTGGACTGGACAGAACCCACCACAGCTCCCTGGGACAGAGCATCTGGGGGAAGGGGTGGCTGTGGCGCAGCTTCAGCAGACTTAAAGGGCCCTGCCTGACAGCTTTGAAGAGAGCAGTGGTTCTCCCAGCATAGCATCCAAGCTCTAATAAGGGACAGACTGCCTCATCAAGTGGGTCCATGACCCACTGTGTATCCAGACTGGACGACGCCTTCCAGTAGGAGCTGACAGACCCCTTATACAGGAAAGCTCTGGTTGGCATCTGGCAGGTGCCCCTCTGGAAGGAAGCTTCCAGATGTAAGACCAGACAGCAGTCTTTGTTGTTCTGCATCCTCCACTGGTGATACCCAGGCAAATAGGGTCTGGAGCGTACCTCCAGCAAACTCTAGCAGACCTGCAGCAGACAGGCCTGACTGTTAGAAGGAAAACTAGCAAAAAGAAAGGAATATTATCAACATCACCAATATCAAAGACCAAAGGTAGATAAAACCACAAAGATGGGGAGAAACCACAGCAAAAAGACTGAAAATTCCAAAAACCAGAATGTCTCTTCTCCTCCAAAGGATCACAACTGCTCGCCAGCAAAGGAATAAAACTGGATAGAGAGTAAGTTTGATGAATTGACAGAAGTAGGCTTCAGAGGGTGGGTAATAACAAACTTCTATGAGGTAAAGAAGCATGTTCTGACCTACTGCAAGGAAGCTAAGAAGCTGGAAAAAAGGTTAGATGAATTGCTAACTAGAATAACCAGCTTAGAGAAGAACATAAATGACATGATGGAGCCGAAAAACACAGCACAAAAACTTCATGAAGCATACACAAGTATCAATAGCCAAATCAATCAAACAGAAGAAAGGATATCTGAGATTGAAGATCAACTTAATGAAGTAAAGCGAGAAGACAAGATTAGAGGAAAAAAAAGAGTTAAAACAAACAAAGCCTCAAAGAAATATGGGACTATGTGAAAAGACTAAATCTATGTTTGAATGGTGTACATGAAAGTAACAAGGAGAATGGAATCAAGTTGGGAAACACTCTTCAGGATATTATCCAAGAGAATTTCCTCAACCTAAGGCAGGCCAACATTCAAATTCAGGAAATACAGAGAAAACCACAAAGACATTCCTTGAGAAGAGCAACCCCAAGACACATAATCATCAGATTCACCAAGGTTGTAATGAAGAAAGAAATCTTAAGGGCAGACAGAGAGAAAGATTGGGTTATGCACAAAGGGAAGTCCATCAAACTAATGCAGATCTCTCAGCAGAAACCCTGCAAGTCAGAAGACTGTGGGAGCCAATATTCAACATTCTTAAATAAAACACTTTTCAACCTAGAATTTCATATTCAGCCAAACTAAGCTTTATAAGTGAAGGAGAAATAAAATCCTTTATAAACAAGCAAGTGCTGAGAGATTTTTGTCACCACGAGGCCTGCCTTACAAGAGCTCCTAAAGGAAGCACTAAAATGGAAAGGGACAACCGGTACCAGCCACTCAAAAACATGCCAAAGTGTAAAGACTGTTGATGCTATGAAGAAACTGCATTAACTAGTGGGCAAAATAATCAGCTAGCATCATGATGACAGGATCAAATTCACATATAACAATGTTAACTTGAAATGTAAACAAGCTAAATGTCTCAATTAAAAGATACAGACTGGTACATTGAATAAAGACTCAAGACCCCTAAGAGTGCTGTATTCAGGAGACCCATCTCATGTGCTAAGACACAAATAGGCTCAAAATAAAGAGATGGAAGAAGATTTACCAAGCAAATGGAAAGCAAAAAAATAAAATAAAATAAAATAACAAAAAACAAAAGGCCATTGCAATCCTAGTCTCTAATAAAACAGATTTTAAACCAATAAAGATCAAGAGTCAAAGAAGGTCATTACACAATGGAAAAGGGATCAATGCAACAAGACGTAACTATCATAAATATATATGTGCCGAATACAAGAGCACCCAGATTCATAAAGCAATTTCTTAAATACAAACAAATAGACTTAGATTCCCACACAATAATACTGGGAAAACTTAACAACTCACTGTCAATAATAGACAGATCAAAGAGACAGAAAATTAACAAGGATATCCAGGACTTGAACTCAGCTCTGGACCAAGTGGACCTACTAGACATCTACAGAACTCTCCACCCCAAATCAACAGAATATACATTCTTGTCAGCACCATAAAGCACTTATTCTAAAATTGATGGCATAAATGGAGGTAAAACACTCTTCAGCAAATGCAAAAGAATGGAAATCATAACTAACAGTCTCCCAGACCACAGTGCAATCAAATTAGAACTCAGGATTAAGAAACTTACTCAAAACCACACAACTATATGGAAACTGAACAACTTGTTCCTGAATGACTACTGGGTAAATAATGAAATGAAGGCAGAAATAAAGATGTTCTTTGAAACCAATAAGAACAAATACACAACGTGCTAGAATCTCTGGAACAATTTAAAGCTGTGTGTACAGGGAAATTCATAGCACTATATGTCCATGAGAGAAAGCAGGAAAGATCTACAGCTGACAACATGGCATCAAAACTAAGAGAACTGGAGAAGCAAGAGCAAACAAATTCAAAAGCTAGCAGAAGACAAGAAATAACAAAGACCAGAGCTGAAATGAAGTAGATGGAGACACAAACACCCTTCAAAAAATCAATGAATTGAGGAGCTGGTATTTTGAAAAGATTAACAAAATAGGTAGACCGCTAGCCAGATTAATAAAGAAAAAATTAGAGAAGAATCAAATAGATACAATAAAAATGATAAACAGGATATCAGCAATGATCCCACAGAAATACAAATTACCATCATAGAATACTCTTCACAAATAAACTAGAAAATCTAGAAGAAATGTATAAATTTCTGGACACATATACCCCCAAGATTAAACCAGGAAAAAGTTGAATCCCTGAATAGACCAATAACAAGTTCTGGAAAGGAGGCAGTAATTAATAGCCCACCAGCCAAAAAAAAGTCCAGGACCAGACAGATTTATAGCCAAATTCTACCAGAGGTATGAAGAGGAGATGGTCCTATTCCTTCTGAAACTATTCCAACCAATAGAAAAGGAGGAAATCCTCCCTAACTCATTTTATGAGGCCACCATCATGTTGATACCAAAACCTGGCAGAGACAAAACAACAACAAAAAGTTTTAGGCCAATATCTCTGATGAACATCAATATGAAAATCCTCAATAAAATACTGGCAAACTGAATCCATCAGCATATCAAAAAGCTTGTCCACCACAATCAAGTCGGCTTCATCCCTGGGATGCAAGTCTGGTTCAACACACACAAATCAATAAATGTAATCAATCACATAAACTGATCCAATGAGAAAAACCATATGATTATCTCAATAGATGCAGAAAAGGCCTTTGACAAAATTCAACAACCCTTCATGCTAAAAATTCTCAATAAACTACGTATTGATGAAATGTATATCAAAATAATAAGAGCTATTTATGACAAACCCACAGGCAATATTATACTGAATGGGCAAAAACTGGAAGCATTCCCTTTGAAAACTGGCACAAGACAAGAATGCCCTGTCTCACCACTGCTATTCAATATAACATTGGAAGTTCTGGCCAGGACAATGAGGCAAGAGGAAGAAATAAAGGATACTTAATTAGGAAAAGAGGAAGTCAAATTGTCTCTGTTTGCAGATGACATGATTGTTTATTTAGAAAATCCCATCCTCTTAGCCCAAAATCTCCTTAAGCTGATGAGCAACTTCAGCAAAGACTGAGGATAGAAAATCAATGTGCAAAAATCACAAGCATTCCAATACACCAATAACACACAGAGAGCCAAATCATGAGTGAACTCCCATTTACAATTGCTTCAAAGGGAATAAAATATCTAGGAATCCAACTTACAAGGGATGTGAAAGACCTCTTCAAGAAGGACTACAAATCACTGCTAAAGGAAATAAAAGAGGACACAAACAAATGGAAAAACATTCCATGCTCAAGGATACGAAGAATCAATATCATAAAAATGATCACACTGCCCAAAGTAATTTATAGATTCAATGCAATCCCCATCAAACTACTATTGACTTTCTTCACAGAATTGGAAAAAAAACTAATTCAAAGTTCAAATGGCAGCCTCCATAGCCAAGACAATCCTAAGCAAAAAGAACAAATCTGGAGGCTTTGGTGCTACCTGACTTCAAATTATAGTACAAGGCTACCGTAACCAAAATAGAATGGTACTGGTTCCAAAACAGATACAAAGACCAACAGAACAGAACAGAGGCCTCAGAAATAGCACCACACATCTACAACCATCTGATCTTTGACAAACCTGACAAAAACAAGCGATGGAGAAAGTCTTCCCTATTTAATAAATGGTGTTGGGAAAACTGGCTAGTCATATGCAGAAAGCTGAAACTAGATCCCTTCCTTACACCTTATACAAAAATTAACTCAAATGGATTAAAGACTTAAACATAAGACTTTAAAACTCAAAAACCCTAGAAGAAAACGTAGGCAATACCATCCAGGACATAGGCATTGGCAAAAACTTTATGACTAAAACACCAAAAGCAATGACAACAAAAGGCAAAATTGAACCAAGAAAAATTCTGGTTCTGCCGCCAGACCTTCCACTGCCATTGGCCTCTGCAGGAGGAGACAGACTCCCGGCGCTCTGTAGAGCGCCTGCCCGAGTAACACAGAGCTGGAGCCGGAGAAGATGATGGCAGTCCCAGCAGGCGCTCAGGCACACCCCGACATCCAAAGCAGCGCGTCCGGAAATCCCGTTGAAAGAGGCGCATTTGCCATGGCGCCAGAGATGCTCCCCAAGCATCCTCATACCCCGCGGGACAGGAGGCCTCAGGCGGACACCTCCCTCCATGGCAATCTGGCAGGAGCGCCCCTTCCTCTGCTGGCTGGTGCTTCCACCCATTTCCCCTCCAAGAGGTTAATAAAGGTTTGCTCCTCAGCACCCCCCCGCCCAATCCAGCGTTTCCATACGGTTTATTCACAGGCCCTTTCTAGGCCAGTGGTGAATGCTCACTTACATTGACAGCTGCGAGGGAATTGTTCCGCAAATGCTGCCCATCTTCAAATCAGTGCCTGCTCAGAAAAACAGAAAGGGCCTCAGATGTACTGGTTTCCACAGAACCATTGTTAGGCTTTTGTGAAGCATTTTTGAACCTAATAAACAATGTCAAAAGTCAAAAAAAAAATGTGATCTAATTAAACTGAAAAGCTTGTGCTCAGCAAGAGAAACTATCATCAGAGTGAACAGGCAACCTACAGAATGGGAGAAAAATTTTGCAATCTATCCATCTGACAAAGGGCTAATATCCAGAATCTACAAAGAACTTAAACAAATTTACAAGAATAAAACAACCCCATCAAAAAGTAGGCAAAGGATATGAACAGACACTTCTCAAAAGAAGACATTTATTCAGCCAAGAAACATGGGAAACAATGCCCATCATCACTGGTCATCAGAGAAATGTAAATCAAATCCATAATGAGATACTATCTCACACCAGTTAGAATGGCAATCATTAAAAATTCAGGAAACAGGTGCTGGAGAAGATGTGGAGAAATAGGAACACTTTTACACTGTTGGTGTGAGTGTAAATTAGTTCAACCATTGTGGAAGACAGCGTGGTGATTCCTCAAGAGTCTAAAACTGGAAATACCATTTGAACCACCAATCCCAATACTGGGTATACACCCAAAGGATTATAAATCATTCTACTATAAAGACATAGGCACACATATGTTTACTGCAGCACTATTCACAATAGCAAAGACTTGGAACCAATCCAAATGCCCATCAATGATAGACTGGATAAAGAAAATGTGGCACATATACACCATGAAATACTATTCAGCCATAAAAAAGGATGAGTTCATGTCCTTTGCTGGGACATGGATGAAGCTGGAAACCATCATTCTCAGCAAACTAACACAAGAACAAAAAACCAAACACTGCATGTTCTCACTCATAAATGGCAATTGAACAATGAGAACACATGGACACAGGGAGGTGATCATCACACACTGGAGCCTGTCAGGTGTGGAGGGCTAGGGGAGGTATAGCATTAGGAGAAATATCTAATGTAGGTGACGGGTTGATGGGTTCAGCAAACCACCGTGGCACATACATACCTATGTAACAAACCTGCACATTCTGCACATGTACCCCAGAAATTAAAGTATAATAAAAAAAAAGAATGAAAGCCTTCATGACATTTAGGACAACATACAGCAACTAAATGTGTAAATTATTAATATATTAAGGGTGAATAGAAAATTTTAAAACTAGAAAACATATTTAATAAAATAATAGCTAAAATCTTCCCATCTATCAATATTTATATATTCGTATATATATATATAAACATTCAGATATAGGAGGGTGAATGATCCCCAGATAAACACAATGCAAAAAGTTATACTTGTGACACATTATAATTTGTCTAAAGTAAAATTCAAAGAGTGAATCTTAAAAACAGCAACAGAAAAGCAAATAAATTTGTATGAAGAAAAAAAATCACCGAATTAATGCAGACTTTTGAGCAGAAATGTTTCACCCCAAAAATAATAAAATGATATATTTATAGTGCTTAGGGAAAAAACACTGTAAGTCAAGAATAAAATATCCAGCAATTCTATCCTTTCTAAATGAAGGAGAAATAATGTCTTCCCAGACAAGGAAATTCTGAGGAAATTTGTTACCACTAGACTGGACCTAGAAAAAACGTTCCAGGAAGTCCTAAACATGGAAGTAAAGGAAGACATTTACCATTATCAAATTACACAGAATTATAAAACTTACATGTAAAGTTTTCACAAAAAGAAAGAAAAGAAAGCATGTAAATGATATCACCACAGAAATCAGTAAACCATAATGGGAGATATATGAGAAAAAGAAAATAATAAAATGTATAAACCACCAGAAAATAATTAATATAACAAGAAATAAACCTCACAAGTAATAAAAATCTCAATGTAAACGGACTACATTCTTCAGTTAAAAGATGTAGAATTACTGGATGAATGTACTAATCATGATCCACTTATATGCCATTTACAAGAAGCTCACCTTTCCAGCAATCACACATACAGACCGAAAATAAAGGGATGTAAATTTATATATTCCATGTAAATAGAAACCAAAAATCAACTGAAGTACCTACCTGTACCCATATCAGATAAAACAAACTTTAAATCAAGAACAGTGAAAAGGAAAAAAATGCCAAGTAGGTTATTATATTATAATAATGGGAGCAATCAAATGAGGTGGTAATAATTTCACATATATATATATATATATATATATATATATATATACACATCTAACACTAGAGTACTGAGAATCATAAACAAATATTATTAAGTCTAAGAAGAGAGAGATATTGTAATATAATAATATTAAGAGGACTGCAATACCCCACCTTCAGCATTAGACAGTTCATTTGTACCAAAACTCAATAAAGAAACATTGGGTTAGGCTGTATTTTAAACCAAATAGATATTTACAGAACACTCTATTCAACAACTGCAGAATAGACTTTTTTAAAATGAGCATGTAAAACATTTCCCAGGATAGACCATATATCAGCATTCATAAGTCTTCATATATTTTAGAAAGTCAAAATCATATCAAATATTTTTATTATACTGTAATAGAATAAAACTGGAAAGAAATATCTGCCAGAACTCTGGAAATTATACTACATAAGTACATAAAATTTAAGCAACATTCTCCTGAATGACCAATAAGTAACGAAAAAATTCTTAAAATTTATTTAAAAATTGCTTTAAACAATTGAAAGTGGAAATGCAACATATGAAACGTGTGCAATACAGCAAAAAAAAAAAAAAGCTAAAAGGATAGTTCACACCAATAAACACCTACATCAAGAAAGTAAAAAGATTTTACAAATTAACAATATAAAAATGTCCCTCAAGAAACTAGAAAGCATGAACACAAATAATCAAAATTTATCAGAATAAAGGAATAATAATAACATTAGCAGAACTAAAATCAAAGAGACCAAAAACATTGAAACAAAAAGTTAGTACTTTGAAAATATAAACAAAATTGATAAAGTGCTAGCTAGACAAACCAAGAGGAGAGAGAAAAGCCAAATAAAGAAAATCAAAAATAAAAAAAAGACATTACATGTGATGTAATAATAATACCAAAGGATCATGAGACTATTATGAACAAACATACACAAATGAACTGGAAAAATTACAGGACATGAACAAATTTCTGAAATCATGCAATTATACAGACTGAATCAATAACAAATGGAAAACCTGAACCGACCAATAATGAGTAGCAAGATTGAATCAGTAATAAAAAGTCCTCCAACAAAAAGCCAAAAATTGGACAGATTGTTAGCCAAATTCTGCCACATTCACACAGAACTAATATCAATTCTTCCAAAACTATTCAAAAGAAGGATAAAATAGAAAATTCTTCTCAATTCATTCTAGAAGGCCAGGATCACCCTGATGCCCAAATCAAACAAAAACAAAACAACAATAATAGCAACAAAAACTTCAGTCTAGTATCACTGCTGAAAACAGACACACAAATTCTCAACAAATTACCACCAATCAGAATCCAGCAGCACATCGAAAATACATTGCATGAAGACCAAGTGGAATTTACAGCCGAGGTGCAGGCCTGGTTCAACATGTGTAAATCTGTAAGCATGATATATCACATCAACAGAATAAAGGACCAAAATAATATAGTCATCTCAATATATACAAGAAAAGCATTTGGTAAAATTTAGCATCCCTTCATCATAAAAAAAATGCAACAATGCGGTCATAGAAGGAACATATCTCAAACAATAAAGGGTATATATGATAAACCCGCAGTTGACATCACACTGAACGGAAAAAAATTAAAAGTCCTTTCCCTTCAAAATTGAACAATACAAAGACACCCATGTTCATCACTCTTATTCATCATAACACCGGGAGTATTAGCCAGAGCCACCAGGCTAAAGAAGGAAAGAAAAAGTATCCAAATTAGAAATTAGAAAGTCAAACTGTACCTCTTCTCTGAGAACACGATCTTAAATGCAGAAACACCTAAAGACTCCACCAAAAAAAAAATTATATTTGATATGTAATTTCAGCAAAATTATAGGTTACAACAGCTTGCAAAAATTAGTGGCATTTTCATACAGCAATAGTCATCTAGCTGAGAAAGAAATGAAGAAGTCAATCTCATTTATAATAGCCGCAAAATATTAAACTATCTAGGACTAAATTTAATGGAGGATGTAAGCAATTACTACAAGGGAAATTACAAATAAAAAAACTGTTGAAACAAATTTTACATAACACAAACATCTGGGAAAATATCCCATGCTTATGGACTAAAAGAGATATCATTAAGATGATCACATTGCCCAAAAGAAGCTAAATATTTAGTGCAGCCTTAGGAATATCCCAACATCATTCTTCATGAATTTTTTTAATCCTGAAATTCTTATAAAACTCCAAAAGAGGACATATAGACAAACCAATTTTGAGCAAATAGAGCAAAGCTAAAGGCATTATACTACTTGACCTCAAAATGTATTACAAATCTGTACCAACCAAAACAGTTAGTGGTATAAAAGTAGACACATAGAGCACTGTAATAGGGAATCCAGCTATAAGTAACTGCAAAATATATTTGTATGTAAATGATCTTTGACATAACTGATAAGAATTTACACTCAGGAAAAAAAAATCCTCATAGTAAATGTTGGAATATCGTATAGCCACATGCAGAAAAATACATATGCCTCTTCTCTCTCACAGTATACAAAAATCAACTTAAGATATATGAAATATTTAGGAATGTGAGACCTGAAACATTAAAACACTAAAAGAAAACCTAGACGTATGTTTTAAGATGTTGGCTTACAGAAGGAATTTTTGACTAAGACCTCAAAAGCACAGGAGAGAAAAACAAAAATTGACAAATTGGACTTAAATTAAAAAGCTCTGCACAGCAAAAGAACTAATCAACTGAGTGAAAAAACTTACTGTTAAATGAGAGAAAATGTTTTTATCCTATTCATGTCATAGGTTACTAAACATCCAAAATATACAAAGAACATATATATGTTAACATAAATAATCCCATTAAAATCAAGGGAAAATATGTAAATAAACATTTATAAAGAGAAAATGTAGAAATGGCCAACAGATACATGAAAAATGGTCAACATTATTAATCATCATGGAAATGCAAAATAATAAACCACAATTAGCTATCACCTTACCCCAATCAGAATGGTTTTATTACAACGACAAAAAACAAAAAATCTTGTTGAAGATGAGAGAAAGGGGAACTCTTAAATACCGTTGGTGGAAATTTAATACAGCCACTGTGGAAAACAATATAAAGATTCCTCAAAAAATAAAAATAGAATTACCATTCAAGTATTTTATTGCTAGACATCTACCCAAAAGAAGTCAATACATCAGATAAATACCTGTGCTTGCATGTTTTTGTGGAATTACTCACAACAGTGTAGATATGACATCAACTTAGGCATCAAGCAACAAAAGTGGAATTGGAGGTCATTATGTGAAGTGAACTAAGCCAGGCACAGAGAGACAAATATTAAATGTTCTCCCCCATATATTGGTGCTAAAACAATTGATCTCATAAAACTAGAGAGAATAGTGATCATTACCAGAGGCTGGAAGAAGTGTGTGAAGGTGGGGCTGGTAAACAGAGGTGGGTTAATGGGTACTAACATATAGTTATGTAGAAGGAATAAACTCTAATGTTTGATAACAGTATAGGGTGACTATAGTTAATAACAACATATTGCATATTTTTTAGTAGCTAGAAAAAAGGATTTAAAATATTTTCAACACAATTAAATGATAAATATTTGATGTGGTGGATATTCTAAATACCGTACCATGATCATTACTTATTTTATTCATGTATCAAAATGTTGCATGTACCCTATAGATACAATTACTATGCATCAATAAAAAATTACAACATAAATAAAGATATAAAATAAGAGAAAAAGAAAAATAATCTCTGTCATCAAAGGGAAGTTAGTTTGCCTTATACAATTAAAAGAAAATCTTATTATAGCACTTTCAGACATGGACATACAATTGCTTTTACTTTATTAAAGACTTATTGTTTCTTTTTAGGCAAACAGAAGAAACTTTTTATGCAACAGTAAGGTTATTTCAGAACTATAAGTCTTATCCTAAAATGTGACTGTGTTGTGTTACATAAAGTTTTAAAATTAAAATGTTTGTTAGTATTGTTTAATCAAAATATTTGAATTAATTTTCTGAAATATTAAACCCACTGTTGAAATTATAATGTCTTTGATTTTGCATGTTATATTATTTCTTATTTTACTCTATCATGAGAATTTATTTTATTTTTAAAAACTATTAATTACAATTTATGCAATTACAAATAAAAAATGTGTATATATTATACATTTATAATACGATGTATTGATATATGCTTACACTGTAGAGTTAATTGTTAAATCAAGCTAATTAACAGATTTGTTAGTTTAAATGCTTATATTTTGGTGAAAACATTTAAGATTTATGCTTTCAGTCATTTTGAAATATGAAATTCATTATTATTTTAGTTACTATTTGTACAATAGATTACTAAATCACAATACTCCTATCTATAATTATGCATGTGTAACCAGCTTTTTTAATTTCTCCATTCTATCTTGTCATAATTACCATTCTACTCTTTATTTCTATGAGTTTGACTTTTAGGTTTCCACATGTAATTGCAATCATGTGGTATTTGTCTCTTGTGTCTGGCTTATTTTACTAAGTATAATGTCCTTTGAGTTGATCCCTATCATCTCAAAATACAGTATTTCATTATTTTTAAAGGTTGAATCATATTTCATTGTGTATATATATCAGATTTTCTTTGTGTTTATCTGATGATTAACAACTAGTTTGCTTTCATGTCTTAGCCATTGTGAATAATGTTGCAATGAACATGAGAGTACAGATATCTCTTCAGCGTACCCTTTTTAGTTCTTTTGGATACATATCTGGAAGTGGGATAGTTCCATTTTTAGTTTTCTAAGGAAACTTTATTGTTTTTCTTAATGTGTCTATTGGTGCACATTCCCACCAACAGCATATGGGGTTCCCATTTCTTCATACTCTCACCAATGCTTGTTAATTTCTGTGTTTTAATTTTTAATTTTTATTTATTTATTTATTTATTTCTGTGGCAGGGTCTCCCTCTGTCACCCAAGCTGGAGTGCAGTGGTGTGATCTCAGCTACTGCAATGTTTGCCTTTTGTGTTCAAGCAATTCTCCTGCCTCAGCCTCCCAACTAGCTGAGATTATATGTGTATGCCACCATGCCCAGCTAATTTTCATATTTTTGGTAGAGAGAAGTTTCACCATGTTAGCCAGGCTCATCTTGAACTCCTGACCTCAGGTGATCCACCCATCTCAGCCTCCCAAAGTGCTAGGATTACAGGAGTAAGCCTCAGTGCACAGCCTAACTTCTGTGTGTTTTTAAAATAAAAGCCATTCTAACTGGTAAGTATATATTATTGTAATTGTAAGTTGCATTTCCATGATGATTAGTGATAAGCATTTTTATCAAACATCATTTTGCTATTTGTATATCTTTTTCTTATATATTATTATTTCCTAAGCATATTTGACTCCCATGTTGAAAAAAAATTGCAAGATATTATAAAAGACATTTTTTAGAAGCGCCTGGGTATTTTATTATCTTTTTTTAATCATTGCAGTAGTTTTGGGGGGAACAGGTGGTATTTAGTTACATTAATAGTTTCTAAAAGGTGATTTCTGAGATTTTGGTGCACCCATGACCCCAGAAGTGTATATTAGACCCAGTGTGTAGTATTTTAACCCTCACTGCCTCCCAACTTTTCCCACAAGCCCCCAGAGTTCATTATAACCTTCTTCTGCCTTTGCACCCCCATAGCATAGTCCCACTTATAAGTGAGAACACAGGATGTTTTGTTTTCCGTTACTGAGTTATAATAAAAATATCCAACTCCATCCAGGTTGCTGTGAATGTCTTTATTTTATCCCTTTTAGTGGAGGTGTAGTATCCCATGATATGTGTGTGTGTGTATATAAATACATATATATGTGTGTGTGTGTTTAAATATATATATATATATATATATATATATATATATATATATATCCCACATTTTCTTTATTCACTCATCGGTTGATGGGCATTTAGGCAGGTTCCATATTATTGCAATTGTAAATTGTGCTGCTATAAACATGGATGTCCAAGAGTCTTTTTAATATAATGACTTATTGTCCTATGCCTAGATACCCAGTAGTGGGATTGTTGGATCAAATGGTAGTTCAAGTTTTAGTTCTTTAGGGAATCTTTTACTGTTTCTCATAGTGGCTGTACTAGTTTACATTTCCACCAGCAGTGTAAATTCGTTTTCTTTCAGATCCACACCAGATCTACATGAACATCTATTAGTACAACCCTCCCAGATTAAGCTAGGAAGAAACAGAAACTCTATACTGACTAAGTAATAAGAAGTAATAAGATTGAAACAGTAATTTTAAAGTTGCCAGTAAAATATCCAGGAGCAGACAGATTCACAGCTGAATTCTATCAGACATTCAAAAAAGAACTGCCACCAATCCTACTGAAACTATAACAAAGCCACTCCTATTCAACACAGTAATCAAAGTCTTGGTTAGTGCAATCAGCAAGACAAAATATAAAGGACATCCAAATAGGAAGCGACGAAGTCAAACTATTCCTGTTTGCTGATGACATGATTCTATATATAGAAAACTCTACAGTCTCAGTCCAAAAGCTCCCTAAATATTGATAACTGTAGCAAAGTCTCAGGGTACAACAGCAATGAACAAAGATAACTAGCATTCCCATTCATCAACAACAGTCTACCTAACAGGCAAATCAGAACTACTATCCCATTCACAATCACCACAAAAAAGAAAAAAAAACCCTAGAAATACAGGGAATAATTACAAGAAAGGTGAGAGATTTCTGCAATAAAAATTATAAAGCACTGTTCAAAGAAATCAGAGAAGACACAAACAAAAAAATGTTATGCTCATGGATAGGAAAAATCAATATGGTTAATTATTTTTTTTTTTTTTTTTTGAGACAGAGTATTGTTCTTTCACCCAGGCTGGAGTGCAGTGGCACCATTTTGGCTCACTGCAACCTCCACCTCCCAGGTTCAAGCATTCTCTGCCTCAGCATCCAAGTAGCTGGGACTACAGGTGCATGCCACCATGCCTGGCTAATTTTTGTATTTTTAGTGGAGATGGGGTTTCGCCCTGTTGGCCAGGTTGATCTTGAATTCCTGACCTCTTGATCCACCCACCTCAGCCTCTCAAAGTGCTGGGATTACAGGTGTGAGCCACCATGCCTGGCCCAATATTGTTAATATTTTAACAATACATCCCAAATAAATTTAAGGACTCAATTCTATTTTTATCAAACTACCAATGAAATTCTTCACAGAACTAAAAGTAACTATTTTTAAATTCACATAGAACCAAAAGAGATCCCAAATAGCCAAGACAATCCCAAGCAAAAATAACAAAGCTGGAGGCATCATGCTACCCAACTTCAAACTACACAACAATGCGACAATAACCAGAACAGCATAGTACCGGTACAAACATAGACACATAAACCAAATGAAACAGAATAGAGAGCCCACAAATGAGGCTGGACACCTGCAACCATCTGATCTTTGACAACGGTGACAAAAAAAAAAAAAAAAAAAAACAATGGGGAAATGACTCCCTATTCAAAAAATGGTGTTGGAATTGCAACAAAATCAAAAATTGATAAATGAAATATAATTAAACAAAAGAGCTTTTGCAACACATAAGAAACTATCAGCAGTGTAAACAGACAACCTCTGCAGTGGGAGATAATTTCTGCAAACTATGCATCAGACAAATGTTTAATATTAATCATCTATTAGGAACATTAACAGATGTACAAGAAAGAAACAACTACATTAAAAAGTGGGCAAAGGACAAGAAAATGTACTTTTCTAAGGAAGATATACAAGTGGCCAAAAATCATATTTCAAAAAAATTTATTACTGATCATTCGAGAAATGCAAGTATAAACCACAATGTGGTACCATCTCACACCAGTCAGCATGGCTATTAGTAAAAAGTAAAAAAATAAATGCTAGCAAACAGAACACTTATGCACTGTTGGTGAGACTGTACATTAGTTCAATCATTACAGAAAGCAGTGTTGAAATTCCTCAAGGAGCTTAAAACAGAGCTATCATTTGACCCAGTAATTCCACTAGGCATATAACTAAAGGAATATACATTGTTTTATTATAAAGAGACATGTATGTGAATGTTTATTGCAGCACTGCTCACAATGGCAAAAACATGGAATCAAATTAAATGCCCATCAATGGTAGACCAGATAAAGAAAATATGACACATATACACTATGGAGTACTACACAGCTATAAAAAAGAATGAGACCATGTGTTTGCAGAAGCATGGATGGAGCTGAAGGTCATCATTCTTAGCAAACTAATGTAAAAAAAGAAAACCAAATACCACATCTTCTCCACTTAGAAGTTGAAGCTAAATAGTGAGAAAACACGGGCACAAAGAAAAAAACAACAGACGCTGGAGCCTACCAGAGAATGAAAAGTGAAAGAAGAAAGAGGATCAAGAAAAATAACTAACTGGTGCTAGGGTTACTACCCTGGTGACAAAATAATCTGTACAACAAACCCCCGTGACACAAGTTTACCTATATGACAAACCAGCACATTTACACCAGAACTTAATCTAAAAGTTTTAAAAAGTGACTCTTCCATGTATCTGTACAAAATATACTTTTACATTATTTTCAACTACATCAGTAAAACTTTAATTTTTTCTATCATACATATATGTATATATATAAATAATCTGTATTTTCTCACCTAGATTGTCATCAATACTGTGAGTTGTTTCTGTACAATATCTTGGTTAACTTGCTCCTTTCATTGCTATTAGTTTAGATATACTAACCAAATATCTGAATACTTAAATTTAAATTAATAATCTAAACCATGTTACTAAGGTTAATTTCTTAATCATATACTCTGTAATATTTTTAAATCTGTATCCTTTCATATGTCCTGCTTTCTTATTAATTGTAGGGCTAACAGTATGAACATCATACACTTTTCTTTCTTTACTGTCCTCTCATTGCCTGAGCATTAAAGTTTTCATGCTTCAGTTTATAATTGAGAGTTAGCTTAACACTTACTAGTCCCACTCTAACTTTTGATCCTCATTTATTTTTCTGTTATTTCCCAATACTTACAATCAAATGAAGATTACCCAGCTCAATCTATTTTAGCTTTGGGAAGATGGGTCGATCATTATGTTTTCTGTGCAAGGCAGTTATTAAAATGTGGAGTTATAATTTTAAAAATAAAAAGTACATATACACATTTAACTTTCTTTTATTTTTGAAACAGTCTCACTCTGTTTCCCACACTGAAGTGCAATGGAGCGATCTCGGCTCACTGCAACTTCTGCCTCCCAAGTTCAAGCGATTCTCCTGCCTCAGCTTCCCAGGTAGCTGGGACTACAGGCACCAACTGCCATGCCTGGCTAATTTTTATACATTTAGTAGAGACAGGGTTTCACTATGTTGGCCATGCTAGTCTTGAACTCCTGACCTCGTGATTTGCCTGCCTTGGCCTACCAAAGTGCTGAAATTACAGGCATGAGCTACCGTACCTGTCCTATTTAACATTTTTAAATTGAAAAAATAGTAATTATGCATATTCATGAGGTATATAGTTTTCTTTTTCGTGTAAATTGAAGGAGTATACATTCAATTTTATTACATGTATATATTATGTAGTGGTTAAGTCTGCACTTTAAGTATAATTATCGCCTAAATAATGTACATCATATCCATTGAGTAATTGCTCATCTCTTTGTACTTTTGTAAATATTACATATAATCTATATGCATGGAATACTATTCAGCCATAAAAAGAATGGAGTTATGCCTTTTGTAATAACATGAATGCCTTTTGAATAGAGGCATTATCTTAAGCAAAACAACCTAGAAATAGTCAAATATACATATTTTCACATACAAGTGGGAGTTAATGTACATAAATGGAAATAGAGTATGGAATAATAAATGTGGTTTTATTCTTATAGTTTTTCATTTGCATTTTACTTTTTTTCTCTTTCTATTGTAGTGTTTTCTGGGTTATTTATTTAGACCTTAGAATGGTTATTAATATGCCATTAATCAAAATTGATTTTTTTATTTGGGACATTAAAATCTCTTCTATCTTTGTAGATAATGTCATAATGAGCTTTTTATACTTAAGACATTTTTAAAATCTTATTTCAAAATATTTTTTCAAATGGTTTCCTTTAGATTTGTTCAAAGTACGGTAGCAAGACCAGTTTATGATACACAAAACTAAACTTTGAAAGATTTTAAGAAACTTCCTGCTTACTTACTAACAAAAAATTAGTTCTCATTTAATTTCTGGAGATACTAGAAGTGTTTTCATGTGATCATATTTCTTTCATATCACCTGCCTTTTCCATGAGAGAACATGAATATTACACTGACAACTGATGGATATGCCATCATATATTTAAAAGCATTTATACTTCTATAGGTAAATCACATTTATTAAATGCATTTTAAGATAATATTAAATCTGGTTGTCATCATTTTGCTAAGAATTTGGGAAACAACATGATTCTACAAACATTTATTCATATATAAACAGCAAATAGCTTAACTATATTGTTTCCAAGTTAATATTAGACAAGCGTGCTACCTTTGTCTTTACAATATACTTAGCTATTCCCTTAGAAGGAATATGACTAAAGTGAAACCAGGTGTATGTCACAATCATAAAAGTGTCTGCTGAAGACAAATGTATATTATAGGGCAGTAAAAATCAAATTTTCCCTAGGAGCTCATACAACTATCTTAAAAGGTACTTTTGTGAATATTGCACATAATCTATTTTCATCACAAACACTATCACCTTCTAAGCCGGTCAGAAATATGTGGTTAAAAAAGGTATTCTGAAATCATATTAAACATTTGTACAACAAAAATTTCAATGAGGAAGATATACTCATTAAAAGGAAAAAAAAAAACATTTTAGGTTGAGAAGAAATTCCGATATGTTTCTTCAAACTTTAAAAAATTTTCTGATTTGTTTATTTTATTGAATAATAAAACTTTTTTGCCTGCTTCAGTTATTATCAAAAAAGATTTACTAAAACAATGCTCTA
The DNA here is from genome assembly GCF_000001405.40 of Homo sapiens. Classification (NCBI taxonomy): domain Eukaryota; kingdom Metazoa; phylum Chordata; class Mammalia; order Primates; family Hominidae; genus Homo; species Homo sapiens. The sequence goes on along the minus strand of NC_000024.10, from coordinate 20,829,957 downwards.
CCTAAAAAAGATGAACTTTAAATTTGAGTTACAAACACTGAGTGAAAAGAAAACTAAATTTTTTATGACAAAATGGAATTGATGCATCTGCTTTTTCAGAAATATGCCCGAAATCAACTTTTATCTTGCTGAATCCCAAAGAATTCTGTCTACATTTTTCTGTAATTAGTTTCCTTTTTTAACTTCTATTTTAGGTTCAAGAACCCATGTGCAGGTTAGTTATATAGGTAAATTGCATTTCACAGGAACTTGGTCGGCATATTATTTTGTCACCCAGGTAAAATGCATAGTGCTCAATAGGTAGTGTTTCATCTTCATCTTATTTCCCAAACTTAACCATCAAGTAAGTCCAGGTGGCTGTTGTTTCTTTCTTTATGTCCATATATACTCAGTGTTTAGCTTCCACTTATAAATAACAACATGCAATGTTTGGTTTTCTGTTCCTGCATTGGTTTCCTTTGAATAATGGCCATCCATGTTGCTGCAGAGGACATTAATGTTCTTTTATGGCAGCATAGTATTCCATGGTGCATGTGTATCACATTTTAAAAATTCCTTCTGCCGGCGGGGCATGGTGGCTCAGGCCTGTAATCCCAGCACTTTGGGAGGCCAAGGCGGGTGGATTAGTAGGTCAGGAGATCAAGACCATCCTGGCTAACACAGTGAAACCCCGTCTCTACCAAAAAATACAAAAACTTAGCTGGGAGTGGTGGTGGGTGCCTGTAGCCCCAGCTACTCGGGGGGCTGAGGCAGGAGAATGGCGTGAACCTGGGTGGCGGTGCTTGCAGTGAGCCGAGATTGCGCCACCGCACTCCAGCCTGGGCTACAGAGCAAGACTCTGTCTCAAAAAAATAAAAATAAAAAATATAAAATAAATATCCCTTCTGTCATTGATGGTCATTTAGGTTAATTCCATGTCTTTGCTATTGTAAACTTTTCTGAAATAAATGTGTGTGTGTGTTGAGTGTGTGTGTGTGTCTTTATGTTAGAATGATTTATAGTTCTCTAGGTATCTACCTAATAATGGGATTGATGGGTGAAATGGTATTTCTTTTCTTGTTTGTTTTTTGAGACAGAGTCTGGCTCAGTTGCACAGGCTGGAATGCAGTGGCGCAATCTCGGCTCACTGCAAGCTCCGCCTCCCGGGTTCATGCCATTCTATTGCCTCAGCCTCCAGCGTAGCTGGGACTACAGGCGCCCGCGACCACGCCTGGCTAATTTTTTGTATTTTTAGTAGAGACAGGGTTTCACTGTGTTAGCCAGGATGGTCTCAATCTCCTGACCTCGTGATCCGCCCGCCTCGGCCTCCCAAAGCGCTGGGATTACAGGCCTGAGCCACCGCGCCCAGCCTGGTATTTCTGTTTTAAATTCTTCCAGAACTTGTTAAACTGCTTTCCACAATAGCTGAACTAATTTACATTCCCCCCAGCAGTGTATAAGCATACGCTTTTCTCCAGAACCTCACCAGCATCTGTTATTTTTTCTTTTACTTTGTAATCATAAAAGTCAGATGAGGGCTGGGTGCGGTGGCTCATGCCTGTAATCCTAGCATTTTGGGAGGCCAGGAGGGCAGATCAACTGAGGTCAGGAGTTCGAGACCAGACTCACCAATATGGAGAAACCACGTCTGTACTAAAAATACAAAATTAGCCAGGCATGGTGGTTCATACCTATAATCCCACTATTCGGGAGGCTGAGGCAGGAGAATTGCTTGAACCCGGGAGGCAGAGGTTGCAGTGAGCAGAGATCTTGCCCTTGCACTCCAGCCTGGGGAACGAAAGTGAAACTCCATCTCGGGGAAAAAAAAAAAAGTCAGAGTTGACTTGTGTGAAATGGTATCTCATTTTGGTTTTGATTTGTGTTAGTCTAATTCTTAGTAATATTAAGAAATTTTATGGCCAGGCACGGTGGCTCACGCCTGTAATCCCAGCACTTTGGGAGGCCGAGGCGGGCGGATCACGAGGTCAGGAGATTGAGACCATCCTGGCTAACACGGTGAAACCCTGTCTCTACTAAAAATACAAAAAATTAGCCAGGCGTGGTCGCGGGCGCCTGTAGTCCCAGCTACGCGGGAGGCTGAGGCAGGAGAATGGCGTGAACCCGGGAGGTGGAGCTTGCAGTGAGCCGAGATCGCGCCACTGCACTCCAGCCTGGGCGACAGAGCGAGACTCCGTCTCAAAAAAAAAAAAAAGAAATATTATATACTTGTTGGGTGCATGTATGTCTTCCTTTAAAAAGTATCTCTATGTCCTTTGCTCACTTTTCAATGGGGTTGTTATTTCTTGTAAATTTAAGTTCCTTATGGAATATTGAACTGCAAATATTTTCTCCCATTCTGTAGGTTTTCTATCTACCTTGGATAGTTCATTCTGCTGTGCAGAAGCTTTTTAATTGGGTGTCACTTGTCAATTTACTTCTTTCTTGCCATTGCTTTTGGAGTCTTCATCAGGAAATATTAGCCAGATCCTATGTTTTATTTTATTTTATTTTATTTTATTATTATTTTATTATTATTATACTCTAAGTTTTAGGGTACATGTGCACAATGTGCAGGTTAGTTACATATGTATACATGTGCCATGCTGGTGCGCTGCACCCACTAACTCGTCATCTAGCATTAGGTATATCTCCCAATGCTATCCCTCCCCATCCCCCCACCCCACAACAGTCCCCAGAGTGTGATGTTCCCCTTCCTGTGTCCACGTGTTCTCATTGTTCAATTCCCACCTATGAGTGAGAGTATGCTGTGTTTGGTTTTTTGTTCTTGCGATAGTTTACTGAGAATAATGATTTCCAATTTCATCAGATCCTATGTTTAGAATGATTATCTTCTAGGTTATCTTCCAGGGTTTTTGGTTTTTTGAAATTTTGGGTTTTACTTTTAAGTCTTTAATTCATTTTGAGTAGAATTTTTTTATGCTTTAAGAAAGGAGTACAGTTGGAGGAGCCAAGATGGCTGAATAGGAACAGCTCTGGTCTACAGCTCCCAGCGTGAGCGACGCAGAAGACAGGTGATTTCTGCATTTCCATCTGAGGTACCGGGTTCATATCACTAGGGAGTGCCAGACAGTGGGCACAGGTCAGTGGGTGCGTGCACCGTGTGCGAGCCGAAGCAGGGCGAGGCATTGCCTCACTTGGGAAGCTCAAGGGGTCAAGGAGTTCCCTTTCCGAGTCAAAGAAAAGGGTGACGGACGCACCTGGAAAATCGGGTCACTCCCACCCAAATACTGTGCTTTTCGGACCGGCTTAAAAAATGGTGAACCACGAGATTATATCCTGTACCTGGCTCGGAGGGTCCTTCGCCCACGGAGTCTCGCAGATTGCTAGCACAGCAGTCTGAGATCAAACTGCAAGGTGGCAGCGAGGCTGGGGGAGGGGCGGCCACCATTGCCCAGGCTTGCTTACATAAACAAAGCAGCCAGGAAGCTCCAACTGGTTGGAGCCCACCACAGCTCAAGGAGGCCTACCTGCCTCTGTAGGCTCCAGCTCTGGGGGCAGGGCACAGACAAACAAAAAGACAGCAGTAACCTCTGCAGACTTAAATGTCCCTGTCTGACAGATTTGAAGAGAGCAGTGGTTCTCCCAGCAGGCAGCTGGAGATCTGAGAATGGGCGGACTGCCTCCTCAGGTGGGTCCCTGACCCCTGACCCCCGAGCAGCCTAACTGGGAGGCACCCCAAGCAGGGGCACACTGACACCTCACACGGCAGGGTATTCCAACAGACCTGCAGCTGAGGGTCCTGTCTGTTAGAAGGAAAACGAACAAACAGAAGGGACATCCACAGCAAAAACCCATCTGTACATCACCATCATCAAAGACCAAAAGTAGATAAAACCACAAAGATGGGGAAAAAACAGAACAGAAAAACTGGAAACTCTAAAACGCAGAGTGCCTCTCCTCCTCCAAGGAACTCAGTTCCTCACCAGCAATGGAACAAAGCTGGATGGAGAATGACTTTGACGAGCTGTGAGAAGGCTTCAGATGATCAAATTACTCTGAGCTATGGGAGGACATTCAAACCAAAGGCAAAGAAGTTGAAAACTTTGAAAAAAATTTAGAAGAATGTATAACTAGAATAACCAATCCAGAGAAGTGCTTAAAGGAGCTGATGGAGCTGAAAACCAATGCTCGAGAACTACGTGAAGAATTCAGAAGCCTCAGGAGGCAATGCGATCAACTGGAAGAAAGGGTATCAGTGGTGGAAGACGAAATGAATGAAATGAAGTGAGAAGGGAAGTTTAGAGGAAAAAGAATAAAAAGAAACGAGCAAAGCCTCCAAGAAATATGGGACTATGTGAAAAGAACAAATCTACATCTGATTGGTGTACCTGAAAGTGATGGGGAGAATGGAACCAAGTTGGAAAACACTCTGCAGGATATTATCCAGGAGAACTTCCTCACTCTAGCAAGGCAGGCCAATGTTCAGATTCAGGAAATACAGAGAATGCCACAAAGATACTCCTCGAGAAGAGCAACTCCAAGACACATAATTGTCAGATTAACCAAAGTTGAAATGAAGGAAAAAACGTTACGGGCAGGCAGAGAGAAAGGTCAGGTTACCCTCAAAGGGAAGCCCATCAGACTAACAGCAGATCTCTCGGCAGAAACCCTACAAGCCAGAAGAGAGTGGGGGCCAATATTCAACATTCTTAAAGAAAAGAATTTTCAACCCAGAATTTCATATCCAGCCAAACTAAGCTTCATATGTGAAGGAGAAATAAAATACTTTACAGACAAGCAAATGCTGAGAGATTTTGTCCCACCAGGCCTGCCCTAAAAGAGCTCTTGAAGGAAGCGCTAAACATGGAAAGGAACAACCGGTATCAGCCGCTGCAAAATCATGCCACAATATAAAGACCATCAAGACTAGGAGAAACTGCATCAACTAACGAGCAAAATAGCCAGCTAACATCATAATGACAGGATCAAATTCACACATACCAATATTAACTTTAAATGTAAATGGACTAAATGCTCCAATTAAAAGACTCAGACTGGCAAACTGGATAAAGAGTCAAGACGCATCAGTGTGCTGTATTCAGGAAATCCATCTCAAGTGCAGAGACACACATAGGCTCAAAATAAAAGGATGGAGGAAGATCTAACAAGCAAATGGAAAACAAAAAAAAGGCAGGGGTTGCAATCCTAGTCTCTGATAAAACAGACTTTAAACCAGCAAAGATCAAACGAGACAAAGAAGGCCATTACATAATGATAAAGGGATCAATTCAACAAGAAGAGCTAAGTATCTAAATACATATGCACCCAATACAGGAGCACCCAGATTCATAAAGCAAGTCCTTAGTGACCTACAAAGAGACTTACAATCCCACACAATAATAATGGGAGACTTTAACACCCCACTGTCAACATTAGACAGATCAATGAGACAGAAAGTTAACAATGATATTCAGGAATTGAACTCAGCTCTGCACCAAGCAGACCTAATAGACATCTACAGAACTCTCCACCCCAAATCAGCAGAATAAAGATTCTTTTCAGCATCACACCACACCTATTACAAAATTGACCACATAGTTGGAAGTAAAGCACTCCTCAGCAAATGTAAAAGAATAGGAATTGTAACAAACTGTCTCTCAGACCACAGTGTAAACAAACTAGAACTCAGGATTAAGAAACTCACTCAAAACCGGTCAACTACATGGAAACTGAACAACCTGCTCCTGAATGACTACTGGGTACATAACGAAATGAAGGCAGAAATAAAGATGTTCTTTGAAACCAATGAGAACAAAGACACAACATACCAGAATCTCCGGGACACATTCAAAGCAGTGTGTGAGGGAAATTCACAGCACTAAATGCCCACAAGAGAAAGCAGGAAAGATCTAAAATTGACACCCTAACATCACAATTAAAAGAACTAGAGAAGCAAGAGCAAGCACATTCAAAAGCTAGCAGAAGGCAAGAAATAACTAAGACCAGAGCAGAACTGAAGAAATAGAGACACAAAAATCTCTTCAAAAAATCAATGAATCCAGGAGCTGGTTTTTTGAAAAGATCAACAAAATTGATAGACCACTAGGAAGATTAATAAAGAAGAAAAGAGAGAAGAATCAAATAGATGCAATAAAGACGATAAAGGGGATATCACCACCAATACCAGAGAAATACAAACTACCATCAGAGAATACTATAAACACCTCTATGCAAATAAAATAGAAAATCTAGAAGAAATGGATAAATTCCTCAACACATACACCCTCCCAAGACTAAACCAGAAAGAAGTTGAATCCCTGAATAGAACAATAACAGGCTCTGAAATTGAGGTAATAATTACTAGCTTACCAACCAAAAAAAGTCCAGAACCAGATGGATTCCCAGCTGAATTCTACCAGAGGTACTAGGAGGAGCTGCTACCATTCATTCTGAAATGATTCCAATCAATAGAAAAAGAGGGAATCCTCCCTAACACATTTTATGAAGCCAGCATCATCCTGATACCAAAGCCTGGCAAAGACACAACAAAAAAAGATAATTTTAGACCAATATCCTTGATCAACATTGATGCAAAAATCCTCAATAAAATACTGGCAAACCAAATCCAGCAACATCAAAGAGCTGTCCACCATGATCAAGTGGGCTTCATCCCTGGGATGCAAGGCTGGTTCAACATATGAAAATCAATAAATGTAATCCAGCATATAAACAGAACTACAGACAAAAACTACATGATTATCTCAACAGATGCAGAAAAGTTCTTTGACAAAATTCAACAATGCTTCATGCTAAAAACTGTCAATGAATTAGGTATTGATGGGATGTATCTCAAAATAATAAGAGCTGTCTATGACAAACCCACAGCCAATATCATACTGAATGGGCAAAAACTGGAAGCATTCCCTTTGAAAACTGGCACAAGACAGGGATGCCTCTCTCACCACTCCTATTCATCATAGTGTTGGAAGTTCTGGCCAGGGCAATCAGGCAGGAGAAGGAATTAAAGGGTATTCAATTAGGAAAAGAGGAATTCAAATTGTCCCTGTTGGCAGATGACATGACTGTATATCTAGAAAGCCCCATCGTCTCAGCCCAATATCTCCTTAAGCTGATAAGCAACTTCAGCAAAGTCTCAGGATACAAAATCAATGTGCAAAAATCACAAACATTGTTATACACCAATAACAGACAAACAGAGACAAATCATGAGTGAACTCCCATTCACAATTGCTTCAAAGAGAATAAAATACCTAGGAATCCAACTTACAAGGGATGTGAAGGACCTCTTCAAGGAGAACAACAAACCACTGCGCAATGAAGTAAAAGAGGATACAAACAAATGGAAGAACATTCCATGCTCATGGGTAGGAAGAATCAATATCAGGAAAATGGCCACATTGCCCAAGGTTATTTATAGATTCAATGCCATCCCCATCAAGCTACCAATGACTTTCTTCACAGAATTGGAAAAACGTACTTTAAAGTTCATATGGAACCAAAAAAGAGCCTGCATTGCCAAGTCAATCCTAAGCCAAAAGAACAAAGCTGGAGGCATCACACTACCTGACTTCAAACTATACTACACGTCTACAGTAATCAAAACATCATGGTACTGCTACCAAAACAGAGATATACACCAATGGAACAGAACAGAGCCCTCAGAAATAATGCCACATATCTACAACTATCTGATCTTTGACAAACCTGACAAAAATCAGAGCACCTCTCCTCCTCCAAAGGAATGCAGCTCCTCACCAGCAATGGAACAAAGCTGGATGGACAATGACTTGACGAGTTGAGAGAAGAAGGCTTCAGAAGATCAAACTACTGCAAGCTAAAGGAGGAAGTATGAACCAATGGCAAAGAAGTTAAAAACCTTGGAAAAAAATTAGATGAATGGCTAACTAGAATAAGCAATGCAGAGAAGTCCTTAAAGGACCTGATGGAGCTGAAAACCATGGCATGAGAACTATGTGACAAATGCACAAGCCTCAGTAGCTGATGAGACCAACTGGAAGAAAGGATATCAGCAATGGAAGATGAAATGAATGAAATGAAGCCAGAAGAGAAGTTTAGAGAAAAAAGAATAAAAAGAAATAAACAAAGCCTCCATGAAAATGGGACTATGTGAAAAGACCAAATCTACATCTACCTGAAAGTGATGGGGAGAATGGAACCAAGATGGAAAACAATCTGCAGGATATCATCCAGGAGAACTTCCCCAATCTAGCAAGACAGGCCAACATTCAAATTCAGGAAATACAGAGAACATCACAGAGATACTCCTTGAGAAGAGCAACTCCAAGACACAATTGTCAGATTCATCAAAGTTGAAGCAATAGGGAAAGGATTCCCTATTTAATAAATGGTGCTGGGAAAACTGGCTAACCATATGTAGAAAGCGGAAACTGGATCCCTTCCTTACACCTTATATAAAAATTAATTCAAGATGGATTAAAGACTTAAAAATTAGACCAAAACCATAAAAACCCTAGGAGAAAACCTAGGCAATACCATTTAGGACATAGGTATGGGCAAGGACTTCATGTCTGAAACACAAAAAGCAATGGCAACAAAAGCCAAAATTGACAAATCGGATCTAATTAAACTAAAGAGCTTCTGCACAGCAAAAGAAACTACCATCAGAATGAACAGGCAACCTACAGAATGGGAGAAAATTTTTTCAATCTATTCATCTTACAAAAGGCTAATATCCAGAACCTACAATGAACTCAAACAAATTTACAAGAAAAAAACAAACAACCCCATCAAAAAGTGGGCATAGAATATGAACAGACACTTCTCAAAAGAAGACATTTATGTAGCCAAAAAATACATGAAAAAATGCTCATCATCACTGGCCATCAGAGAAATTCAAATCAAAAAACCACAATAAGATACCATCTCACACCAGTTGGAATGGCGATCATTAAAAAGTCAGGAAACAACAGGTGCTGGAGAGGATGTGGAGAAACAGGAATACTTTTACACTGTTGGTAGGACTGTAAACTAGTTCAACCATTGTGGAAATCAGTGTGGTGATTCCTCAGGGATCTAGAACTAGAAATACCATTTGACCCAGCCATTCCATTACTGGGTATATACCCAAAGGCTTATGAATCATGCTGCTATAAAGGCACATGCTACACGTATGTTTATTGTGGCACTATTGACAATAGCAAAGACTTGGAAGCAAGCCGAATGTCCAACAATGATATACTGGAGTAAGAAAATATGGCACATATACAAAATGGAATACTATGCAGCCATAAAAAAGGATGAGTTTATGTCCTTTGTAGGGGAATTGATGAAACTGGAAACCATCATTCTCAGCAAACTATCGCAAGGACAAAAAAACCAACGCTGCATGTTCTCACTCATAGGTGGGAATTGAACAAAGAGAACACACTGACACAGGAAGGGGAACATCACACACTGGGGATTGTTGTGGGGTTGGGGGAGGGGGAAGGGATAGCATTAGGAGATAAACCTAATGCTAAATGATGAGTTAATGGGTGCAGCACACCAACATGGCATATGTATACATATGTAACAAACCTGCACGTTGTGCACATGTATCCTAAAACTTAAAGTATAATAATAATAAAACTTAAGAAAAAAGAGAAAAAAAGAAATTCTGGGTTGAAAATTCTTTTCTTTAAGAATATTGTATATTGGCCCCCACTCTCTTCTGACTTGTAGGGTTCCTGCTGAGAGATCCACTGTTAGTCTGATGGACTTCCCTTTGTGTGTAACCTGACCTTTCTCTCTGGCTGTCCTTAACATTTTTTCCTTTATTTCAACCTTGGTGAATCTGACAATTATGTGTCTGGGCGTTGCTCTTCTCGAGGAGTATCTTTGTGAATTTCTCTCTATTTCCTGAATTTGAATGTTGGCCTGTCTTGCTAGGTTGGGGAAGTTCTCCTGGAAAATATCCTGCAGAGTGTTTTCCAGCTTGGTTCCACTCTCACCATCACTTTCAGAGACACCAATCAAATATATATTTGATCTTTTCACATAGTCCCATCTTTCTTGGTGGCTTTGTTCATTTTTTTTTTTTTTTACTTTTTTTCTCTAATATTGTCTTCTTGCCTTATTTCATTAATTTGATCTTTAATCACTGATATCCTTTCTTCCACCTGATTGAATCAGCTATTGAAGCTTGTTCATACATCACATAATTCTTGTTCCATGGCGTTCAGCTCCATCACATCATTTCAGTTCTTCTCTACACTGTTTATTCTAGTTAGTCTTTCATCTGATGTTTTTTCAAGGTTTTTAGCTTCCTTGCGATGGGTTAGAACATGCTCCTTTAGCTCGGAGAAGTTTATTACTGACCTTTTGAAACCTACTTCTGTCAACTCATCAATCATTCTCCATCCAGCTTTGTTCTACTGCTGGCGAAGAGCTGCAATACTTTGGAGAAGAGGCACTCTGCTTTTTAGGATTTTCCATTTTTCTGCTCTGGTTTCTCCCCATCTTTGTGGTTTTATCTATTTTTGGGCTTTGATGTTGGTGACCTACAGAAGGTGTTTTGATGTGTATGTCCTTATTGCTGATGCTGATGCTATTCCTTTGTGTTTGTTAGTTTTCATTCTAACAGTCAGGTCCCTCAGCTGCAGGCCTCTTGGAGTTTGCTGGAGGTCCGCTCCAGATGCTGTTTGCCTGGGTATCACCAGCAGAGGATGGAGAATAGCAAATATTGCTGAACAACAAATATTGCTGCCTGATCCTTCCTCTGGAAACTTTGTCCCAGAGGGGGACCCACCTGTATGAGGTGTCAGCTGGCCCCTACTGGGAGGTGTTTCCCAGTTAGGCTACACAGGGTTCAGGAACCCACTTGATGAGGCATTCTGTTCCTTGTTAGAGCTCAAACACCATGCTGGGAGAACCAATGCTCTCTTCAGAACTGTCACATAGAGACATTTAAATCTGCAGACATTTCTGCTGCCTTTTGTTCATGTATGCCCTTCCCACAGAGGTGGATTCTATAGAGGCAGTAGTCCTTGCTGAGCTACAATGGGCTCTGCCCAGTTCGAGATTCCCAGCCACTTTGTTTACCTACTCAAGCCTCAGCAATGGAGGATGACCCCCCACCCCCCGTAAGGCTGCAGCATCGCAGGTCGATCTCAGACTGCTGCACTAGCAGTGAGCAAAACTCCATGGGAATGGGACCCACTGATCAAGGCATGGGAGAGAATCTCCTGGTCTGCAAGTTGCTAAGACCATGGGAAAAGTGCAGTGTTTGGGCAAAACTGTCCCATTTTTCCACGTACCATCTGTCACAGCTTCCCTTGACTAGGAAAGGGAAATCTCCTGACTCTTTGTGCTTCCCAGGCGAGGTGACATCCCGCCCACTTTGGTTCAACCTCCATGGGCTGCAACCACTGTCCAACCAGTCCAAATGAGATGAACAAGGTCCTTCAGTTGGAAATGCAGAAATCACCCATATTCAGTGTCGATCATACTGGGAGCTGCAGGCCAGAACTCTTCCTATTTAGCCATCTTGGAATGGACTAGATGTCCTTTTTGTTGATATTGATACTATTCCTTTCTGTTTGTTAGTTTTCATTCTAACAATCAGTCCCCTCAGCTGCACGTCTGTTGGAGTTTGCTAGAGTCCACTCCAGACAAGTTTGCCTGGGTATCATCTGCAGGGGAGGCTGCAGAACAGCAAATATTGCTGTCTGATCCTTTTTCTGCAAGGTTTGTCCCAGATGGCTACCCACCTGTTTGAGGTGTCTGTTGACCCCTACTGGGAGATGTTTCCCAGTCAGGCTAGACAGGGGTTGAGGAGGTAGTCTTTCCATTCTTGGAGATTGAATGCCGTGCTGAGAGAACAACTGCTCTCTTCAGAGCTGTTGGACAGGGATGCTTAAGTCTGCAGAAGCTGTCTTCTGCCTTTTGTTCCACTATCGCCTGTCCCCAGAGGTGGAATCTATAGAGGCAGTAGGCTGCACTGAGCTGTGTTGGGCTCCACCCAGTTTGTGCTTCCCAGCCACTTTATTTACACTGTGAACTACTCAAGCCTCAGTGATGGTGGATGGCCTGTCAAGCTGCAGCATCACAGGTTTATCTCAGACTGCTGTGCTAGCAGTGAGCAAGTCTCCATGGGCATGGAACCTGCCGAGCCAGGCACGGGAGGGTAGCTCCAGGTCTGCCGCTTGCTAAGAGTGTGGGAAAAAGCACAGTATTTCGTCAAGAGTGTACATTTCTCCAGGTACAGGCTGTCATGGCTTCCCTTGGCCAGGAAAGGGAAATCTCCCAACCCCTTGCACTTCCTGTGTAAGATGATGCCCTGCCCTGCTTCAGCTCACCCTCCATGAGCTGCACCAACTGTCCAACCATTCCAGTGAGAAGAACCATGTACCTCAGTTGGAAATGCGAAAATCACCCTTCTTCTGTGTTGATCTTGCTGGAGCTGCAGATCGTAGCTGTTCCTATTTGGCCATCTTCCTGATTTGAAGGACACTGATTTTCATACATTGATTTTGTGTCCTAAAAATTTGCTAATTTTTTTTAATCATGTAAGAGAGATTTTGTGCAAAAACTATGGGGTTTTCTAGATATAGAATCATATCATCTGAAAACAGGAATTTTTTAACTTTCTCTTTTCCTATTTGGAGGTCTTTTCTTTTTTTCCTCTTGTCTGAATGCTCTGGCTAAGGCTTCCAGTACTATGTTGAATGGGAGTGGTGAGAGAGAAAACCCTGGTCTTGCTCTGGTCTGAAAGGGGAAGTTGCCAACATTGCCATTCTGTGTGCTGTTGGCTACGAATCTGTCATGGATGTCTGTTATTATTTCGAAGTATATTTCTTCAATGCCTAATTTGTTGAAGATTTTTAGCCTGAAGGAATGTAAAATTTTATTGAAAGTCTTTTCTGCATCTATTAGATAATCTTTTCTTTGTTTTTAGTTACATTTATCTGGTAAATCACATTCATTTTTATCCATGTGTTGAGCCATCCTTACAACCGAGAAAAAGCCTACCTGTTAATGGTAAATAAGCTTTTTAATGTGCTGCTTTATTCAATTTGCTATTATTTGGTTGAGTATTTTTACATCAATGTTCATCACAAATATTAGCCTGAAGTTTTATTTTTATTTTTGTCTCTGCCAGATTTTGGTATCAGGATGATGTTTCCCTCACTTGATGAAATAGGTAGTTCGTTCTTCTCACTTTTAAATAATATTTTCAGTAGAAATAGTATGTTTGTCCTTATACATCTGGTAGAATTCTGCTGTGTATCCATTTATTCCGTTTTGTTCTGCTAAGCTTTTTATCACTTACTCAATTTTGGAACTCATTATCAGTCTGTTCAGGGATTCAATTACTTCCTACTTCAGACTTGAGAGGTTGTGTGTTTTCAGTAATTTATCCAGTAAATTTCGTCAATGTTTTATAACTTATGTGAATAGAGGGGTTCAAAATATTCTCTGGGGGTTTTTCACATTTTTATGGGGCAAATGGTAATGTTGTATCTCATTGTTTATTTAAATTATGTCTTTTCTATTTATTATTCTAGGTAGCAGTACATCCATCTTATTAATTCTTCAAAATGTAGATCTTGATTTCATTGATCTGCTGTATGGTTTTCAGTGTCTCAATTTCTTTCAGTTCAACTCTAATTTACCTTACTTCTTGTCATCTTTTAGCCTTGGGATTTGTTTATTTTTTCTCTAGTTCCCCTAGTTTCTCCAATTCTCCTATTAATAATTGTGATGTATGGTGTTAATCTGAGATTTTTCTAATTTTGATGTGGGCATTCAGTGCTGTAAAGTTCCCCTTTAACACTACTATGCCTTTGTCACATGTTCTGGTATGTTGTAAATTTGTTCTCATTAGTTTCAAAGAATTTCTTGATTTCTTCATTAATTTCATTGTTTATTCAGAAGTCATTCAGTAGTAGGTTGTTTAATTTCCATGTAATTGTATAGTTTGAAGTGATTTTGTGAGCATTAATTCTTATTTTGTATTGCAGTGTGGTTGAACAGTGTGTTTAATTTCAGTTTTTCTGAATTTCCTGAGAATTGTTTTTTGCCTGATTTTGTGGTTAATTGGGTTTGGCTATCTCCTGTATATTGTTAATTTTTAGTGTTATCCATATTCTGAATTCTGTTTCTGACATTTCAGCCACTTCAGACTGTTTAAGAACCATTGCTGGGGTTGAAGGTAAAAAAAACACTCAAACTTTTTGAGTTACCAGAGCTAGTGGACTTTCCCATCTGTGTGGGCTGACATTTCTTCAATCTTTGAAGTTGCTACTTTTGGATAATTTTTTTATTTTTTAAATTTTATGTATGTATGTATGTATGTATGTATGTATGTATGTATGTATGTATTTATTTATTTATTTTCTTTGCTTCTTTCTTGTTTGATGCCCCTTGGGGGTTGATTATGGCATAAAGTGTGTTTGGTTGACTGGCTTTAATTCTAGTTCACTCTGGGGCTTTGAGTGAACTAGAATTTCAACCCATTCAACCAAATTCAATTACTGTCTCCATGCCTATGTTTCTTTTGTTGGGCGTTTGGGTCCACAGGGCTACCTCAAGCAGAGGCCACAGTTGGCAAACAAGCTGTATCCTTGCAAAGTTGGCTATATTCTACTGTTTCTAAGCTTCCTTGGGAAATAGAATTGTGCCTGCCCTCCAAGATCAGGTAGAAGCAAGTCCACTGGTTGGAAGGATTAATGGGTGTGACCCATCTGGCTACAAGTGGTGGGAGTGGGTGGAGTTGTCCACCCTGCCATCTAGGAGTGAACACAGACAACAGGAGTCTGTGTCCCTTGGCAAATTCAGGCAGAGGTAGTACTGTTGGACTGGAAGCTGTAGCAGGTTTGACTCATCCCGCTACCACCAATGCCTGACCAATGAGTAGAAATGTCTGCCCTGCCATTCAGGTGTTTCCTGGCACAATAGAAAGCTGTATCCTTTAGCTGAATTTATATCCAAGCAGGGAAGCTGGCTGGTTGCCAGTGGCAGTGGTGAGTATAGTCATACACTCCATTTTCTGGGTGTTTTGGGTATCTCCCATGACAACAGTAAGCTGTGCCCTCCAGGTGCATTTACCCAGAGGGGTGTCTGCTGGGCCTGAATCTCTAGCAAGCATTGCCTGCCTCCCTGCCTGCCTGGATACCAGTGTCAGGAATAGGTGGTACTATCCAGGTGTTTTCTGGGACAAGAGGAAGTCATGCCCTCTAGGTAAGTCTATACAGAAGCAGGTCTACTGGGCTAGAAGCTCTAGCAGATGTTGGCCACCTGGCTATCATTGGTAGGGGTGGGTTCGGTCACCTGGTCTGCCATCTAGATGTTTCATGGGACAACAGGTTGAGCCCACTGGCTGGGCTCACACAGAAGCAGGGTGAGTGGGCCATAGGCTCTAGCAGGCATTGCCCACCTGCCTACCTATGGTGGTGGCATACAGGGTGGTACTGTGCTTCCAGGTGTTTCCAGGTTAATAGCAAATTTCAACCTCTAGCTGAAGTTTATTCAGAAATGGAGTCCCTGGGCCAAAAGCTGTAGCAAGCCTTGTTTGCCTGATTGCCAGTGGCAATGGCAGGTGGTGTCACATGCTATGCCATCTCAGTGTTTTCTGGGACAAGATGAAGCTGTGTCCTCCAGCTGAGTTTAGACAGAAGTGAGATTGCTGGGCCAGAGGTTATTGCAAGAGTTGCCCACCTTGCTATCAGTGGAGGGTTGTGTGTTCTGCTCTCCAGGTGTTTCCCTAGTTAACAGGAATCTACCCCTCCTGCTGAGTTCACACAAAAGGGGGACCACTGGGGTAAAATCTCTAGCAAACACTGCCTGCCTGATTATCAGTGGTGGGGATGTGTGAAGTGGATGGCCCAGTTTGGGCCAAAGAGACTGTTATCAGCAGCAAGACTGAGTGAGTTCTACAGCCTTTGATTATTGTTTTCTTGGGAGAAATAATTTGGCCAAAAGGAACAGGTAGATTTAAGGCAGAAACAAGAGTTTACTGAAGCAAAAAGAAAAGTATAATTGGAAGGCACCTGGTGAGCAATTCAAAAAATTGAGTGTCCCACACAATGTTTGGCTTAGGGGTCCTATAAATTTACATTATCATCTTTTTTATCTGGTCTCATCTACTCATTATTCTCTATGTATTTGCTGTTGGCTAATTGCTGCCTTTGGAGGATATTGCCAATTTTGGGGAGGGACTGCATGCATCATTTGGTGGTTAAAGTTATGTGCATGATCTCTTAGGGTAATTTTCTCTTACCGGTCTAGTGTTCCCAGAGAAAGGTCATATGAGGGTTGCATACCATCATTTTGCCCTTTCCTGTGATGACTGAGCATGCCCTTAGAGGAAGATCAAACATTTAGCCATTTTCAGTTTTTATCAGGCAGTGATTGCCCACAAGCCAAAGACATCCTGTGTTTGTTAGAAAATTGTCTTCTTCCTGTTTCCAGCCACCTGACAATTGCCTGACAGTCACCTGATATTCTTTGGGACTCTGTCCTGCCATGCTCATTTCTGCCTATCTAACTCACTGTAAGAGGACCACTGGTCTGGAAGCTGGCACTGAGGCACCGAGCCTCAACCAACAAGCAGAGGGTGATACAATCTTATTTCTCCTAGGCACTGCAACTGTGGCCTGTCCTGGGGATGTGGCACTGATGCTGGTATGTTGCAGGGCCCAAGACTTGTAGAGTGGCCCTGTAAAACATCCAGATGGCTCTCTGCTTCAGTCTAGAATTGTGATGGGGTTGCAGGAGGGTCAGGGAGATTCTCCTAGTCCCATCTGCACTGAACCCAAACAGGCTGGTGTACAACAACTTCACTTCTCTCTGCTATCTGTGTTCCTCTGCTGCCTTGGTGAATCCTAATGTGGTTTCTCAGATAATCAGCCTTCAGGGTCAGTGCTCGCTAGCCCTTCTATCTCCTCTCCGGGATAGCAGCACACGTGAGCTCTTGTAGTCCAACATTTTGGCCCGATCCCGTTTGATCTGTTTTAACTCCTTTATTTTTGTCCAATATGGATTATGTTACATGTAGTTAATCACTAATTAAATATTATAGCTTTACATATGATTGTATATACTAAAGATTGTTAATGAAAAATACTTCTATTACATACTGATAATTTATAAAATATTACATTTTAAAAATGTGAAACTAATAAAATGTCCTTATAATGATGCTTCTTTCTAGGTATGAGAGAACCGCCTCCTAAAAATATGATAAATATTAAAACATTTATTGAACATTTAACAAAACCTACAGAAGTGTGAATTATAAACAAAATTAGTAGATCTCTTCCTTGTTAGGACTGGAAAGACTTAAGGCAGGGGAAGAAAAAAACTAAGTATACAGAACTTAAGTAATGAACATAAGATTTTGTAGTTTTTTTTTGTGTGTGAAGTTCAGGGTAGAATATTAACATACATTTACTACTGTTTTAATAGTAACATTACTTTACTTATAAAACTGTGGTTATTTTTTATTTAATTTTTGGTACCTTTTTAATAAAATATATGATTGTTTAAACTCGTTTTACTTTATAAATATTTGTGAAATATTTATAAACATTAACTAAAATATCCCATTCACATGACTATGGAAAGCTTTTTATATATTTAAAAGAGTACTATGTAAAATATATAAATAACCATTTTATTAAATATAATTATAGTTTAAATCACATGAGTATAACAAATTTATGCCTTACAATATATATGTTATATACACATTCTAGTTTTAAATAAACATAACTTTTTAAATTTTTTTTTTTTTTTTTTTTTTTTGCATTGCCCAATTACCAGGCCGTATAGTTCTGGCACCAATTTATTAAGAGCATATGTGTAAGGGAGAAAAGCATATTTATTTCAGGGATTTAGGACATTATTTATTTCCTTATTTACTTAAAAGATTCTGCAGGAGTGAGATTGTGCAGATTGCACAGTGTAAGTACTCAGGCTACATTTTATTTTTACTGGATACATTTCTCAGACTCGGAAGGAAACACTTTTGGCTATTTTTTTTTTTTTTTTTAACATTTGTTGCTAGAAGACAAAAGTCCTCTTGTGATATCATTGGTACTAAAGTTGAGAACCACTGTAATGGCCTAGATTACTTTACCTGCATAGACTTACTGAGGCAGCATTTGAAGTGCAGTGTTAAAAACCATGCAGGCTGGAAGAGTAGCTGAAGAAAAATTTGTTTGAGATGGCACATATTTTTCAGGAACTTGAGATATTTCTCCTAAAGATGAATCAACTGGTTCAGAAGCCTGCCTTAAGGTCTCCATTATATGAACACACATTTCTTGGGGATGCAAACTTAAGGCCAATAATTGAAGAAAATGCTTTTCAAGTTTTGTCGCAAGAATCCTTGATATAAAGGCAATGTTACATAGTTTGTGTCTCTGAGCCAGATAAAGATAATGATTTTCTTTCTCTGATCTTACCCAGAAAACTTTGGCAAAGTGACCAATTCAACTCTATTTGGTGGAATAAGAATGGAACTTGCATAGTGATAAATGAGAAGTTTTGGAAAGAAAGACTCTTTTACAGAATATTTGAAACTGACAGTATGAAAAGCTTAGCTCAACAGCTCAACCTTCATGGATATAGTAAAATTTCACAGAATTTTCAAAGATCTGATATTCTAGCTGACCTTCTGGCAGAAGAAAAACAAAAATCTCTGTTTGAAGCAAGGTATTCAAAATATTTCAGTTGCCACTTTATGTAGAGTGTATTTTATTTTGTACATAAGTAAACATGTTAATACATGAAGTAAGGTCAGATTTTGAAAATTATATAAAATATTAAGGTTAAAATTATTTAATTTTTTAATATTTAAGGTAATTATTTAAGTTTTTAATTTCTTAAAATCATTGAGGGCAGCTTAAGTATTAAACTTTCAGGGTTTTAAGAAATTTTGCTAGCAACTTTGAATGAAGTGACCTCCAAATAAAGGTACCAAAGGCATTTAATGAAACATTACTATCAATATTCAACATGTTTACACTTGAGGGCTTTACTATTTGAATGCTTTTTTTCCCAACAAACATGCTCTTTTTTTATTTTATTTTATTTATTTATTTATTATTATTATTATTATACTTTAAGTTTTAGGGTATATGTGCACAATGTGCAGGTTAGTTACATATGTATACATGTGGCATGCTGGTGTGCTGCACCCATTAACTCGTCATTTAGCATTAGGTATATCTCCTAATGCTATCCCTACCCCCTCCCGCCACCCCACAACAGTCCCCAGAGTGTGATGTTCCCCTTCCTGTGTCCATGTGTTCTCCTTGTTCAATTCCCACCTATGAGTGAGAACATGTGGTGTTTTTTTTGTCCTTGCGATAGTTTACTGAGAATGATGATTTCCAATTTCATCCATGTTCCTATAAAGGACATGAACTCATCATTTTTTATGGCTGCATAGTATTCCATGGTGTATATGTGCCACATTTTCTTAATCTAGTCTATCATTGTTGGACATTTGGATTGGTTCCAAGTCTTTGCTATTGTGAATAGTGCCACAATAAACATACGTGTGCATGTGTCTTTATAGCAGCATGATTTATAGTCCTTTGGGTATATACCCAGTAATGGGATGGCTGTGTCAAATGGTATTTCTAGTTCTAGATCCCTGAGGAATCGCCACACTGACTTCCACAATGGTTGAACTAGTTTACAGTCCCATCAACAGTGTAGAAGTGTTCCTATTTCTCCACATCATCTCCAGCATCTGTTGTTTCCTGACTTTTTAATGATTGCCATTCTAACTGGTGTGAGATGGTATCTCATTGTGGTTTTGATTTGCATTTCTCTGATGGCCAGTGATGGTGAGCATTTTTTCATGTGTTTTTTGACTGCATAAATGTCTTCTTTTGAGAAGTGTCTGTTCATGTCCTTCACCCACTTTTTGATGGGGTTGTTTTTTTCTTGTAAATTTGTTTGAGTTCATTGTAGACTCTGGATATTAGCCCTTTGTCAGATGAGTAGGTTGCGAAAATTTTCTCCTATTTTGTAGGTTGCCTGTTCACTCTGATGGTAGTTTCTTTTGCTGTGCAGAAACCCTTTAGTTTAATCAGATCCCATTTGTCAATTTTGGCTTTTGTTGCCATTGCTTTTGGTGTTTTAGACATAGAGTCCTTGCCTATGCCTATGTCCTGAATGGTAATGCCTAGGTTTACTTCTAGGGTTTTTATGGTTTTAGGTCTAACGTTTAAGTCTTTAATCCATCTTGAATTAGTTTTTGTTTGAGGTGTAAGGAAGGGATCCAGTTTCAGCTTTCCAGATATGGCTAGCCAGTTTTCCCAGCACCATTTATTAAATAGGGAATCCTTTCCCCATTGCTTGTTTTTCTCAGGTTTGTCAAAGATCAGATAGTTGTAGATATGCTTACTCTTAAAAATAGTCGAGAGTGTACATGCATTATTTGATGAGATTAACTTTGCATGATAAAACAGAAATCTGAGATTTTATGCATTTTGTTATTGTTGCTTGTCTTTTGGTTTAAAATGGCACTAAATTACTTTTTCTTTTGGTTTTAGTTACAGTTCTATCATATTCCAAATTTTAAACATGGCTGTCCTCAACTTTTAATAAGAATGAAAAGAAGAGCTGGGATTAAAAACCCTTATGTATCTACTTTAGTTGCTGAAAATGCCAACAAGAAGCACTTTAGAGCAGGGGGTAACATGGATAATCATAATTCCAGCTCAGTGGCTGAAACTAGTGGAGAAAGTTCATTTTCTAACTCTACAAATTTAAATATGCCTCTAACAAGGAAGTCTATTGTCAGCCAGAGAATTGCTAATTCACCTGAAACAATCCAAAGTGTTTTTTCTTTCTCCTCCATTTCAGCCTCAGTTGGACCATCAGACAAAATTGCAACAGATCAGCATGCTATTTTAAATCAGTTGGCCACTATTCATATGCACTCTCATAGCACCTGCAACGCAAGCAAATGGCCACATTATGAATTTTGTTACAACCACAACTTCCCAATACCACATCGTAACTTCGATACAGAACAGTTCTTCGGGGCTAATGGTGGAACCATCTGCTTTTCCAACCAGACATTTTGAGGTATTAGTCAATAAGGCTTCTTATCCTAACTGGCTACCAGCAGGCAACCAGTGGTTCCAAATGCCTGTGATAGCTGATTCATCAGCTGCCTCTAATTCCAGGCCAGCTCATAACTATCTTCACTTGACAAATATCACCCTAATTACAACTGAACTTCCATCAGAGGAGGGCCAACTTACGCAGCACAACAGTGATTGAAATTTATATTGACAAAAAATTAAAAATTCCTGTATTTCTTTTACTGAACAATAAAATTACATGTTCACCTTTATGGTTGTTTTTTACTTATTTCTAAAAATGTGGCTAAGAGTAAAATGGAGTTTTATTTCAATGGCAGGCTATTGTACTACGTTTTAAAAACATTTATGGGCTTTTTGACAATTTGACAGGAAATTTGACATGCTCCTTTGTAAGTTAGTTTATTTAGTTACCTAAAAAGGAATAAATAATAGACGGTTTTAGTCTACTTGCTGCTCCAAGAACAAAATACCATTGACTGGGTAATTTTTTTTTTTTTTTTTTTTTTTTTTTGAGACGGAGTCCCGCTGTCTCCCAGGCTGGAGTGCAGTGGCAGGATCTCGGCTCACTGCAGGCTCCGCCCCCTGGGGTTCACGCCATTCTCCTGCCTCCGCCTCCCGAGTAGCTGGGACTACAGGCGCCCGCCACCTCGCCCGGCCAATTTTTTGTATTTTTAGTAGAGACAGGGTTTCACTGTGTTAGCCAGGATGGTCTCAATCTCTTGACCTCGTGATCTGCCCGCCCCGGCCTCCCAAAGTGCTGGGATTACAGGCGTGAGCCACCGCGCCTGGCCCTGACTGGGTAATTTGTAAAGAGACTTATTTTGCTGATGTTTCTAGAGGCTGGGAAGTCCATGGGGCTGCATGTGGTGAGACCTTCTTTCTATGTTACAACATGGCAGGAGGCTATCATATGGTGAAGGTCACATGAGGAACAGAAAATTGGGGCCAAAGTCATCCTTTGATCCAAAGCTCACTTGGACAATAATTAACCTGTTTTCCAGATAATACCTTCAATCCAGTCATGAGGGTGCACCCTCATGGCTAATCACCTCTTAAAGGTCCTACTTCCCAACACTATCACAATGGCCAGAGAATTTCAATGTGAAATTTGGAGGGGACATTCAAAACCATGACAGCAGGCAAAAGAAAATAAAGGAACTGGAGTTAGGAAATGGTAATAAGCAACTTCTCAAATAGTCTAGCATAAATCTAGTAGGGCCCAAATTAGGATGGCATAAAGGAGGGAACACATGCACACACAAACTCACACACACGCACACATACACACATAGAAAATCTAGAGAAAGGTTAACACACACTACATATTTCAGTATTTTCTCAGTTACATTTCCCCAGTTATTTTAAATTTGGATTTTAGTTGGCAAAACTCTTCATTACAATTTAAATCTACTAGGCCATCTCAGTAACCATGATAATCATCATTTGTGTTATCTTGAGTAATAAAGCTCATGTGATATTATATTCATGGACTGCATCACTGTCAGCACATGGTGGAATTTTACAGCTGGCATCAGCAAGGGCTATTTTTGATCTAACAAAGCAGTCCAGCAAGTTTGTGCCTTTAATTGCCTCCTGCAAGAGTGCACCTTTCATGTCTTCTAATGCACATTTTTATTCTTTTCTCTGACTTATTTTTTTGAGATAGTCTCACTCTATTGCCCAGGCCCAAGTACAGTGGCACAATTTTGGCTCACTATAACCTCCACCTCTGGGTTCAAGCAATTCTCATATCTCAGCATCTCAAGTAGGTGGGATTACAGATGTGTATTACCACACCCGGTAAACTTTTGTGGAGATGGGGTTTCACCATGTTACCATATTGACAGGCTGGTCTGGAACTCCTAGCCGCAGGTGATTCACCCGCCTTAGCCTCCCAAAGTGCTGGGATTACAGCAGTGAGCCACAGCACCCTGTCTCTAATGCACATTTTCACATGTTGGTTTTCACATTTCACATGTCTTAGTCCTGAAGGAGTCAGTACTAAAAACTGTAAATAGGCCCAAACAAAAATGTCTCCCCAAAGCCCACCTTCTCTAGCCACAGGGACAGGAAACGGACACCATACTAAGACAAAAATCTTTTATGCAATAGTCACACTACTTTAGCCAAAGAACACAACACAAAACAAAGCAAAACAAAAAACCTACCCAAGCCAACAAAGTCCAGGTGTGAATATCCATTGCACCAGGCAATAATGAAACATCCCAATCCTCTGCTGGAGTAATGCTGGGTCTGACCCACAGACCCTGGCCAAACAATAGATGAACAAATGCACTCAGACACAGGTACCCAGTGAAAGAGTGGGCTAGGGGACTGGGCTGTCTACAGACACTAAGGAGGGTGCCATAGTCAGCAGCCACAGCCCTGACATGCTGGTGCTACAGTCATTTATTCAGCACAGATTTAATAACAAAGGCTTTGAGTCAACACACTTGTGGGTAATTAACTTCGTCGCCCTCCACAAAGAAAGCAGTCTTGCATGCAAATGATCAGAGTCAGTTTTAGGACAACATAAGTAAACAAGCTATAACTCCTCTACATTCCCTTGTTATTTGCTTTTTTGTTTTTTTGACAGTCTTGCTCTATTGCCAGGCTGGAGAGCAGTTGCATGATCTCAGCTCACTGCAACGTCCTCTTCCTGAGTTCCAGTGATTCTCCTGCCTCAGCTTCCTGAGTAGCTGGGATTACAGGTGCGCATCACCACACCCAGGTAATTTTTGCATTTGTAGTAGACATGGGGTTTCACCATGTTGGCCAAAATAGTCTCAAACTCTTGAACTCGTGATCCGCCTGCCTTGGCCTCCTGATGTTATTTGCTTTTTACTATTAGCTCAAGGTAAGAGGATCAGGCTGCCTTCAGCCATAAACCTTTCCTAAAGCTTTTTCAAAACCTGTCCTTCCAAGAAAGTTTGTGTTTTTCATATAATTTCCTCTTATAATTTCTCCCACCACCCTGAACAAATTGCTACATCTCCCCCGTTTCTGTTTTTTTTGCATCAGATTTTGTTGAGTGAAGAGTACAGATGCAACAGGTCTGTCAGGGGTGGCAGTCACTGCTCATATTCCGGCTTTGCATCCTAGAATTAGTAAATAAGACAAACATGAATATAATTAGCAAAATTCTTTTACAATCAAGCAGTGACCCACGGCAGTTGGGGGGGTCTATCCAGGAGAGATGATCTCACACAACCTCCCATATGGCTGTTTGTTGTGCGTGTAGATCTACGGCGTTTAGGGGTTCTGGAATTTTAGTTTTATGTTGTTTTATGGCTACTGTTAAATTGTCATGAAAGACTCCCCAGAGGTGCTGTTTCACCTTATCCTAGCTATGTATTAATTGATTCCATGGTTGAGAAATAACAGAGACATGTTTATGCTCCCAGTTGCATTTTAATTGCTGTCAGAATGCCAGTGCGTCCTGTCACTCCCCCACATATTCCAAGGCAGCCTCAAGGGCTTGCAGACATGCAGGAATCTTTAGATCTATACCTTGCTATAAGAGAAGATTCTTAGACAACTTTCTGGCCAAATTATCTAGAAAAGTAGCCGTTTGTACTGATTCAGTAACAGATGCTACAGCAACACTAGCAGTTGCTAGGATGATTATGGTTGAGACTATAAAGGCTATAAGTGTAACTATGAATCTTTTGTGTCTGATCTGGGACAGGGCATGTTCTGAGCTTCCCTGCCCTTGCCAATCACAGGTTAAATTGACTGGTAGGATGGTGTCAGATGGTCTCCTCAATACCATGACCCTAGTAATATTTAAATTAGATACATTATAATTAGAGATACAAGAGGCAAACCAAGCCTGTCCCTGCATGAGGGTCACAAACGTGGAGTTTTGGGGTATAATAGAAATATTGGCTCCCATAAGAAAAACATATGAATGGGTAGTGTGCAAATCAGGCACTGATCAGGGTGATTATGAAAAAAGGTCACAGTATAATTGTGACTGGAATTATGATATGTCCCATCCCAGGTGTTAAAAGGGGTGCTAAGATGCCCCAGGCACCGTAAAGTGTCTTGGGGTGGCATGGACTTTACTTGAGGATGGAGACATGCCATCCCCATTTTGAACCAAATTATAGGGGAATGGGACGTGGCTACAAAACTGTCATTGATATCACGACAGACAAGGACATCAGTATGATTACCCTACAAACAGCTATGGGGGCTCCAGTTTAAGATGTTACAATTGCCTAACTGGAGGCTACGAGCTTATTCCCCATGACAGACCTCTCAGCTAAAGTGGAATCCATTACTTTCTTGCTTTTGTTCTTTAGCACAGTGAGGAATGTTTGAGAAAGTGGCATTGATTGCATTGCCTAGTTTAAGGCTATATGCAAGTAAGCCTGTTAAGACATTTCCTTTGCCATGATGTAGCCATACTTGTGTTTGGGCGGGTACACAGTAAGGGGTAGAACTTTTACAATTTACATACAGTGGGAGGATAGTGGGATGATATGTAGTGTTACCCCGCACCTTAGTCCAATGTGTGCCATTAATGAGGAACCCCAGTGGGAGTAAATCTATCCCTCCTAGCCAAGCAGTTACATTATTAGAGGCTGGGAAGGGGGTGTCTGCCCAGGTGACAAGGCGAAAGAAAGATGGGTGTAAGAGATGAGCCCAATAGAGGTGTAGCAGGTACAGGCTGCAGACAAAGCGAGAGCATACAAAGGATCAATACCCTACACAAGCTGCAATGTACAACACAGAGCATAGCAAGGAACAAATTACATGGAGTAAATGGTGTCTGTGTCCAGAGCAAGATTCGCTCAGCCTCCTGAGTGATCCTCTTCAGCATCCTCCAGGGCTTGTGTCATCCACAGAAGCTGCATCACCGCAGCTGTGGGTCCTGTAGGGTCATTTTCTTTATTTCTGGGTTGGGTCCTAGTAACCCCATGGTTTGATGCATCATGCTGGAATCCAAAGAAGGACCTGTGAGGGTGTGAACACAAGCATATCCTTTCCTCCACATTAACAATTCATTTAGACAACACCATACATTACTGTTTACATCTTTCCATAAAACTGCAGGTTTTATGTGTTGAGAGGGTTTAGGAAAGTGCTTTTCTACAGCTGATTGAAATTTATCATCTAAATTTAAAAAAATTAAGAGTAAGGCTTGTGCCAGTAGTGTTGCAGGGTCCTTACTCGTATTCCCCCTTTTTTGTTTTTTGAGCATATTTTTAAGGGTGAAGTGGGCACGTTCTACTATGGCCTGTCCTTGGGAGTTATACAGGATGCCTGTGGAATGTTGGATGTTTCATGTGTGACAAAATTGTTGAAATTGTGAGCTGGCATAAGCCAGACTATTATCAGTTTTAATTTTTGTGGGTTGCCCCCTAAATGCAAAAGTTAAAAGATGTTTAATGAAATAATGGGTGGACTTTCCAGGAAGAGCATGAGTGCTAATTAAATGAGAGTTGGTATCAACAGATACATGTACATATAAAAGTTTTCCAAATTCAGGGACATGTGTAACAACTGTTTGCCATAACTGATTAGGTTCTAGTCCACTAGGGTTAACACCTGTTGAAGGAGGGGATGTGCCTGTGAGCTGGCAATCTGGGCATTGCAGGATAATTTATTTAGCTAGTCTCTGGGTAAGTTAAAATTGCTTAGATGAACCCGTAGGTGTGCTTGATCATTGCCATAAGCCAATGAGCCAGGCAGTGAGTTGTGGGCCCGAATGTGTGTAACAAAAATAGGATGTGTACGTTGATCTAGTAATTGTTGAAGTCAGAAAAAAATGTGCACACAGGGTGGGCTCCAGAGTGGACTTAATGAGGGCTGTCTCAAGGTTCTGCAATAAATAAACAGAGTAAGAAGAGTCACTAATAATATTGATGGGCTGAGTGGAAAAAGGCTCGAGAGCCAATATTAAGGCTCCAATCTCAGCTCTCTAAGTGCTAGTAAATCCAGAATGAGTGAGGGAATTATGTGGTCTCCACTAGACAGCCTCTTTTCTGTGGTTACCAGAGCCATCAGTAAAGACTGTTAAAGTGTTAAGTATGGGGGATTGAAATATTTTTGTAGGCAAAACCACAGAAGTATGAGATAAGAACTGAAGAAGCTTGTCAGAAGGAAGTGCATGTTCTATATGGCCTGAGTAATGAGAGAGCTATTTTCAGGTCTATAGATAACGGCAATATTTCTTCAAATTGCTATTTACTTAAAGGAATCCTGTTGATATTAAAAGTCATAACCTAGAAACTGATTGCATCATCTATGGCCTGAATAGATGACTTTACTGATTAATTGGATATAGGGAGAAAGTGTTTTAGTCCCAGTAATGTGAGCAAAAAAACCCACTCTAGAAAGCATAGCCCCGGGGCCACCTGTCCTATTAACCCTATAGGGGAGTGTTTCATGGGAAAAATAAATAATTGCATTGAATACCATGGGTCAATATGAGCTAGCTGTCTTTGAGAAATAGCTAGCTCTGCTTCTTCAATTTCCCATTGTGCTGCAGGAGTTAAATAACTGGAAGAGTCTAGGGCAGCACTGCCTTTTAAGATAGAAAACAACGTCTGTAATTTATCACCTGTTATGCCCAAGATGGGGCGAAGACCATTAATATCACTTAGCAATTTCTGATAATCATTTAAGGTAGGTAAGTTGCTAGTATTTAATTTAAACTCTTGAGGTCTTACTGACGAAGAAGTTAGTATGCACCCAAGATATTTCTCAGGAGAAACTGGTTATAGGCTATAACAGTTGGCATTAGGTCTCTTAATTTAGCCTGTGAAACCAAGTCTCCACTAGCTTTAAGCAGCTGTTTCAATAGTTTTATGTATTGTTTCTGTTGAACTGATAACTGTTGTCCCAGGATGAAACCCTAGCCTGAACAATTCCTTCAAACTTGGAAATCCTGAGTGGGCACCAATGACTTACTGACTTACTGACTGTGCATTCTTCTTCACCTTCGTTTTTGAGGGTTCTGTCATGATGGTTGCAGCATTCCTCTCATGGGGTACCATCTGCCAGGTCTGACCCACAGACCCTGGCCAAACGATGGATGAACAAATGCACTCAGACACAGGTATCCAGTGAAAGAGCAGGCTAGAGGACTAAGCCACCTACAGATGTTGAGAAAAGTGCTATAAAGAGTCAGCAGCCACAGCCCTGACAAGCTGGTGCCACAGGCATTTATTTAGCACTGATTTAATGACAGAGGCTTTGAGTCAACACACTTGTAGATAATTAACATGGTCACCCTCCCAGAGAAAGCAGTCTTGTGCACAAATGATCAAAGGTTGGTGTTAGGACAACATGACTAAACAAGCTATTTAGATGAACTCCTCTACATTCCCTTGTTATTTGCCTTTTACTATTAGCTCAAGGTAAGAGGATCAGGCTGCTTTCAGCCATATCTCTTTCCTAACGCTTTTGCAAAACCTTCTGGCCTTCTAAGAAGGTTTGTATTTTTCCTATAATTTTATCTTGTAATTTCTCCCACCACCCTGACCGAGCTCCTACAGAGTAGAATCAGAGAAGGTGGAGTAGAGAGCTAGGGTTTCCAACTCTTACATGTGGTAAGAAGACACTCCTCCCCTCCTAGCCAGAGAGATGCACGTAAGGCCTTGGGTGAAGCTGAAACCTGCATATTCATTTATCAATAACAGGAAACCCTGCTTTGTGTGTCAAAGGAACTGAAGAAGGGAATTTGGAATTCTGCCCCTACTTGACATGCACACCCCTTTCCTCTGTTAGGGTGGTATCACACAAAGCCAGCTACAAATGAGGGTTGTAATAAGGTCTGGAGTCTCCTAATAGTCCCTCAAATATTCAAGTTTCAAATAAAGATTACTCATAAAAATCAAGAAATAGGAACGTCTCCACCTCAATGAAACAACATGATAAATGTCAACACAGAAATGTCAATACTATCAGGATTATCTGAGAAATATTTTTAAATTGTCATAAAAATAATTAAATGAAGAATTATGAACATGCTCAAAACTAATGAAAAAGTATAAAGCATAAAAATTAAAGGTTTCAGTAAACAAAGGGAAATTTTAGGACTAAAAACTGTAACAAAAATCATGTAACTCAGTCTGAGGTGATCTTAAATGTATGTAGAGAAAATATATAAGGCAAGTATAAAAAGCTAATAATACAGTGAATAATGGGAGGTATACAGGTTTATATATTTCACTGAAGCTGGTAAAAAGATGTCAGTATACTATGACAAATTATGTTTACAGAATTTCACACCTCAAAAAACAATTTAAAAAGACACATCTTTATACCTCTTTAGGTATACTCAAAAAGATGATAAATACATCAGAATGAATGTCTCAAATCTCTTCAAATAAACTACATAAAGGACAAAAAAAAAAAAAAAAAAAACTCAAGAGAAAAGAAAACAAAATAAAACCAGCAAACAGAAAATGAAGAGCTAATGAACATATCAAAAATTAACATTAAATGTAGGCTGGGTGCGATGGTTCGCTCATGCCTGTAATCCCAGCACTCTGGGAGGCTGAGGTGAGAGGATCACGAGGTCAGGAGATCGAGACCATCCTGGCTAACACGGTGAAACTCTGTCTCTACTAAAAATACAAAAAAAAAAAAAATGCACCACCAGGCGTGGTGGCATGCACCTGTAGTCCCAGCTACTCAGGAGGCTGAGGGAAGAAAATCATTTTAACTCAGAAGGTGGAGTTTGCAGTGAGCCAAGATCATGCCACTGCACTCCAGCCTGGGCGACAGAGCGAGACTCCGTCTCAAAAAAAAAAAAAAAAAAAAAAAAAAACAACAACAACAACAACAAAAAAAACAAACAAAAAAAAGTAAACTATTCTAAATAGTGTAAATACAACAAAAATATGGAGATTAGCAGTGTGAATTTTAAAACATGCCCCACACGTATACTATCTATAAGAAACTCACTTTCACATAAAAGTAGAGACAGGATGAAAAGTTCAAAAGTAAAAAAGAAAAATGTATCATGCAGACATTAGAAGAAAGCAGGAGTGGATAGACATATTCACCAGATAAAGTAGACTAGAGAAAAGAAAATTTTCAATGATGTAAAAGATATTATATAATGATAAATGAAACTAGTAACCGAGAAGAAACCACAATCTGTACTGTCCATGCAGCAAGAAACAGAACTGAAAATATGTGAAGTAAAACCTAAAAATATAAAAGAAAAAGACAAATCTACAATTACAGTTGGAAAGGACAACATCCTTTCTCAATTTACAGAACAACTTGAAAGAAAACCAACAAAGAAGAGGACTCAGCAACACCATCAACCAAAAGAATTGAATCAACATTAATGGAACGTTCCACCCAATGCCAAATACACATTGCTTTCAGGGTTCCTGTGCCATAAAAGAAAACTCAACAGACATAAAAGACTTACAATAATCCAGTGTGTTTCCCAACCACAATACAACTAAAGTAGAAATCAGTAAGACAAAGAAAAAAACAGGAGAATCTCCATACACTGGGAAGATAATCCTTGGGTCAAACAAGAATCCTTTAATAACGAGAGGATTTAAAAAAAATTGTCAAGGAAAATAAAACAATACACTGAGCTGGATAAACATGAAAATACAATACTTCAGATCAGATGAAGGTAAAAGCAGTGCTGACAGGTAAATTTATGGCATTAAATCAAAACATGAGAAAACAAAATGTATTTCAAAAATGTACACTTCTATTTTAAGAAGTTATATATAGAAGACCAAAATTAACTCATTTTCTTTGTCTGGGCTCAGTCTTTAGGACACATGTCTGCTGGGCCGGTGTACACCTTAAGCACTTTTCTGCACTCTGTCCGGTCTCTCTGATTCTTTAAATCCCACTTCATCTGGTACCAAAACCTGGGAACTGGAGACAGCAGATTTCTGTATCCTTTGCCTGTGGGACTGAGGCCCCAGAAGAGGGGAGACCTGAACCCCTCGGCACCACGGGAGGACTTCAGCCCATAAGGGAATTGGTCCTCCTCTGTCCTGGTGCCCTTCCTGACAGCGCAACAGAACCGGCAAAGGAGATTGCTGGACAGTGTCAGGAGCTCTGTGCAGACATATGAACTGCAGTAAGGGTCTGAGCCTTAAGGCAGGACCCGTCC
This sequence comes from Homo sapiens, assembly GCF_000001405.40. Lineage (NCBI taxonomy): Eukaryota > Metazoa > Chordata > Mammalia > Primates > Hominidae > Homo > Homo sapiens. The sequence goes on along the minus strand of NC_000024.10, from coordinate 20,798,796 downwards.
CCAGGGAGCGTGATCACCTCCCAGGGTGAGACAACTAGTCCGACCCAGAGGGACTGGGGACAACAAGAGAGGCCCCTTGATTCAGATGAAACTCATGCTCCAACCGACATCGAATGCGAGAGAGGCTTATAGGTCGGTCGGAAAAAGGAAATGAAAGTGGCAAGAGGGGCTCGCAGCTTTAACTAAAGAAAGAGAGAGAACAGAGGAGATTCAAGGAAACTGAAAGTGGCGGGGGCTCGCTGCTTTAACTAAAGGCCAGTACGGGAAATGGGGAGGTGTGTGAAAGTATGTGAAAGAGACGGTCTGAGCAGAGGCCAACTCGGGATGTGACGTGGGGAGACACAGATCTCTTAGCACAGACTGTGTGTTCCAAAGCGAGTGTGGGACGAGCCAGATCTAGGGCATTGCATACAGCCAATAGGAGCTGCTTCACGGCTGCAGCTGGCTGTGACAGGATTAAGGTATTCTCCTGGCTAAGCAACCCCCAGACTTCCCGTAATAGGACCCCGTCTGGTCAGTCCAGGAGTGAAAGTGACAGCAAATGCGCCTCTCAAGGCTGGAGATGGAAGGAAATGCTTCGAAGGCTACTGCATTGGAGTATATGTTGAAAAATTTCAAGAAAGGTTTTAATGGAGATTAATGAAGTTAAATTGACTCTCAGAGATTGAGAACTCTCTGTGAAATGGATTGGCCTTTTTTTAATGTCAGGTGGCCGACTGAAGGAACAATAGATAGGGAGATAATTGGCCGTGTGTTTAGGGTAGTAACTGGAACCGGAGAACAATCTGGGCACCCCGATCAGTTCCCATACGTTGACTCCTGGCTGAGGGTCATTGAAAATCGCCCCAAGTATCTGCAAGTCTGTTTTGAAAACTACTGTAATACCTTGGTAACCTGTGCCAAATTACACACAGTAAAAGTGTCCAAAGAGACTGTAGAAAAAAAGAAAAAGCCACGAGGAGAACAGAAAAAGCCTGTTTTGCAAGCCCGACCTGAGGAGAGGAAAATTCCACCTCTCTATGTCCCAATATATCCATCTCTGGCAAGGCTAAGGCAGGATGCCAAACAAGTGGTCCTAGAGGAATAAAGCTCAGAGGAGAGTGATTTAAGGTTTCACCTGGCAGGGAAGAGTTAGAGCCCCTGTCTGTAAAGACTAAGGAAGAACCTCAGGATAATGAGATCAGGCTGCATCCAAGCTTTGCAGATGCCTCTCGGGGAGACACAAGGTTATATTTATCATGATGAACAAGGTCAAATCCGAGGAGGGCAGGGTCTTTTTGTTTACTAGCCTTTCTCCACCACTGACCTAAACTGGAAACAGAATACACCCTCCTATACGGAGAAGCCCCAGGCCCTTACAGACTTGATGTGGTCCATCTTTCTGACTCATAACCCTACCTGGCCTGATTGTCAACAACTTCTTTTAGCATTATTCAATATGGAGGAATGTCGTAGAGTGGCACAAGTGGCCCTCCAGTTGTTAGAAAGCAATGAACCAGAAGGCACAAACAATGTCAAGCAGTATGCACCGGAGACAAAACCAGGCAGAAGGGTTACAAAACCTGCAATGGTATTGAAAGGCACTCCTTAACGGAATAAAGGCAGGAGGAAAAAAGACAATGAATATGGGAAAGGTCTCAGAGGTTCACCAGAAGGCTGATGACAGTCATAGTAAATTTTATGAAAGGCTCTGTGAAGCATACTGCCTTCACACTCCATTTGACCTAGAGGCTGTAGGGAACCAGTGCATGATTAACAGGGCATTTGTGGGCCAGGCACAAGGTGGTATCAGATGAAAGCTTCAGAAGTTGGAAGGGTTTGAAGGTATGAATATCACCCAGCTTATTCAAGTGGCTACCATGGTGTTTGTTAATTGAGAGGAGGAAACCAAGGAACAGGCAATGCCAAAGCTAAGAAAAAGGCTGATTTGTTGGCTGCTGCCATGGTAGAAAGAGAGACTGGATTTGTGAAAGGATGTGGATGTAGAAATGGTTGTGGACATGGTTGTGGAAGAGGACAAGCTAGGCCAGGGCAAGAGGGCTGGCTAGGCTTGAGAGGGATCAGTGTGTGAGATGCAAACAGAAAAGGGAATTAGAAGGATGAATGTACAGAAACAGAAAAGGATGGAGGCAACAGCCAAGGACCTGAGACATGGCAAAGGCCAGCAGCTGCTAGCCATTGCATTTTGAAGCAAGAAGCTGACTTGGTCGGCTTGGCAGGAATTGAAGAATATGAGGACTGAGACAGACCAAGCTCGATCTCTCTGGGCCTCCGGGAGCCCTTGGTCTCTATGGAGGTAGGGGACCAACAGATGGACTTTATGGTAGATACTGGTGCTGAGCACTCAGTGATGACATGGCCAGTGGGGCCACTATCTAAAAACTATGCTACTATAGTTGGGGCAACCAGAGTGTCAGAAAAAAGGCCTTTCTTTCAGTCCAGAAGGTGTGTTATTGGAGGTCAGGAGGTCTGGCATGAATTTCTATATCTGCCAAACTGTCCGGTGCCTCTGTTAGGGAGGGACATACTTCAGAAACTCCAAGCTCAAAGTTCTTTCAGGTCATAAGGAAACATGACTCTAGATCTGAGTCGTCTGAAAGCCATGGCATTAACCCTTACCTTGCCAAAAACTGAGGAATGCAGGCTATACATGAAAGCAGCATATCAACTGTCCAAGTTTATGGGCAGACTAATGGACAGGCTTGTTCTGAAGATACCTGAAGTGTGGCAGAAGACAATCCACCAGCACTAGCTATACCCCAAGCATCAGTGGTAGTAGAGCTGAATCCAGGTGTGTCACCAGTGTGTGATCCACAGTACCAGGTGTCCATAGAGGCAGTATGAGGTATGAACAAACACATGAGCCAGCTGTTAGAACATGGAATTATAAGAAAATGTAAGTCACTCTGTAGGTCAACCAGTAAGAGAACACACCTCTCTTACTGGTGCAGAAACCATCTGGTGAATTTAGACATGTGCAAGACCTATGGGCCATAAATAAAGTCACTGTTACTTTGCATGCCATGGTACCCAACTGATATACAATGATGAGTCAGATACCTGCTCATGCTGCTTGGTTTACTTGTTTAGACTTAAAGGATGCTTTCTTTTGCCTCAAGCTAACTCCAGTAAGCCAATCTATTTTTGCATTCAGATGGGGGAGAAACACAGTATACTTGGAGGCGACTTCCACAAGAGTTCAAAAACTCCCCTCCTATCTTTGAGGAGGCATTAGTGTCTGATCTCAAGGATTTTGTCTCGCCAAATGACAAATGTGTCCTGTTGCAGCACATAGATGATCTTTTGTTTGCAGCCCCAACTAAGGAAGATTGCTACCAGGGCATTGAGGGCCTCCTGCATCTACTATGTAAAGCAAATTATAAGGTGTCCCAGAAGAAGGCCCAGATTTGTGAACAAGGAGCAAGATATCTAGGTTTCTAGTAACTCAAGGGCAATGTGAAATGGGCAGTGAGTGAAAACAGGCTGTTTGTGCTCTTCCATCACTTGTAACATGTCAGCAGATCAGAGAATTCTTAGGGGTAGCTGTGTTGTGCCACATTTAGATACCAAACTTTTCACTTATGGCAAAACCACTGTATTAAGCCACCAAGTGGGGAGAAAAAGAACCTCTTCTGTGGGGAGTTGAACAGGAAAAAGCTTTCAACAACATCAAGAAAGCTTTAATCCAGGCTCCAGCCTTAGGACTGCCTCACCTGATAAAGCCATTCTTTCTCTACATCCATCAGAGAAAGGGAATGGCCACAGGAGTTTTATTTCAAATGGTAGAGTTGTGGAATCGACCAGTGGCTTACTTGTCAAAATGACTAGATTTTATGGCCTTCAGATGGCCCCCCTCTTTGAAGGCATTGGCCACCACTGCCACGCTAGCCGAGGATGCAACCAAGTTAACTCTAGCCCAAAGGCTAATAATACGGGTGCCACATACCATAATTTTCCTAATGGGTCAAAAAGGATATCACTGGCTATCTAATCCAAGAATATTAAGATACCAAGGGCTCTCATTTGAAAATCCAAATATAAATTTAGAAACTGTAAATATCCTAAACCTGGCTACTCTTTTGCCCATGGAAATGCCCAAGCTGCATGACCAATTTCCCCAGCACTACTGTGCAGACGTTGTGGACAAAATATTCTTGAGCCAGAAGGATTTAAAGGACCAGTCCTTCAATCAGGTAGGAGAAAGAAATAAAGAGTATTCAATTAGGAAAAGAGGAAGTCAAATTGTCCCTGTTTGCAGATGACATGATTGTATATTTAGAAACACCATCATCTCAGCCCAAAATCTCCCTTTAAGCTGATAAGCAACTTCAGCAATGTCTCAGGATACAAAATCAATGTGCAAAAATCACAAGCATTCCTATACACCAATAACAGACAAACAGAAAAATCATGAGTGAACTCTCATTCACAATTGCTACAAAGAGAATAAAATACCTAGGAATCCAACTTACAAGGGACGTGAAAGACCTCTCCAAGGAGAACTACAAACCACTGCTCAATGAAATAAAAGAGGACACAAACAAGTGGAAAAACATTCCATGCTCATGGATAGGAAGAATCAATATTGTGAAAAGGGCCATTCTGCAAAAGGTAATTTATAGATTCAATGCCACCCCCATCAAGCTACCAATGACTTTCTTCACAGAATTGGAAAAAACTACTTTAAAGTTCAAATGGAACCAAAAAAGAGCTTGCATTGCCAAGACAATCCTAAGCTAAAAGAACCAAGCTAGAGACATCACACTACGTGACTTCAAACTATACTACAAGGCTACAGTAACCAAAACAGCATGGTACTGGTACCAAAACAGAGATATAGACCAATGGAACAGAACAGAGCCCTCAGAAATAATACCACACATCTACAACCATCTGATCTTTGACAAACCTGACAAAAACAAGAAATGGGGAAAGGATTCCCTATTTAATAAATGGTGCTGGGACAACTAGCTAGCCATATGTAGAAAGCTGAAACTGTATCCCTTCCTTGCACATTATATAAAAATTAATTCAAGATGGAATAAAGACTTAAATGTTATAACTAAAACCATAAAAACCCTAGAAGAAAACATAGGCAATACCATTCAGGACATAGGCATGGGCAAGTACTTCATTACTAAAACACCAAAAGCAATGGCAACAAAAGCCAAAACTGACAAATGGGATCTAATTAAACTAAAGAGCTTCTGCACAGCAAAAGAAACTACTATCAGAGTGAACAGGCCACCTACAGAATGGGAGAAAATTTTTACAATCTAGCCATCTGACAAATGGCTAATATCCAGAATCTACGAAGAACTTAAACAAACTTACAAGAGAAAATCAAACAACCCCAATAAAAAAGTGGGCAAAGGATATGAACAGACACTTCTCAAAAGAAGATATTTATGCATCCAACAGACACATGAAAAAATGCTCATCATCACTGGCCATCAGAGTTGATCAATTTGCAACAGAGATTTGCATCAGAGAAATGCAAATCAAAACCACAATGAGATACCATCTCACACCAGTTAGAATGGTGATCATTAAAAAGTCAGGAAACAACAGGTGCTGGAGAGGATGTGCAGAAATAACACTTTTACACTGTTGGTGGGAGTGTAAACCAGTTCGGCCATTGTGGAAGACAGTGTGGTGATTCCTCAAGGATCTAGAACCAGAAATACAATTTGACCCAGACATCCCATTACTGGGTATATACCCAAAGGACTATAAATCATGCTGCTATAAAGACACAAGCACACGTATGTTTATTGCGGCACTATTCACAATAGCAAAGACTTGGAGCCAACCCAAATGCCCATCAATGATATACTGGATTAAGAAAATGTGGCTCACATACACCATGGAATACTGTGCAGCCATAAAAAAGGATGAGTTTATGTCCTTTATAGGGACATGGATGAAGCTGGAAACCATCAATCTGAGCAAACTATCGCAAGGACGGAAAACCAAACACTGCATGTTCTCACTCATAGGTGGGAATTGAACAATGAGAACACTTGGAAACAGGGTGGGGAACACCACACACTGGGGCCTGTTGTGGCGTGGGAGGAGGGGGGAGGGATAGCATTAGGAGATATACCTAATGTAAATGATGAGTTAATGGGTGCAGCACACCAACATGGCTCATGTATACATATGTAACAAACCTGTATGTTGTGCACAAGTACCCTAGAACTTAAAGTATAATAATAAATAAAAAGATCATGTCCAATAAATAAATAAATAAATACATACATAAATACATAAAAAGACCAGCCCTTTGAGGTACGAGATGTTGAATATTTCACAGATGGGAGCAGTTTCACATCAGAGGGGATCCACCAAGCCGGGCAAGGAGTGGAGACTCTTAAGTTCAGTAGCTGAGGCACAGGCCCTCCCTGCTGGGACCTCACTCAGCACACAAAGCAGAATTTATAGCTCTAACTAGAGCCCTGCTGGTGGCCAAAGGAAAAACAGTCCACATTTACACTGACTCAAAGTATGCTTCTGCCATATTGCATGCCCACGAGGCTATTTACAAGGAAAGATGACTTTTAACTGCTGGAGGGAAAGAAATTAAAAATAAAGAGGAAATTTTACAGCTCTTACATGCTATGTGGGCTCCAGACAGGATGGCAGTCATTCACTGTAAAGGACACCAGACAGGTGGTGGCATAGAGGCACAAGGAAATAGAAAGGCAGAGAGAGAAGCCAAGCAAGCAGCTATGTCCAACCTAGGTACTAAAAAGTAGACCCCAACCCTGCCACTTCTACTAGAGCCTTCCTTAACTGAAACCCCACACTACTCTCCAAATGAGAGAACTTGGTTTGAACAAGAGAGCGGAAGTTACATAGGAGGCTGGTGGAAGTTCTCAGATGGAAGGCTAGCTATCCCAGAAACAATAGCCCCCTGATTTGTAAAAGTTTCATCAAGGATCGCACATGGGAAAAACTGCTTTAGAGACTCTTGTAGTACAGAACTTTTATGTCCCACACCTTATTGCTATCACTTAAGCTGTTTGTGGCAATGCATGACTTGTGCTCTGAACAATCCAAGGCAAGGGCCAACTCGGCCCCCAGGAATTCAAGAGATAGGAGCGACACCTTGTGAGAATTTGCTTGTGGACTTCACCAAACTGCCCGAGCAGGGGCTAACAGTGCCTGATGTTTGTTTGCAATTTCTCAGGATGGGTTGAAGCATTCCCCACTAGGACACAGAAAGCCCTAGAAGTAACCAGAGTATTGCTAAAGGACATTATTCCTACATTTGGACTGCCTCTGTCCTTAGGATCAGACAATGGCCTGGCATTTGTGGCTGAAGTTGTACAGCAACTAACTCAGCTGCAAAAATAAAGTGGAAATTACACACAGCCTACCACCCACAGAGCTCAGGGAAGGCAGAATGGATTAACCAGACATTGAAGCAGCTGCTGAAGAAATTTTGTCAAGAAACTCATCTTAGGTGGTATCAGGTCTTGCTCATGGTCCTTCTCTGAGTCAGGTATACCCCTACCAAATTAACTGGGTATTCACCCTATGAGATTGTGTTCTCTAACCACCCCCAATTATAAATCAGATTATAGGTGATCTCTGGGAACTAGGAGAACTAACTTTAAGAAGGCAAATGCAGGCCTTAGGGCAAGCTATGCAGAAGGTCCATGACTGGGTTCAAGAAAAGATGCCTATTAGCCTGACAGACCCAGTCCACCCTTTTATACCTGGAGTTTTTGTTTGGGTTAACAAATGGAACCCAACCACCTTACGGCCCACATGGGATGGGACCCACACTGTAATCTTGTCTACTCCCACTGCTGTTGAAGTTGCAGCTATCATACCCTGGATTCGCCACAGCCAACTGAAGCTGGCTGCCCAGGACCAGTGGACCAGTCAGCAGGACGCAGATCATCCAACATGACTGATTTTGTGGCAAAACCAAGCCACTGCTGAGAAGAACTGCCCTGCTCTGACCACACCGGAGGCTGGTCAGTCTATGCACGACTGAAGCTTAAGGAGTCTTCAAGCCCTGCTGAAGTCACACACTGAAAGCTGACTGGTCTACCCACAGCCGAAGCTTTAGGAATAAGCAATAGATAAGTAGACATGGATAAAATTCATAAGTCTAGTTGTGATTTTATCAGTATTAATTATCTTGTTATTATGCTGTTACTACAAATGTTGCCAATCCCTTTGTCCAGGAGAAAGCCTCCCATGCCCATGTGTAGTGTAATCATGTTTCTATTATACACACTAATGTTGTTACTATTTCTGCCTAATTCTTCCTTGTCTCTTACCTCTTTTCATCAGAATTGTTCAGTCAACTATAGAGGCAATCATGGCCAGACACACTATTGCCCGAAAAATGGCATTGACTAAGTATCAGGTTTTGCCCCAAGAAGAATATGTATCAGCCCAAGAAGAAATAAACAATTGTAGTGCTCTATTAACCAACATTAATACAGAGCACCAAAGTGGGGATGAAGGGGGAAATTGTGAAAATAACAGAATAATAACATAAGTCATAATAGTAAAAATTATAATAATAGTTAGAAAAATAACAACAGTTCATAGAATGAATTTCTGTATTAACCAAAGCTAAGAAGAATGTAAGTAGCCCCCCGAAATTAAAGTCAGAAGAGAATATTAACTGTCTGTTCCAAGAACCATTAACCATGTCTATCCTCCACATATTTTGTTGGCTTTATAAACTCCTACTTCTTTCTTCCCTGCACAGCTGCAAAGTCCCAAGACATAAGCATAAGCTGCAAACCAAGTTCTCAAAGAGATGTAAGACATGTTACAAAAGTGTCACAGCAGCCTTTTGTTCTTGCTTCTGTAAGCCTGCTTCATGTAGTACCTGCCTCAAAATGCTTAAAAGGGACTCGTTTTCTTTGTTCTGGGCTCACCTTTAGGACAAATGTCTGCTAGGCTGGTGTACACCTTAAAACAAACACTTTCTTGCACTCCATCTGGTCTCTCTGGTTCCTTAAATCCCGCTTCACAATGAGGCAAGACAAAAAATAAAATACTTCCAAGCTGGAAATGAAGAAGTGAAATTATCTTCGTTTGTAGACAACATAATTTTACACACAGAAAAACCTAAAGAATTCATCAAAACCAGAACTAATAAAAGAATTCAAAGGTTGGGTGCAGTAGCTTACACCTGTAATCCTAGCACTTTGTGAGGCCAAGGTGGAAGGATTGTTCAAGATCATTCAAGATCCTTCCACTGGTGTTCAAGACCAGCATGGCAAAACTCCATCTCTCCAAAAAATACAAAATTGGCCAGGCACGGTGGCTCACACTTATAATCCCAGCACTTTGGGAGGCCAAGGCAGGCACATCACACGGTCAGGAGATCGAGACGAGCCCAGCCAGCATGGTAAAACCTTGTCTCTACTAAAGATACAAAAAATTAGCTGGGCATGGTGGTGGGTGCCTCTAATCCCAGCTACTCAGGAGGCTGAGGCAGGAGAATCACTTGAACCCAGGAGGAGGAGGTTGCAGTGAGTTGAGATCACACCATTGCACTCCAGCTGTGGCAACAGGGTGAGACTCCATCTCAAAAAAAAAAAAAGAAAAAAAAATTAACTAGGCATGGTGCAGCTGCATGCCTGTAATCCCAGCTACTTAGAAGACTGAGGAGGGAGGACTGTTTGAGTGTTTGAGCCTGGGAGGTTGAGGCTAACATGAGCCCTGATTATAGCAAAGCACTCCCAGCCTGGATGCTAGAGCAAGACCCTGTCTCGAAAGAAAGACAACCTATAATGCCAGCACTTTGGGAGAGTAAGGCAGGTGGATCACTGGAGGTAGGAAGTGCAAGAGCAGCCTGGCCAATATGGTAAAACCCCGTCTTTACTAAAAATACAAAATATTAGGGTGGTAAGCTCCTATAGTCCCAGCTACTTGGGATTGAGGTGGAAGAATCTCTTGAACCTCCTCAGAGGCAGCAGAGGTTGCAATGAGCCAAGCTCATGCCACTACACTCCAGCCTGGGCAACAGAGCAAGACTCCATCTCAAAAGAAAGAAAAAATAAAAGACAAGAAAGAGAGAGAGAAATAATAAAGTCAACATTAAAAAAACAGCATTTCTATACAGAAAGAGATTTATCTGAAAAAGCAATCACAAAAAAAAAAGCCCATTTACAATACCTACAAGAAAGTTAAATACTTCAGAGTACGTTTAGGCTGGGTGCAGTGGCTTGCACCTGAAATACCAGCACTTTGGGAGGCTGAGGCTGGTGGATCACGAAGTCAGATCAAGACCATCCTGGCTAACACAGTGAAACCCAGTCTCTACTAAAAATACAAAAAAATTACTCATGCATCATAATGGGCGCCTATAGTCCCAGCTACTCAGGAGGCTGAGGCAGGAGAATGGCATGAACCCAGGAAGCAGAGCTTGCAGTGAGCAGAAATCACACCAATGCACTCCAGCCTGGGCGACAGGGTGAGACTCCATGTCAAAAAAAAAAAAAAAAAAAAAGTATGTTTAACTGGCTGGGCATGGTGGCTCACACCTGTAATCCCAGCACTGTGGGCGGCCAAGGCAGGTAGATAATTTGAGGTCAGGAGTTTGAGACCAGCCTGGCCAACATGGTGAAACCCGTTTCTACTGAAAATATAAAAATTAGCTGGGCATGATGGCCCATGCCTGTAATCTCAGCTACTCAGGATGCTGAGGCAGGAGAATCACTTGAACCCAGGAGGCAGGGTTGCAGTGAGCTGAGATCATGCCATTACACTTCAGCCTGGATGCTGCAGCAAGACTCCATCTCAAAAAAAAAAAAAAAAAAAAAAAGTATGTTTCACCAAGGAAATGAAATCATCTGTATACTGAAAACTATAAGACACTGATAACAGAAACTGAAGAAAAAGTTGTTGCCTGTTCATGGATTAGAAGAATCAATATGGTTAATTTTCAATACTACTCAGAGCTATTTATTTCAGTGCAATCCCCATCTATATTAAAACAAAAAAAAAAGTGTCTGGCAAAACAGAAGAGAAAAAAAATCCTAAAATTCATCTGGAACCACAAAACAATCCTGAATTGGCAAGTCAATCTTGAGCCAAAAAACAAACGTGGAGTTATCAAATTACCTGACTTCAACATACACTACAAAGCTACAGTAACCAGAACAGCATTACTTAAAAAAAAAAAAAAAAAGAATTGACATATGAAACAGAATAAAGTCCCAAAAAAAAAACCATACTAATTTTTGACAAAGGTGCCAACAGCCCACAATGCGTAAAAGACAGTCTCTTCAATGATTAGTGTTAGGAAAACTAGATATTGACATGCAGAAGAATGAACTTAGGCTTTCTCACAACACACAAAACCAACCAAAATACATTAGGAACTTCAGTGTAAGACCCGATATTTCCACAACTACTATTAAGTATAACGAAACACAGGGGAAATGTTCCAGGACATTGGTCTGGGCAATGACTTGTTTCATATGATGTCACAGGCAACCGAAACAAAAACAGAGAAATGGGATTACATCAAACAAAAAAAGCTTCTGTGCAGCAAAAACAAAACAAACAAAACAAAAACCAGTATAAAGAGTGAAGAGAAACTTACAGGGTAAGAGAAAGTATCTGCACACCATATGAATAAGAAGTTAATATCTAACATATGAGGAACTCAAACAACTCAACAGAAAGGAAACAACTAACTCAATAACAAATGGACAAAGAACCAGAATAGACATTTCTCAAAAGACCCAGGAATGGTCAACAGCTATATGAAAATACTCAATATCATTAGCTATCAGAGAAATACAAATCAAAACCACAATGAGGTGTCACTTCACTCCTGTTACGATTGCTGTGATCAAGGAGACAAAAGTTAACAAGTGTTCACGAGGATGTGGAGAAAACAAAACCCATGCACATTGTTGATGAGAATGTAAATTAGCACAGCCATTATGGAAAACAGTATGGAGGCTGTTTCACAAATTACAAATAGAACTACCATAGGATCAGAAATATTGTTAGGCACATATTCGGAGAAAAGAAAATCAGTATTATCAACCTGATATCTGCACTCCTATGATTCTTTCAGCACCATTCACAATATCCAAGATATTAGGAAGCAACCTAAGTGTTCATTGCGGGAAGAACAGATAGAGAAAATGCAGTATATATACAGAATGGAATCATCTTCAGCCTTACAAATGGAGAAACCCTGCCATCTGTGATGAAATATGGATAAATCTGGAGGGCATTTTAAGTGAAATAAACCAAGCACAGAAGGATGGATTTTGCATGATCCCACTCACATAGAATTCAGAAACATCAATCTCATAAATGTGGATTATAATAGTAGTTACCAGAGCCTGGGGTGCTAGGGGAGGTGGGGTTGAGGAGATGTTGGTCAAAGAATATATATTTATAGTTAGACAGGAGGACTCAGTTCAAGAGATCTATTATTCAGCATTACAACTATAGTTAATGACAATATATTGTATTGCTTAGAAATGCTGAGATTGAATGTTAAGGGTTCTCACCACAAAAATGGTAACAATGTCAGGCAATGCATTTGTTTATTAGCCAGATTTAACGAGTCCACAATGTATGTGTACTTCAAAACATCATGTTATATGTACACAACACATACAAGGTTGTTGTCCATTAAAACAAATTTTTTTAAAGTAAAAATATAGAGAACAAATGCCATGTGTTATTCATCATTGGAATGGTTTGAGAGACTGCAGTATCATAAGCCCTACTCTCTTCAAAATATCTATCAGAGACTAAATACCAATCTTCCAGTGCTGTATGCACAAAGACATGTGACATATAAATCCTGGCTTTCAGACACATTGTGATAACTGAGACTTCAATATGCTAGTAAAGTGGGAAATGCACCATATAAAGCATTGAATCTCATTTCCCATGAGGGTGAGAGCACCAGAATTTTGGCAGTGTTGCCTGCAGTGGCCAAAATGCTGTTCTGAATATGATGTCTGAAGAGTATTGGCAGAGATCCCAGCATATTGTGGAGGAAGAATAATGAGAAATGTTACATTAGACTAATTTATTTTATGCTTTTGGCATTACTCCAAGTATGTTAGCATTAGCTGGCATCTCAAGTGTTCCAGCAATTCTGTGCAAGTTACCCAGTTTCATTTGCTTTCAAAATCACATTTCAGTTGTGACAAATACACCTGAGTAACCACAACTCCAATGCCATAGGAAATAGATGTTTTAGAAAGTTCCCACATGCCTATTAACAGTCATAAGCCACCTTCCATACATCCTACCCCTTAAAAGTGGCCACCCCATCCATTACTTCATCAGACTAATACCTTGTTTTTAAGGGTGGCATAATGTGTTTATGGAAATGAACACCACTTAAGGTATACAAATTGATGTCTTTTTACATATTCACTGAGTTTACTCCCCAAAAGTCAAGATGAAGAATAATTTTTCAGTACCCCAAAAGTCCATTCTCAGTTACTCATCCCTACTCAAGGTTAAGTGCTCTCCTGTTCTCTGGGCACCATAGATAAGTTTTTTATGTTTTTGAACAACATATAAATTAGAACCTCTTTTGAGTTCAGCTTCCTTTGCTGTAAACCACTTCGGTGATACTCTTCATGTTGCTCATCTTTTGAGTTTAGCTTCCTTTGCTCCAAACCACTTCAGTGATACTCTTCATGTTGCTCAATGCTTTAGAAGCACTTTCCTTTTTATTGCTTGTGTGGTTTGTTTATTCTATATCATTTCCTTTAAACTACCTCTCCTGATTTTCTTGTATACTGTTAGATCTGCCTGATTGTATTCAGAACATATCCATGTATGTAACTATATGCACAAATACACAGTAATTCTTCACATGTGACATCGTGCACTGGTAGGCATATGGTATTTGGTTGACTTTCTTACTAGAAAAGGAGCTACTGAAGATGGTCAATTTCTAGGTGTTTGCAATTTGCAATGCCTGTTTCAACACAGCCACCCCTAAAATCAAGCCTCGGGGACCCTTTCCAGGAATACATAAAGTCACAATTATTTTCACACAGAAATATAACCTGCCCTTTCCACCATGCTAATGTTTGCACTGAAGGTTCAAACGGCACTGGTGGTTGAGACTCCTGGCTTCCTACCACTAATGGATAAAGACAGTAGCACCAAACGGCACTTGAGTCATTTCTAATTTCCACAATCGTAAAAGCTCCCCTAAAGATAAATATAAGCAAGTTTCACTTAAGAATATCCCCAGCACACAGGGAAAATGCCACATGAAGGCTAGTTATGCAGCCACAAGTCAAGGAACTGCCAGAGCTTGGAGAGGCCTAGAACAGATCCCTCCTATCCATTGAGGGAGTATGGCCCTGTCAACACCTTGTTTTGGACTTCTGGCCTCCAGGATTAGGAGACAACTAACTTCTGTCTTTTAAGTTATCCATTTTGTGCCCTAGCAAACTAATACAAATGGAAAGCATGGATCCACCCCTTTAATTATGGAGGAAAAGTGTTAACATGCCATTAACTTGCGTGTACTCTGTCGACTCGACTCTACTGACTCAAAAATGTCACTGCTCAAAGGCCTTTGTGTAGTGCCTGATCTAAAGGCTCTATCCCAGTCCCATTTTACTTCTTCATAGACTTGTCACTGACAGAACCTTACTTAATTTGTTGACTTTAAATCATCAATTTCCCACACCTGAGCTCATGCTTCAGTATTTTCTGTCTGTTCTGTTCAATGCATGTCAAACAACAGGTGCTCAAAAAGTATGTCTCAAGAATGAAGGCACGAGAAAGTAATGTTTAATTTGGGAATACAGATTTCTGTGTATGGTCAAGGGTTGTTGACACTGATGGTGTTCATTCCTTTGTTCTTCCACTTTTCCTGCTTTTCCTTTTTTCATCTCTTTGGGCTGGGATTAAGTATTTGGACTTGCTGCATGGTCTTGGGCCTGAGTTCTCTTTCCCTGCTGTGGATGAGTGTGCTTTTGTACCAGTTTGTCTATGAGTTACATAGAGAACGTGAGTTCTTAGTCCTGCTCTGCCACCCCGCTTGGTAGGAAAGAGTGTTGGAGGAAACCAGACCTTCAAAGCTTGAGCACAAAGGCCTGAGGGCTTGAACTCTACCAGACAGAAAGAGGCTGTCAGGTACTGGGCCTGTGTAGGGCAAAGATTAGGGCAAATGTGCAGACATACTTAAAGTTCAAGATACCAAACAGAGGAGCAGTATTTTGTGAGAGCTCAGACTTGCTGCCTTTGAGCCTCAAGGCAACCTGAAAGAGATTCAGAAACAAAGTTTTGGGTTGACAGTGTAGCTCTTTGAGCTCGCCAGCTAGTGAAATACAGGAAGAACAAACTCAAATAATAGGCAGTGGACAGAGGAGAATATAAACTCAGAGATGAACATTTCTGGGATAAAATCCTGCAACAGAGAAGACAATGGATGGAAGAGATTTATGCCAGGTGGTTTAGTGGCTTAGTTTTACTTACATATGATTTAAAATTCACCTACTTACAGAAAGGATTTGAGGGAGATGAGATGAGGGTGAGGAATAAGGTAACAATAACCCAAGGTCCTCAAGCATGATGAGGTAAGGAATGTCCCTACTTCAGGGAGGAAGGATTACAAAGAGAAAACATTTTTGAACATGTTCAATATTGGATTTGTCAGTCATGAGATGGAGGGATATTGAAATAACAGTATCACAATACAACAATAAACACGGTAGTCAGAGAATTACTATCCCACTTCTTTCCAGTATAGTATCTTTGTTGCACTTTCCAGCATAGCATCTTTGTTGCAGAGTCAAAATTTTGATTATCAGCTGGGGGTGAATGGCTCATGCCTGTAATCTCAGCACTTTGGGAGGTCAAGGTGGGTCGATCACTTGAGGTCAGGAGTTTGAGACCAGCCTGTCCAATTTTTGTACACCAAAACTACAAAAATTATCTGGGCATGGTGGTGTGTGCCTGTAGTCCCAGCTACTCAAGAGGCTAAGAGGCATAAGAATCACTTAAACCCAGGAGGCAGAGGTTGCAGTGAGCTGAGATCACAACACTGAACTCCAGCCCCAGCAACAGAGTGAGACTGTCTCAAAAAAACCAAAACAAAATTTGATTATCACAGGTGCATGCACACGTGGACACAAACACACACACACATACCCATTTTGGCAGTTGCAACCGGGATCTTAAAATTACACCAAATTCCTCAGTTTTTCCTTCCTGTGTCCTGAAAGAGCCCATTTTCTTTCATGTGGTCATTTCACTTCAATTCCTTCAGAAACACCAGATGGTATGATACACAGGAAGAGAGCTCAACAAGCAAGCACCAAATGAGGGCTCACAGCAAAACAGCTGTTATAACCATAGGTTTTTGAGCTTGTAGATGCATAAAAATACACACTTGGCAAGTATATGCTCCTTTAAGACTCCAAGGAGGAAGGGTAATGACTCCTATTCCCTTTGTAACTGATTCTTTTATAGAATCCAGCAAGACACAGGGTCTTGCTCTGTCACCCAAGCTGGAGTGCAGCAGCAGAATCAGGGCTCACTGTAACCGCCAAGACCTGGGTGAAGAAAGCTATCAATCAGTCTTCCCACCTCCACCTTCCAAGTAACTGGCACTACAAGCATGCACCACCATACCTGGCTAATTTTTTTTGCTTTTTACTTTTTATAGAGACAGGGTCTCAATATATTGCCCAGGATGGCCTTAAACTTCTGGGCTCAAGTGATCCTCCCTCTCCCAAAGTGTTGGGATTACAGATGTGAGCCACTGCAATATAAAATAACCTTTATTTTAACTTCCAGTTATGTATCATAATTCAGAATTTGCTTTTCAACAGTAGCCAAATATTAAACTGTTGGCTTCAACTGCCCGCCAGCCATTTTTCTTTTGTTTCTAAGTCTTTACAAACATCAAAGATGCCCACATCCCACTGTCTAGTACTTGTAAATGCTACCTTTTACAAGTCCACTGCCAAGACAAAGTGGAATAAATATGATGTCATTAAAGTGACAGTCCATGAAATAGAGATTATCCTGCTGGGCCCTTAAAAGTGGAGAACTGTTCCTGACTGGGTCAAAGAAAGACCGCTTAGTGTATCTGAGGGATGGGACCACTAGGCAAAGAATGCACGTGACCTACAGAAGCCGAGAACAGGCCTCAGCTGCCAGTCAGCAAGGAAACAGGGACAGTACCCTACAGCCACAGAGATCTGAATTTCTGCCAATAATGTTAATGAGGAAGGAAACTAACACCTTCCCCAGAGCTTCCACAAAAGAATGCAGTCCTTTCGGAGAGAGAGGCCAGACTTTGGACCTAAAAAACTGTGAGGTAAATTCTATAAGGTGAAAAAAGAGGGGAGGAGGGAAGTGGGGGTAGAAAGAAAAAGCATAACCATGGTAAGGCACGAAAAATTATTTAAAAACTCCCTAATTAACACAAACACATTTTTCTTCTATGATTTCAACTAATGTTCATTTTCTCAGGCAGCCAAAAATATCACATTTTTTGCACTTCATTTATTGATGTTATTCCCATCATTCTGACCACAGAGAAGATGTGGGTAACATGTATGAGGGAAGGAAAGAAAAGGTTTATTTCCTTGAGGGTCAGAGGAAGAACGGGTGGTACCTAGAGATCTTAAGATGGTGCCAAAACCATGCCCAAAATTCAAACCCTATCATTATCCACAAGGGAAAAAGAAAAAAACATACACATTAGGAAACAAGAATTCATTGTTTATTTGTGCAAAGAAAAAAAATAAGCCACTACTGTAATTTAGCCACTGCTCTGTTTGGCAGCCAGCCTCTTGTCTCTCTCTTCAGCAATAGTAAGTCGGATGCCCTTTCCCCTGGGCAGGGAAATCCAAGGTTTATTACCCTGTAATTGAGAAGGAGATAAAATAAGTACATAAAAAAGGGATGAAAAGGGAGGAGACGAAAGAAAGCTGGAGGGAAAGACAGGAAAAAAACAACACTCCACCAAAACACACATGCCTTGTACCTTCCTTTACATTAAGGGGCAGCTAACAGAACACAACCAAACAAAATTCCCAACAAAATAAAAATTTCCTTATACATGTTTCCTGAGAGGTTGTCTGTCTCTCACTGTTCCTCCCACTCCCCACTGCTGAGCTGCTGAATACAGGTCTTCCTGCTTCTATTTTGTGTGAAGCAATCAGTCAAGAAGCTTTTCATGAACATCTTTTTCCATAAGGCACTCAGTGCTGAGAAAAAAAAAAAGGCCATTAACCTCAGCTTCTCATTATTTTGAAGTGGAGAACTGTCAGCTCCCTGTCATAAGCTTTACAGAGCTTTCACAGGCATCTACTCAGTCCTTCAGTTCCTTCAGAAACACCAGATGATATGATACACCTGTTTTCAAAGGTACAGAATGAGGTGTCATAATTCAGCACTGAGAAGAGAAATGGCCCAACTATAGAGCTGCCAAGTGACACAGCCAAAGAGGCAACAGCAGGCTTCCCCTCTGTACCATATCATCTCTCACGTACCAAATAGCTGCCAGGGTACAAGTGTTAAGATACCACTCCCAAGGCTGAATTGCTTGATGAAAAGCTTGCCCGTCCTTAAGTCACAGGGTAACAGACTCTCATGTGAGGATACTGTGTGACTCCAGAGGTGCTCCTTCACTGAAAAGCCCTCAAAAGATCTCAGAGCAAGGTCATTCTGAATGAGTAAACGAAACTAACAAGCAGTATGTGACTTGTAAATGCTCTTATTCTCAAATTAGCAACTCACTCATAGTCCCTTACATCAATCTTCATCATCAAATACATGTTCAATGATGAGGCATATAATGTAGTCTCAGAGGAGATGGCAGACAGTGACCTTAATCCAGCACATACCAGTGGTATAGCCCTGCAGAAGTTGCAAGGCTGAGTTTAACTTAATTTGTTGTGTGACAGTGCTGGCACCTCACACAGACCTCCTTGAGAGGCAGGCGCAAGGCTCTAGATCTAATATTCTTTCTGGTCAGAGGCTAAATACAGAGCTTGCTGCACTCTGTGCACCTTAACACAGGAAAAACACAAGAACAAACAGACAAACACCAACAGTGGATGCAGGTCTTTACATTTTTTAGGGTGAGTCTTCTTAGAAAGTAGTAAAGAGAGTGCAAGTCTTACATTGCCAATGACAAAAATGTTGGAAATCCTTGTGGCAAAGCTGTTGCCGTTGGCATCCTTCACATGTACCACATCGCAAGAACCAGGATGTCTTTCCCTGTTTGTGATCACACCAACACGACCGAGGTTAGCTCCAGCAATCACCATACATACATTGCCTAGAGGGAAAGGAAAATAAACAGGAGAGGAGTCATTTTAAAACCAGATAGAGGCCTGCTGTCCTTTAAAACCAATTTACCACAGACAGGCTCACCGGGACCAAAAAATGGAGCATCATTACAAAATTGTAATGTCAAGAACTCTTGTCACTATGAACATGCTTTTTGTGAAGTAGACTGCAGTCAGCGTTTTAAGGCAAGCCCCTAAGGATTTTTCCAATGACAAGCTTTCCCTGCACTGTTTGTCCAACAATAATTCTTCAAAGGTTGAATAAATAATCATTTTTGGGGGGGACAAAGATGGCATGGAAGAGTACTGGGTGGGAAGAAAGAAGAATGATTGACTGAGAGGGAGGGAGAACTAGAGAAATTCAGGCTAATCAGAAAGACACTAGACAATAACGAAAGGCCTTTAACTGGACTGCTAGCTAATCCAATCTCTAGAGGGGGAAACTTCCAATGTTCTGAGGGCTGTCACAGGGCTCCTGGAAGAATAGTGTTCATTTCAGATATCTGGACTTATTTTTGTGGGACATAACCACCTAATATAAGCATCCTATATAGGGCACAGGCCACCATGTCAAGGAAGTTTTATCACAGAATAAGCATGTTTTAAGAAAAAGTTTCCTCAAACCACTGCTAATAAAGACTCAGCCATAAGTCCACTTTTTTATGTGAAGACACATTTAAAAAAAAGGAAAAAAAAAACAAGGACACGTCCTTTTTTTTAAAATGAAGACACACCAAAGCCAGAGAATGCAGCCCTGTCTTAATGCCAACAAAACAAAACACAAACTAGTAACCTAGCCTAAAATACTCCAGGATAAATTTGAAATTATAACCTATAAATCAAGGGGAAAAACATAAATCAAGAGCACAAACACTTATTGAGCTCTCAAAAACTAATGGGAAAAAGAAGAAACCAACTCAACCTGAGGGTCTTAAAGATAAGCCTCTGGGATAAAAGAAAATTAAAATTATGTTCAGAGTAAAAATTCTTCGATTTGACAATGAACAAAGAGATTTCCAATGAACAAAGAGATTTCTGCAGTTTGACCGTCCCTACCACAGACATTTGTTGATCCAAAATACAGATTTTTAACAGAAATCCAGGGCCAGCGGGAAATATGTGTTTGGCATGGTGAGAAGCCACAGGAATTAAAAGGACCAATGGTTTTACCTCAGCATTAACAACTGTACTGAGAGTCAGAGAAGTGATTTGAAAGTAATTTTGTGTAAGTGCTGGTATCGCATTTATTCCAGATGGTATGGATACCCAATAATGTTCAGGTAAGTCACAAGAAAGTACCCACAGACCCCTATCTGAAATATAAGAAAAATCACATAAACAGCCCAAGATTTTGCTTCTTAGGTCAGTGTACTTGGCCAGTTCTTTGGGGTCCTTGTGGCAACCACTGAGAAGACAGTAAACGAGCAGCACCAAACACCCTCAGTTACAAAAAACTTTTGTACACTATGCTTTAGGGCAGTTTAGGAAGATCTGGATAAAAACGCCTGCTCAGTAACAAAATGCATGTTTGTTCTACGTGATAAGCAGAAGATGACACCCAAAAAAGAGGTGAGATGAAATGCCAGTGAAAGCTTGGTGTTTTGTTCCTCATAGAAAAGACCCAATTGCAGAGACTCCTGTAAAAGAAAATCAGTACTTGGGAAAGAGCAGCAGAAATGCCTCATGCTGCTTATGTCAATAATAAGGTCCACAAAGGTTTTTAGTTCATTTTCCAGAGTCCTTAGGTGGGAACACTATGGACTTAGTATGCATAGGGAAAAAATAGAACTAAGTTAATCACGGTAAGATTCAAACTGTTAATAGTTCCTTCCCTTCACTTGTTTGTCACTGCTTCTAAAAGTGAAGAAAGGGTATAAATTGATGAGAACACTCATTCTTTCAAGGTGTGTTAAGTTCCAATAAAAAGCCCCTGACATTTACAAAAGTTCCCACTAGGGCACACTAGTAAATGTAGGTTGAAAGCTAAGACCCTTCACAAGAATAACTGTAATTCTTGAATGTGTCAGATATATTCTTTATGTCTATCAGACAACCCTCAGAAAAACAGACTGAGTGGAAACTAATGTTGACTTTTGTTGTGAGACTCTGCTTTCTTTCTGATGGCCTCACAAAGACAGTGGAATAGAAATCAAAGCCCCAGGTTCAGTCTCTTGAGTGAAGGCTGTAACAGGAGACCCTTCCCACCATTAGATGGACCCCAAAGGCAGGACCCTCACAAACACATGAGCCCAAAAACAACCCTGTTTTCCTACTAACAAAATACAGGATTTAGCCAGGCGCAAATGCTCATGTTTGTAATCCCAGCACTCTGGGGAGTTGAGGCGGGCGGTTCACCTGAGGACAGGAGTTCAAGACAAGCTTGGCCAACATGGTGAAACCCCATCTCTACCACAAATACAAAAATTAGCCCAGTGTGGTGGTGGGCACCTCAGCCTCGCGGAAGGCTGAGGCAGGAGAATCGCTTGAACCCGAGAGGCAGAGGTTGTAGTGTGCCGAGGCTGGGTCATTGCACTCCAAACAGAGCAAGACTCTGTCTCAAAAAAAAAAAAAATTGACCTCATATTGTTCTTACTAACAACACTTTACATATAGTGTCTAGCATGGAAGGAACTAAGATACCATGATAAAGAACCACCATCATCAACACAGCATCAAACCAAATGCAGAACTTGGAACTGCCTTGAAAGAGTCTACAAGGACAAAAGCAAAACAAAACAGAACAAAACTAATGTAAATCACAAGAAGCCCACCTTTGTAGAGTGACCTAGTGGATTTGAAAATCAAGTAATGAAAATTTAGTGAACAAAATTAAGAATGGAAAGGAATGGGTTTAAAGAAACAGCCTACAATTGGTTGAAGAGAGAATCAGAAAAAGAGAAGGTTGCTGGGAAGATATGCTCATGATGCACCATGGAAAGACAAAGGATGAAAAACAGAGAAGACCGGGTGACTGGGTCTACTGTGAGAAGCTCTAATACAAGTTAAATGCAAGTCCCGAAAACCAAGGTGAGAGGAAGGTTAGGGACAAAGCAGTATGTGAAAACATAATTTTCTAGAATGATGCCAACCCAGATGCATGAAACCCGTCAAAAATCTCAAGAAAGGTAAGGAGAGAAACAGATAGCATATTCCCACCCACATCCTGCTACTGCCCCAGAGGAGGATAAAGAAGGTGGTTAATCCTGAGCTTGGGTGGTTTCAATATGCACACTGTAATCACGAGCACAACCACTTAAAATTAACAGAACCAGATGTGGCTTTATTTCAAAACCACCAAGGAAACAAATAAAAACTAAAATGTCAAAAAAATAACACAGCAGACATCTGCAAAATGGCACAAGAGGAGGCCCCAGGCTCTCCCTCCGACTGGACACACAGATTTCACAATAACATATACAACCAAACTGCATTGGTGAACACTCCACCAATCAGATAAGAGGCTGCAGGACCCCAGGCCAGTGCAAAGCCAAGAAAAGCAGCACTAGACCAATAGAAACATTTGTGGCATTTTACCTGCACAACATGTTCCACTTCCCCAGCACCGCGTAACACATTTGGGAAAAAAAAAAAAAAATCCAAAATCCTGGCATCTCCCACAGGAAGGAAAGAGAAATGTGAACCATTCATGCGACATTCTGGCTTTTCAAGGGGTCAAAACCTGCCTGACAAACTGCTTTCTGTCTTACCTGAGTCAATACTGACAAGGAAGGTAGTTTGGACACCCAGGCTGAGGGACTCAGAGAAAGAAGACAAGACATGCAGGTGGGGTGCGGTGGCTCGGGCCTGTAATCCTAGCACTTTGGGAGGCTGTGGTGGACTGATCACTTGAGGCCAGCGGTTAAAGACCAGCCTGGTCAATATGGTGAAACTCTGTCTCTAACTAAAAATACAAAAAATTAGGTAGGCATGGTGGTGCGTGCCTGGAATACCACCTACTTCGGAGTCTGAGGCAGGAGAATGATTGAACCTAGGAGGCAGAGGTTGCAGTTGAGATTAAGCCACTACACTCCAGGCTAGGTGACACAGCAAGACTGTGCCTCAAAAACAACAAACAAACAAAAAAAACAAAGATCTGCAGGTGCTGGGGGGACGGGACAGTTGTTACAGCACCAGAGAGGCCGTACTACACAGACAGGCATCAGGGAATGAAAGAGATTAGGGTCTTCACAGAAGCTCAACCAGGAAAGCGCACACCCAAGTCCCTAGTTGAGAGATCCCCAGAACCTCTGGCCTGGCTGACTGGTGAAAGTCATCGTCCCTGTATGAAGATACCTGGTAGAGATTGGGAGAGGTGGCCGTTTTTCTCTAGAAAAATAAGCCTAAACAAATGATGATCTATGAGTTACCTGAAAAAGAATTCAAACTAACCATCTTAAAGATGCACATCAAACTAAGGGAACACAGATAGACAAACAAAATCAGAAAAACAACGCATAAACATGAGAGTTATCAACAAAGTAAAGGAAACCCACAACAAATACCCATAATCAAACTGGAGCCGAATACCTTTAAACTGAATTGAAAAATTCACAGGTTCAGGAAGAATTTGCAAACTTGAAGACAGGCCATTGAAATTAACAAGTCAGAGGAGCAAAAAGAAAAAAAATAACAAAGAAAGGTGAGCCTAAGGAAGGGAGTATGAGACAACATCAAGAGGAACAATACACAAATTACAAGACAATACACAAATTACAAGAGTCCTAGAAGGAGAAGAGACAGAAACAGAGAATATGACAAGGGAATTTGGGAGACAGAGCGGGAGGGGCAGAAGGCCTTCTAGAAAAATAATAATGGCCCGGGTGCGGTGGCTTACACCTGTAATCCCAGCACTTTTGGGAGGCCAAGGTGGGCGGATTACGAGGTCAGGAGATTGAGACCATCCTGGCTAACACGGTGAAACCCCATCTCTACTAAAAATACAAAAAATCAGCAGAGTGCAGTGGTGGGCACCTGTAGTCCCAGCTACTAGGGAGGCTGAGGCAGGAGAATGGCGTGAACCCAGAAGGAGCCACTGCACTCCAGCCTGGGCAATAGAACAAGACTCCATCTCAAAAAAAAAAAAAAAAAAAAAAAAAGAGGCCCAAACTCCCCAGTTGGGAGAAAGAAGATGGACATAGAAATTCAAGAAGCTGAACTCCAACTAGAATAAGCCCAAAGAGACACACATCAAGAGACAATATAATCAAAGTGTCACATCACAGAGAAAGAATCTGGGAAAGAATCATGTACAAGGAAGCTCCTGCTAGATAAGCACTTTTCTGATAATCTCTGATAACTCTGCCATCCAGAAGATAGAGGGATGACATACTTCAAGTGTCAATGAAAAGAGTCTAACTCTGTAAAATATTTGAAGAGATTTATTCTGAGCCAAATACGAGCGACCATGGTCCATGACACAGCTCTTAGGAGGTCCTGAGAACACGTGCCCAAAGTGGTCAGGACACAGCTCGGTTTTATACACTTTAGAAGGGCATGAGACATCAAATACATTTAAGAAACACATTGGTTTGGTCCAGAAAGGGCGGACAACTCAAAGTGGGGTGGGGTGGTCCAGGCTATTGGTGAATTTCAGCATTTTCTGGTTGGCAACTGGTTTCCCTAAGTTGAGTTTGCCTAAAGACCTGGGATTGACAGACAGGGAATGTTTTAGTTAAGATAAAAGATGGTGGAGATCAAAGTTGAGGAAGTCTTATAATGGCTGCCCTCAGAGACAAGAGATGACAAATGTTTCCGATTCAAATTTTAGTTAATCTCTTTAAGATTGAAAAGATTTAGAAGAAAAAGATCTAGCTACGTGAAGAGAGACTCTTTACAAATACAGATTTCCCCCTCACAAGGAACAGTTTTGCAGGGCCATTTCAAAATATGGCAAAGAAACATGCTTTGAGGTAAAATATTTTAATTTTCTTCATTGTCTCGAAATGTTATGCCAGTGTCAGGCTGGAAAGTAAGTCATGATATGTAGGGTTAAAATAAAACCCATCTGATGATAAGTCATGCCCATTTGTAGGGCATGATTCCCAAGACGCCTTAGATAGGAATTTAGGCAAGATTAAAATCAGAGTTCAGTCCTCACAAGAATACCATTTCCAGCAAAGCTGTCCTTCAAAATTGAAGAAAATAAGACCTTCCCAGATAAACAAAAGGCACTAGGCTTGCCCTACAAGAAATGCTGAAGGGAATCCTTCAAGTGTCCAAGAAAAAGACATTAGACACAAAACCATATGAAAATATAAAGATCTCTGGTAAAGGTAAATATACAGAAAAATAGAAAATCATAATGGTTTACAAATCACTTTTAAGTCTGGTATAAAATTTAAAACATGAAAGCATAAGAACCACCATAAACCAATGTAAATGGGTACACAATAGAAAAAGATTAACATGTGGCATCAATAACAAAGTTGGTCTGAGGAGGTATGGAGATGGAATTAACAGCTGAAAACAGATTGTTTTCAATTTAAGATAATTTATGTAATTCCCTTGGTAACCAGGAAGAAAATAACCAAGGAAGGACAGATACAATAAAATGAGAAAGGATTCAAAGTATTCTTTAAAACACAAAAGGCAGGTAATAAGGGAGAAAAAATAGGGACAAAATATCTACAGAACATAACAGAAAATAGTTAGCAACAGAGCTACACTAATGCCTTCCTTAACAGTAATTATTGACTATAAATAAATTAACTCCCCACCCCAATCTTAGGACAAAGACTAGCTAAATGAATAAAACCAACCAACCAACCAAGGTACAATTATATGCTACTAACAAAAGACCAGTTTTAGATTTAATGACACACATAGGCTAAAAGTGTAGGACTAAAGCTGATGTTCCAGGCAAATGGTAACCAAAAGAGGGCAGGGGCTGACCAAACTTGGTCAGACAAAATAGACTGTAAGTCAAAAACTGTCACATAAGACAAGGCAGCTCAAAAATGCTTATGTTACAAAAGAAGACCTCAAACCAAAACCTAACTAGATCACAAGAAACTAGAAAAAGAATAGAAAAACCCAAGGTTAGCAGAAGGAAGGAAATTAAATAAAGATTGGAGCAGACATAAGAGAAAAAAAAAAAACCGGAAAAAAGCTAAGAGTTGATTTGAAAAAAAAAAAAGATTAACAAAAGGGACAAAACCTAGGCTGGGTGTGGTAACTCCCGCCTGTAATCACAGCACTTTGGGAGACAGAAGCAGGTTGATCACCTGAGCCCAGGAGTTCAAGACCAATGTAAACAACATGGCAAAACCCCATTTCCATGACAACAATACAAAAATTAGCCAGGTGTGGCAGGGCATGTGCCTGTGGTCCTAGCTACTCAGGACACTGAGGCAGGAGAATTATCTAAGCCTAGGGAAGTTGAGGCTGCAGTAAGTAGTGATCGAACAACTGCACTCCAGCCTGGATGACACAGAGTGAGAAGGCAGGCAGGTAGGCAGGCAGGCAGGCACAAAGTTAGGTAACTCACACATTCTGATTTGACACACAATACAAAATGAAAATGACAGCAATCCAACAGTCTTTTATTAGCATAAAAGACAAACAACAAAAGGAAGAAAATAGAGCCCAGAAATAAACCTAAGGGTATATGGCCAAATGATCTTCAACAAGGGTGCCCAGAACTCTCAATGGAGAAAGGACAGTTGCTTCAACAAATGGTGTTGGTGAAACTAGGTCCCCATGTAAAAGAACAACATGGGGAAGACTTTACCTTACACCATACAAAAAATCAATTCTAAATGGATTCAACGTAAGGCCTCAAACTATAAAGCACCACAGCCAAAAACAGAGGACCACAAGCTTCATGATATTAGGGACATGATTTCTTGGATATGACACCAAAAGCAAAAATACACAAATTCAAAATTGCCTGCCAATCAAAGGAAACAATCAGTAAGGGTGAAAAGGCAACCAAACGAATGAGAGAAAATATCCGCAAATCTTACATCTGATAATATCTAAAGAACTCCTATAATGCAATAATACCAAGAAACAACCTGACTAAATACTGGGCAAAGGGCTCGAATGAGACCTTTCTCTAAAGACATACAAGCACACAAAAAGATGCTCAATATCTCTACTTATCACAGAAACCCAAATTTAAAAGAACAACAACAAAAACTAAAGAGATATGACCTCATGCCTATCAGGGTTGTCAAGAAAGAAAAAAGAAAAAAATATAAAAAGCAAACAAAAGCAAAGTATGGGCAGGAATGTGGAGAAACTGAAACTCTTCTGCACTGTTGGGGAGAATGTAAAACAGTGGGGCTGCTATGAAAAGCAGCACAAAAATTACTCAAAAATTGTAAAATTATCACATATGATCCAGCAATCCCACTTCTGAGTATATACATAAAAACATCCAACAGGATCTGGGAGAGTTATCTGCACAGCTGTGTCCGCAGCAACATTACTCACAATAGTCAAGAGGTGGTGGCAACCGAAATGCCCATCCAGAAGAACAGATAAACAAAATGTGGTGTACACACAATTTAGTATTATTCTGCCTCAGAAAGAGGAAGGAAATACTGTCACATGCCAGAACATGGATGATGAACCTTGAGGACACTGCAAAGTAAACTAGTCAAACAAAGACAATCACTATGATTTCCACTTATTAAGACAAACCCAAAGGAGTCAAATTCACAGAAGCAAAGAGTGGGACGGTGGTTGTTGGGGGCTATGGGGAGGAGGAAGTGGCAGAGTTGTTTAATGGGCAGAGTTTCAGTTTTACAAGATGTAGGCATTCTGGAGATCTGCCACACAACAATGTAAATATAGTTAACACTAATGATCCATACCGTTAAAAATAATTAAGATGGTAATTCATGATGTATCTTTTTTTTTAAACATAATTAAAAATTACTTAGGCATTTTAAACCAAACAAACCAAGAACTATAAAGAAACCTTTGCCCTTATTCAGTTGGTTTCTTCTTACCAGAAATATTGGCTCTGTGAAATTATTTTATGTAAACTCCCAGGATTAAACTTAATAAGCAAGTAATAAACAAGCAAACCAAGCATTTCATGTAAAACAAAGATCTATATATTTCAAATAGAGTTAGGTGGGGGAGAATAATCTGTTGAATTTTAACAGGGAAATTCATTTAATAAACAAATGGCAAATATTCCATTTAATTGGAGATAGGAAGTCCATGTCCGTTTTAAAAATTATTCTCAAAGGTATGCAAAAGTTGACAGACAAGCATAATACGCTCCTACCTATCCACTCTCCAGTTTCAAAACATTTGAAAACTCATGGCCAGCATTGATTCATCTTTATCCATGTAGTCCTGCATTGGATCACTTAGAAACAAATGGCCAGTATCAAATCATTTGAACTTGAAGTATTTTGGCAAGCCTCTCAAAAAGCTAAGTCACTCTGCAGATGACTGCTAGATGTCTTAAGCTTCTTCCAATATATACATGCTTTCTTTTCTCCCTTTATCCAAGTTTGTATTGATTCTTTGACAAGAATACTTCCTGAATGGTACTGTGCACTGCCACTACTGGGAGATGCATGATGTCTAGTTATCTCTTTTGTGGTCACACTGAAATCAACAGGTTTAGACATCGTAAGCATGAAACATCCAGTTTAATATCCCCTCTCTCAATGTTTTCCCCTAATGGGAAGGCCTCTCAACTTTCACAGCCAAACATTCTTGCCTAACATTTCCAGTTCAACAGTAAATACCAGGAGTTCAGGCAGCACAGGCACAAGGTCATAGAGGTCAGACAACAATCAGACAGCTTCAGCGTGTGGAGTACTGAATTCAAGACAGCCAGCTTGGGGTCTTTAAACAGCAAGGCAACTGACGACTTTGGCTGGGTCTTAAATCAGGGTCCAAGTGGGGATTGTGGGGATGCACTTAAGCAACAGAACGAAGTGCAAAGTCATCAAAGATAGGCAGAAAAAGGAGTTGTCATTGTTTGTTGTGCCTATCCTATTTTTTCAGTGTTTCTGCATTTCTAGAAATTTCTGTTAAACACACTGGGCAAAATATTTCACTTCATTAGCACATCAGATGCTAGCAAGCACTTGGGTGTAAAGCTGTCAGGAGTCAGAGCCTGGGGTGTAGGGAGGAGAAACAAATCTGCAGACACATCTTTTCCTCATCACTAGTTTGAGGTTATCTGGACAACTTCAGCCCTTCAACTCAAGGAATACACATAAAATTTACACATTTAAAACAAAGTTCCCCTCTCATGACAAACCAAATGGACACCGAGTTTACACAGCTATGGTTTACATTCTTGAAAAAGGCCAGGCTGTTGGATGTAGCCCAAAGGGACGTCACACCACTATTCAGCATCAAGAACCCACTGCAAACCCAAGAGACCACGAGGCAACATACTCTCTTAGGGAGAGCCAAATGTGTTCTCTCCAGTCAAGATGGTAATACAGATAAAAGAGAATAAAATAGAAAGAAAAGATAGAAAAAGAAAAGGCAAGGGAGGTGGCCAACAGACAAGGGAAAAAAAAAACAACAAAAAAAACCTTACCTGTGTCAAATTTGATAAAGCTGGTTATCTTCCCAGTCCCTAAATCAATCTGCACAGTATCGTTCACCTTGATGAGAGGATCTGGGTAGCGAATGGTTCGAGCATCATGAGTCACCAGGTGTGGAATTCCCTTTGTCCCCACAGTAATCTTCCTCACTTTGCACAACTTGTACTATACACATAAGGAAAACCAATTTAGCATGTAAACACAAACTCAGCCCAAAGCAGTCACCCAGTCATTATTAATCCCACCAATTTTCAACATTTCCTTAGTCAGAGGGAGTGCTCTTGGAAAAACTATATTAACCAGTCACAGAGCTGATGGTCTGCCATACTGATTTAGTAATTGAGACATCTGGGAAACCTCCCCAAGGGGGAATCTGTTTCAGAACCCTCTGGTGGCTCCTGGAGGAGTACTCAGCTGAACTAACTTCCGGTCCTTTATCACAGGCTAAGCTTGTTGCCTGTACATCTGAGTGGTAACACAGACTCAACCGACTGGTCTATCACTTTCTCCTCAGGGATGTTTTTCCCGAGAGAACTCTCATCTTGCAACTCTGGAAAGGTGGCTACATGGTGCCCTAGCAACAAACTTAACTCTACCACTGCTAAAAACATGACGCTTTGATGACCAGGTTAGGTAAAAACAGCTTTTCCAGGCAGCTAGATACCTTCCATACACAATGCTGCTCTTCCTCACCTGATTTTTAAGGGTCACATCCCATTATCTACTTGCCTTAGCTCCTTGAGCTCTGGTGCTGTTCAAATGACATCTAACAGCAGAAGCTGTTCAAAATGTCTCATACCAAGTACGTGTATCATCCCAACAGTTAGCCAAGCCCCATTATGTTCCAGAAACAATTTTCAGGGGCTTCAAATGGTATACTTCGTAATCTCAAATGAACATAACCCATTTGTGGTTGTTACTGCCCATCCTATGTACCACGGGCTCCCCACAGAGTGTCACTGCTCAGAAGTAACAAAATGGGTTTTCTTTTAGCTTTGCTGGGAGAAAAAGCTTCTCAGGGCAAGTTTTGGGTAAATGTGAAAATGACAAGGACAAACGTAGAGTGCCAGGTAACAGAAAACCCCCCAAGAAAAGATGAGAGAAAACCTCCAAGAAGGGCACAATAAATGAACTCCAAGAGCCAATACTTTTTTTTTTTTTTCTAAATCAGCTCCTGCATTTCCTCTACAGATGTTGCACTCTCTCCCTCATCTTTGGGCTCTCAGGACTGACTAGAGTTGCCAGCTTGTCTCTGTCATTGCTTTTGACCTGCCTAGGAGGTGTGGAAAGAAACATGGTGAGAAAAGTAGCCAGATCTTGGGCTCCACTCCTATAAAAAGTCCCCAAGTTCAAATACTGTCCCCTTAAGCTTCAGAGGATAAGATGGGAGTAATAACTGCACAGTCCTAGATGTAATACATTTATAAGATGAAGGAACATAAAGGACCTAGCAAAGCAGTTAACGCCAGCTAATATTATTTCTGCTGCTACTACTGATCCAACACTATTCAAGGCGCTATGGAGATGTGAGGCCATTTAATATAACCCAGCAGTCCAAGACAGTGACGACACTCCACATGTGGAACTTAGGCCATATTAACTCTATTAGTTAAGGTAAATCTGGAATTCACCAGCCAGGCATATCCAAGCCCACTTATCCATGTTAAGGCCTGGCTCCTAGGCAGTCAATCTAATGAGTGCACTCTCTTCTCTCTACCTCAAAAGTTCACAGTTGACACAACCCCCCCAGGCACTCTCTTCAGTAAGTGGTCAGTTTGTTTACCAACACCAGCTCACATTTACCACCACTACAAATACAAACCCAAGATCATTTTCAGCTTTCTTGGCCAGGGAGTTAAGCACAGAAATGAAGACTGCCTAGCTCCCTGATCCCTAATTTGAATTTGAGATTCACTGAGCAGCCAAGCAGAATCGCCTCAGACAATAAATGGCATACTAAGGGCACAGAGGGTTACTAACCTGCCAGCTTCGGGTGAATACATGTGGATGGGGTACAATATGATTATCGAAGCTCATTGTTCTCTTTGCCTTCTACTCCTAAGTGGAAAACTACCAAGCTACAGTCCATAAGCACCAGAGCATTGGCCAAGAATCCAGGCTTGTTCAAGCCTCGAGTAAATAAGGTCCTAGAGCTGCTGAGGACTAAGCAGGCAGAGAAAACATGTTTTCCTCTTATACTTCCTAAGGCCTTGGGACCAAATCATAAGAAAGAGAACACTACTCCAGAGCCTATACTCTGCCACCAGTGAGGCCAGACTTGAAAACAGCCTGTCTGTTGACTTCACTCTTCCATCCCCATTTAGGAGAAGGGAAACTTGCAATTTGCCTTTAAAAGTTACTATCCCATCTTCAGTACCCTTCCTCCTTTCTCCTGCCTTTGAAATCCTTATCTTTCACAGTGCAATTCCAGTGACCACTTACTAAAGCAGTATTACAAAACCTAGGGCTACTAGTGGACATTCTCAATCTCTCCAGCTCTACTCCCTGCTAGATTTAAGAAATCCTGTCCTTGATAACATGAGAAAAGAACTCTGAAATGCCATGCTCTAGCTCTCAAATGGCTCTACACACAGTTACCAAGATCCCTATTACCAATATCGCTATTATAATCACTGTTCCCTATTCAGAATAAAATCTGCCCCTCCAACTTCATGAGGCAAGTCTTTGCATCATGGCCTGCTGAATGCATTCATGTCAGCCAACTGTCCTGCACATTTTTTGCATGTGACATCCTGAACCTACTCGGGGATTCTAAAATGTTTCCAGCGAAAGCTAATTCTGTCCCCTTTCCACCCTGGCTCATTAGCTCCAAATATCCCAGGTAACCCAGGTCCAAGCAAGTTCTATAGCTGTGAACACATAGAAGGCCTATTCACACTTCAAAGCCTACCTGCTGCCCTCCACTTTTCACATACATCCTGTGTAGTATACTCTGAGAACAGGGCTAAAGGAGTCACAGTAGTTAACAGGTACTGCTGACGGTCAGGAGACAGACAGCAAAAACAAAACAAGTAAAAATACTCTTCTCCTGTATCTTCCACAGATCCTCTCACTAACCAAACTATTTCTTCATGACAGCAATAGCATCATCATGGCATCAAACTTGACACCTTGGGCCCAAAGGTCCTTTGTCTTTAAACGCAGGCATGAAACACCCTCTGAAAAAGGCATGGCCTCTCCCTTTAAAGGTGCTACCAGTTCCAAGTGGCCTCCCTCCATCCTCTGAGGTTCACTCTGGAACCATTAACCCAAGCTTCATGATGCATGTCAGTCCTTGAAGCATCCACAGGTAACTTGACTGAAACACAGATGACACTCAGTAACTATCCATAACTGAGTAAAATGCCTGTAAGCATGCTAGTACATTAACAGGTAACAATTCTGTCTAACCTTTATACAGAGCTGACTGACCGAGTTTGCAGTACTTTTAAGACCAGGACTAAGACAGGCTAAAAACTTCTAAACACTTTTATTAAGAGAAGTGCTCCTGCAAAAGACAACACCATGGCAGGCTTTCCTCATATTCACCTCAAACAACTTTATTACCTAAGCACCAAACCTTCATGTGGCCAAGACAGCTCAGGATTCAGATCTGGGGTCGTCTTGCTTAGTAGAGGCCCATCCTGCCAGGAAACTAGAGCTTCACTAAGGGTATGGCTGGACATTTCATGAGGGGAACTTCCAGCTGAGTAAACCTTGTACCAGAGGGGTAGCCTCAACCATCTGCAAAAAACCAATCACTTTTCCTTTGCCCCACAACTGAAAAGACTGCCTTCAGATTTTAAAGATGTGACTCCCCCATCATCTTCTGACCCCACCCAACAATGAACGAAACATCTTTTGCAGCAATTTGAATGGAGCTGGAAGCCATTATTCTAAGTGAACTAACACAGGAGTGGAAAAAATCAAAACTCTTAGGTTCTCGATTGTAAGTGGGAGCTACGCTATGAGTATGCAAAAGCATACAAATGATATAATGGGCTTCAGAGACTTGGGAGGGGGCCAGGAATAAAAATAACTGTACATTAGGTTACGTACAGTCACACACTACTAGGGTGACAGGCGCACTAATATCTCAAAATTCACCACTGTGTAACCCAAAAACTACTTGAATCTAAAAAACTACTCAATTTTTTAAATTTAATTATTGTTTTTAAAAGAAATTTGGAGAAAAAGACTATTTGTAGCTGTCGTACAGCACCCTACCAAAAGAAAACCTCAACTCTGCTGCCTGTCTGCTCAGCAATCTTGACGAGCAATGATTTGTAATCACATCACCACCTATTACAACATGCCTACCCCATCAACACCCTTTCCATACAACCTGGACTGCAAGGTGAGGCCCCTGGTCATTCTCCAAAGTGAATGTCAAATGTGAGGCTCCACTGAAAGCATTCTACCCTGTCCCTCTCGAACTGCAGATTAAAGAACTGTTCGCTTCAAGTTTCCACTGCCCTTTGAATAACACCCACACAAACCAGTCTGAAATCCTTCCCTACCTGGCCTCCCTTAGAAACAAACAAATGCAATTGCCCAGGTTCCATCTTTTCTGAAACTTCAACTGCCTATCCTGTCCGCCAGTCTTTTTCCTTGCCCACCACAAAAGCACTAGTCTCCACATTCATGGTCTTGACCACTACCTCCTTTTGCACCAGACTCCAATTGTGTAAAAAAAAAAAAAGGGGGAAACATCGCCTCTTATCTTAAAAGAAACTCCCTCTTAACAAAGTTACCTCTATTTACCACCATCTATCTTCTACTTTGGGTATAACTGCCACCTTTATGAGGTTCAGTCTTCTCAATTTTCAAGAATGACAATCCACAAACACATCTCCGGTTGGTTACTCTCTGACTTCCTCTTTCTGATTTCTTTAACCAGTGTTTTCTACTTTTCAGGAAACAGAACCTGCACCACCTAGATCCTGTTCATAAACCCTCTGCATTATGAAATCTCTCTCTCCCCATGCACATCCATCATTGAATACAAGCTGCCCAAAGTCAATGAGGATTCTGTGCCAACTATTCAGCCTCTATTGTAACTCATCTGAGCAGTGTTTCAGTCCTCTATTTCAGTCAGCATCTACTTCCTTCTATCATCTACTTGAAAGTTCCAACGCAAGCTGAACCCAAAGCATTAATGTACTGTCCTTCCACAACTCTCTCAAGCATCCATGTATTTCATGAAGATCTGCAGCTACCATCTCCTTACCCTACCACCAAATACTCAGTCACCCTGTCCCACATCTTCTTCCCCTCTACCACAGCAGGGGATGCATACACTAAACCCTTTGTCTCCTTTGCCATCTCCCAGGTGATACTTGTGTCCTCTACCCCAACTTGCAATGGGAACAGGTACTGCCTCAGTTCCCATTACTCATGTGCAGGCTCATCACGGGCTCACCCAAAATCTTTCCTTTTCTCCCATCCACTGTAGTGGCAATCACAAAACAACAACAACAACAAAACAAAAACCTCATCTCCCATCCTTAAATCTAATGACTCCCATTTCTGTGGTCCTCAACTAATACCAAGTTGTTAAAGGGAAAAATTATGTCTGAAATCTATAAGGCTGTTTTCTCAAGACCCATAAAATATCCCTTTTCTAGTTTTAATTTCAAGGGTGGAGGGCCGTTTGGATGTTCTGTCTCTCCACTAACCTGTGCTACCTGGTGGACTAGTAATCTGCATAAAAAGGCTCCGTGGTGTGTCCCTGATACACTGAAATCCAAGGAGCCCACCACTCTCCACTCTGAAGTCACTGTGCCCTTCAACCTGTGGCTCTAGACATGCTGGCTGGGGTGTGACAGGGAATGCTACCTTTCTAGCTATCGAAAGAAACAACCAGCCAACAAATAAGCTCAACCAAAACTTCCCCAAATCTCTTATCTCTTGCACAAAGATAAGGTCCTTACTCTAACCCAAACCCAGAATAGGCATTTGGCACCTGTGGCTACGATGTGATACTCACCTGGACACAAGCTTTTCACATGGTGACTGGCCAATGTAGTAGAACCAGTACTAGGTATTAACAACTCTCCAGTATCTCCTTCTCCTACTCCATCTCTCCCCATTTAAAAATTCACAGCAACGGCTGCGTGTGGTGGTTTATGCCTGTAATCCCAGCACTTTGGAAGGCCCAGGCAGGTGGATTACGAGGTCAGGAGTTCAAAACCAGCCTGGCCAATATGGTGAAACCCCATGTCTACTAAAAATATAAAAATTAGCCGGGAGGGGTGGCACATGCCTGTAGTCCCAGCTACTTGGGATGCCGAGGCAGATTAGTATGAACCCAGGAGGCGGAGGTTGCAGCGAGCCGAGATGGCACCACTGCACTCCAGTCTGGGCGACAGAGTGAGACTCAGTCAAAAAAAAAAAAAAATTCACAGGGACTACCAATCTGCATTGTCTCTTGAGATCCAAATTCCTTACAAAAGCAGAAACCAGTCATCAGATTTGAGATTTCCCTGTGCTTTCTAGCTTTTAGACACAACAGGATCCAACACCCTGGGCAACTGAACACTCTCCAGGACACTAGACCTAGTTCCTACCACCTAAAACAAAGCACCTCATTGTGGGAACAATCCACAAAAACAGAAGGGACACTGCATCAAGGGACACTACCAAAGAAGTTAAAAACAACCAACAACTGATCAATTAAGAAACTACCCAGATATGAAAGTATTTGTGAATTCCTATAGGGACTCCAATGTGTTTCCCCCAAAGAAATAACTGAGAAAAAGGCAAGCTGATTAAACAAAGTGGAAACAATGTCTGATAAAACATTGAAATTCATCTATAGAATGTGTCTCATATTTAGGTGGCATTTGGTCACTGTACAGGTGATTGGGTTATGTGAGAAATAAGGAAGAAGTCACCCCATGACCTTAAATCCAGGGAAAAGAGGAATGGATGACTGAGGGGTGATCCTGGTTTCCAAAGAGGTGTTCCCTACACAGAAAAAAGGCAGGTGCTGTCCACACGGAAAGGAACTTCCTTGAAAAGTTTCCCCGATGGTACTGACTTTGGCCATTAAATTTGGAGAAGGGGGAGTTTAACGGTTGAGGCAGACTTCAGGAAGTCAACAATCTTCTATGTCTAGCAAGTGCGAGGCACCACTGCTGCTAACAGTCACAGAAACCTGGCAAGAAAGCATATTATCACCACTTACAGAGAAAATGAAGGCTCACAAAAGGTTCTACATACTGTTGCCTACGGTTACATAATTAATCAATGACAGGGTCTGGATTCTTACCCAGGCCTTCCTGGTTCCAATACCAGACTTTTCCTATACAGAAACATCTTGTCCCTCAGAGAACTGCTTACTCTGTACGCTGTTTCTAAACAGCCTCGTCTGGAAAATCCACTGCCTTGTATCAGTGTTGGTAGACCTACGTGCCTGAATTGAACAACCAGACAAATAGGCAGAGATAGGCACTATTCCCAGAATATGGCTTAAATGCCCGGACAAACAGGCAGAGATAGGCACTATTCCCAGAATATGGCTTAAATGCCGTCTGAGAACCTTAGCAACAGACCTATCTGTCTGGAAATTATAAAGCTCACTTACCTTTGCCTCTTCCACTGTGATACGATGAACAGCAAAACAGCCCTTGGTATTATAGACCAGGCGGAAATGCTCACCTGTTTTCTCAATGCTGATGACATCTGATCACAAACAAGTATAAGGAACATTATTAATGCAGTTTCTTTGGCCTGCACAGCTGGAGCTCTCTGTGCCAAGCTGAATGTGAGAACATTTTAGCAGCGTAGGGGTCCCCAGCGCTTGATGGGGGTGCTTGAATGAAACCAACCAACCCCGGTCCTGTCCCAGTAAATATCATCCAACAAAAGGAAATGTCTATATATATGGCTACTCTACCACTTTCTATGTTATTGTGCAACGGCTGCTTGAGACTGTGTTCTGGGTTAATGCACTCAGGATGCTGAGGAGAAAACACACATAAGCATACCCACACACACCAGAAAACCAAATGAACAAGCAGTCCTCACATTTAAGCAGACAAGGCTCAAGGCTCTGCAGGTTGCCCGGTCAATGGCTTGGCACCCCCCGCCACGACTCTGACTTCCCTTATCAGGAGTCCTGCCTTGCTTGGGACTTGGAGTTTTAAGAAAGAAAGCAAAATACAAAATGAAGAAAAAAAAAAAAGTATTGAGCCTGTCGCCATGAAAGAAAGAGAGAACAAACCACTAGGTCAGAATTCCTCAGTGCCTTTCCCTACCATCCTTCTCAGGACACTTTTTCCCTAGACGAGTGTGACCCTTCTCTCCCTTCTCCACTCTCCTCTCCCACCAAGGTGCAAATGCATCCTTGGAGATCCAGCATGGTTAGGTCATCAACAGAGAAAGTGGGAAGACAGGGCCAAAACCCTGTTCACTGACAAAGATTCTCTCTCCTTGACCAGTCATTAGCCAGACTCCTCTAAGCCCTCTTCTTGGCTGAGCTTCAGCCTTGGCTATGAAGATCTGAACCACTAACATGGCTTCTAAAAACTCAAGATGAGCCCAGACCCCTTCAAAGTGCCTGCCTGACAAACTCAAGACTAACCAAAAGAATTTACTGTTTTTTCCAGCCAACACCTGAGGACAGCTTCTCTGTCTCCCAGTCTCTGTTGGGAGGGTAGGAACCAAACTTCGATAACCACCAGCTAGCAGCCACTGCTGATCTCATCCCATTACATTACCAACCCCTTTCCAGCTTTTCACTTGTGCCTTGCCACGCTCTCCCTATCCCTCATTCTCCTTCTGAAATGACCAGCAGTAACTCATGTAGAAATCAAAGTTCAGTGTTGGGTTTTGCTTATCGTTGGCAACATGTAAGCCTCACACCTTGTTTTTCTCTCAACCTGTTCCTTCTTCAAAACAAAGAACTCTTTCCTTACCTATGAATCCAGCAGGGTATGTGATGTCCACTCGAACCTTGCCATCAATTTTGAGGAAGTGTTGCATACATATCTTCTTTACCTCATCTCCAGTCAATGCATACTTGAGTCTATTCCTGAGGAAGACTATCAGGGGAAGACATTCCCTCAGCTTGTGAGGACCTGTCGATGGACGAGGTGCCTGTAGAAGACAATGGCAGGCAACCTAATCTCTCAAGATCCGCCCCTTACATAACCAGATTGAGTAGATGACTTGCCTTAGTTCAGCATTAGCTGAACTTAACTAGTTGGGGAAGAGGAATATAAGAGGGCAATTATTTCATCAATTTAGAGAGGTCTGTCTTGTTAGGAAGGTCACAACCCCAACTATGGAAGTCTCTTTTTGTGCCCCTTTGTTTCACAAATCCAGTCTCACAACCATCTCCCCATTTTGCCCTGCCCCAAGCACCACCAGCACTGGTACTGCCTCTTCAAACCTCCCTTCAATACAATACTACATCCCATGTATCTCAGGTGTAGGTTACGCTTTACCCACAACCTACGAAGACATATTCTACTACTTTCTCACCATTCTAGGCCTCAAAGTCCCACACAAGCCCTGCCGATATTGCTGGACCACCTCTTAACACAGACTGTGTGCTCTTCCCTTTCTTGGCTGCTTGCCACCAGCTTAAGTGTCATCAAATTCCCACTCCAATAAATCCTATAACCTATACTTTTGCAGTTTTAGTGTTATACCATCCTTTGGCTATTTGCTACCAGTACCTGTAAAGGTCTCAAGCTCTGGGGCTGTATTGCCTTTAACTCCACTCCTCAATTATCTCTTAAGCTGAGGCCACACAGGAATCCTTTCTAATGAAGGCTGTTCTTAAAGCTCCTTCTACAGATGCCTATTTAGCTTTATCCCTCTTAAAATGGACTCAATCATTAACCACACACTTCCATCGACGCCATGGGGAAAAGAGTGGAGCCCAGAAGACTGAGGACTAAGTTCCCAGCAAGTCTTCTTAAAAAGAGTGCCTTGACCAGGTGCAGCGGCTCACCCCTGTAATCCCAGCACTTTAAAAGGCCAAGGTAAGCAGATCACCTGAGGTCAGGAGTTTGACCCAGCCTGACCAATGTGGAGAAACCCCATCTTTACTAAAAATACAAAATCAGCTGGGCTTGGTGGTAC
Source organism: Homo sapiens (assembly GCF_000001405.40). Taxonomy (NCBI): domain Eukaryota; kingdom Metazoa; phylum Chordata; class Mammalia; order Primates; family Hominidae; genus Homo; species Homo sapiens. The sequence continues at coordinate 20,758,874 of NC_000024.10, read as the reverse complement.
ATGCCTGTGATCTCAGCTACTTGGGAGGCCGAGGCAGCAGAATCACTTGAATCCAGGAGGCGGATGTTGCAGTGAGCCATGATTGTGCCATTGCATTCCAGCCTGGGAAACAAGACTGAAACTCCGTCTCAAAAAAAAAAAAAAAAAAAAAAAAAGAGAGAGAGTGCCTTGCTCATCCACTTAACAATAGAGGGAACAGGGGCCCAACCTGGGAGGTCAGACACTAGGGGGCAGTAGCAGAGATAAGACTTGGAAGCAGAAACTGACACGGAAAGTTTGCAAATCCAGCTCTGCAAACAACACAGAGTCCATGTTCTCTCCGAAAATGCCAAGACAAGGAAGACAAATTTCTGCTACTCAGTGTTCAGAGTTCTAAGTCCCAAGAAAAGGCTACGTAATCTATCAAGTTAGTTACCAAGTGCCTATTATGTGGATGTGGACCCTCAGGGCTGCATTATTTTCTCTTAGATGCCCTATGTTTATTCCTGCCCAACAAAACTTTTGGCATCTTAATCACCTCGCTTCTGTCTGCTTCTTCACACTGGCTCCCTTTCTGTCTCAGAAGACCCAAGACTTTCTTATGGCTTCAACCCCTCTCTCCCATTGTTACCACACCACCAATGTGGAAACTGCCTAGTCCGCCTCTTGTCAGATGCTTGCCTCCTTTGCCTCTGGGCATACTGTCCTCATCCTGCCAGGTCTTCAAGGTTGAGTTCAAGAGACTCCTGCATTTCTCACGCAATTTCTTGCCTGTGTTGCATGGACCCCAGTAGCCGTTACTGTTAAAACCGTATCTTGGGCTCAATGTAAACAGCAGCTACTCCACCCTCTGAAACAAAGGGTAACTTCAAATTAAATACATTTTATTATTAATGGGGACTCAGTGCACTGTCACTGAACCCTTTCTTATCTGGAATTTAGCACATTCATTAATCCCCTCAGGTCTGGGTTCAGGAAGTGCCCTCTAAAGTGGAGAGCTCAAACAGCAAAAGAGACCACCAGGACTTGACATCCTGGTGTTTTGTTGTTGCTGTTGGCATTTTTAATCCTTGAGAGCACAAGCCTCAAGAAATGGGTTCATGATATAACACAATTTGAATAAATCACAACACAGCAGCCTAACAGCTCTTTTGAAAATATGAGGGGCGCCATGGCTAATGCTTATAATCCCAGCACTGTGGGAGTGGCCACCAGCGGGTGGATCAGAAGGTCAGGAAATTGAGAACATCTTGGCCAACAGGGTGAAACTTGGTATCTACTAAAAATACAAAATTTAGATCGGCGTGGTGACTAAAAGATCCCAGCTACTGGGGAGGCTGAGGCATGAGAATCGCTTGAACCCGGAGGCAGAGGTTGCAGTGAGCTAAGATCATGCCACAGCACTCCAGCCTGGTGACAAGCCAAGACTCAGTTTCAAAAAAAAAAAAAAAAAAAACCCCAAACATGTCCAATAGTTCACTCACTTATGTCTTTCTGTTCTTCTGTAAGAGGCTTCTTTATTTCACACTCTTTAAAACTGCAGTGCTCAAAACCCCATTGATCCTTCCAACAGCCCTACTTTTTTCTCCCCCCAGCCTTCAGCACCTGTGAACATACTGTAACTTCCCTCTCCTCCCAGCAGGATGTAAGCTTCAACAAGAAAGAGGGATAGATTTTGTTGTCCAACCATTTTGTACCCGGACATATCCTTAAGGGTGGGCCCACATAACAACACCTGGCATGTATTAGGCTCTCAATAGTTACTAAAAGATGGCAAGCCCAGGTTCTCAGCGACATTATGGACCACAATAGTGCTCAAAGTTGAGGTCAGAGAGCTGTTCGACCCGCTGTTTCCAAACAGGATGTCCTAACTTTTTTCTCAGGGACCTTTTCATTACAGTGCAAGGACAAGTTCCGTGTGCAGCAAGTCTTCACCAACGAAAATCTCACATAAATAAGCAAACAGTGTTCCCACGAAATAGCAAGCCACAGGTACACAGCATGCACTTTTGAGTAAAAAGCAAATACAGTTATACTCACAAATACACCAGTTAGTTTATCCAGCATCCAATGCTTCGGCGCTGCAACACGCTTCAAGTGCTTCTTGGGGCCCCGGGCCTGAAAAAGACACCAAACTTTTTCAGAGAAACTCGTCTCAGTTAACAGTAAAATGTCTTTATCTTCAGCTGTAACAACTGCTAACGGGTAATACCGGATCGGAGGAGAAAGGACAGTCCAGGCTATTTCACGCCCAGTTTTGAGCAAATATTACTTCCTGCCAGACTCCAGAACAAACCCCGCAAAACTCCCAGACCTTTGACAACCTCACGAGTCTCTCTGGCGTCTGTCAAGACAGCGTCCACAGTGCTCTCCAAGCGAATCTGAGACTGCTTCAACGTATGGATATAAGCTAACCCGCGTAAAAAGCCAGTGCTGGGCTGCGGAGTCAAGGGTGGACTTGTAAGGTTAGCCGAGGAAGCTTATTCCTAACAAGACTCACGTGCCAACAGCACCACCGGCGCCCAGGCCGAGCACAAGGGCCAGCCCGGAACCCCCAGCCGCACTCTTCTCAGACCTCCGCTCTCCAAATCGGGTTTCCTGAAGCAGCACCAGCAGCATTCCCACCCGCCAAGCAGCGGTACCCGAAAAGTAAAAGCTTGCCAAGATGGAAGGCCCTTCTTCAAAGGATGGAGGCAGATAAATCCGGAGCTAGGACGCAGACGTCTTACCATGGCGAAATCCCGCGACGGAACAGAACCTCTCCTTTTACGGTGCAACCGTAATCTGCGGTGATAAACAGCGGGAAGTCAAATGAGTGAGAATTTCAGTTCCAGATTCCGCCTCGGGTAACCAACCTATTATTCTTCCGTTGTAGAGGTCACAGCTCGGAACTGAGTTTCTTAGCATATTCAGTTTCTGATACTGATTCATAGGTGTCAGTTATGCCACGGGACTTTTTGTTGTGCTTCCTCCCCTCAGGTCGGCTAAGCTGGGAGGACGCAGTTTACACTCTAAAAATTATCTTTCGCCAACTTTAAAAATATTTAACAGAAGCTCTGAAGGAGCAGGATTTAGCCGCCTTAAAAAAAAAAAAGCCAATCGTTAAGAAATAACCTGTATGATTCCTTGTGACTGTGACATGTTGTATTGTAAAATCATGATTTAAGAAACAATTCGTTTTTCTGAATTAGGGCCAATTTCACAGGTTTGAGAATGTATTAAAATCGTCTGTATTGTCAACTTTGAAAGGGTAGGTTTTATGGGACGTGAATTGTAAGTTCAATACCTTGTTTTGCATTAACTTGAGGTGATGGTTGCACAACTCTGTGCATGTCCCTAAAACCTCCAAAACAATTCACTTTTAAAAAGGTGAACTCGGCTATGTAAGTTGTACCACGCTCGCATGTGTGTGATGTCACAGCTTTATTGAGGTGGAATTGCTATACAAAACACAACCAGCCAAATGGACTTCCTTAATCTGTACCGTTTGACGAGTTCGGACATAGGCGTAAACCCACGGAACCATCATCACAATCGAGGTAATAAACATCTCCATCACCATCAAAAATTTCCTTGTGTTATTTTCTAGGTATTTCTTTTCTTTTTCTTTTTCTTTTCCTTTTCTTTCTTTCTTTTATTGTGTTTTTGAATGTGGCAGGGTCTGGCTCTGTCGCACCGGGTGGAGGGCAGGGGCGCCATCTCAGGTCCCGGCAGCCTCGACTTTCCGGGGGTTGAGTGTTCCTCCCACCTCAGCCTCCCACAGTGCTGAGACCCACAGGCACCTGCCAGCACTTTACGGAATTTTTATTTTTATTTATTTATTTATTTATTTATTGAGACGGAGTCTGGCACTGTCGCCGGGGCTGGAATGCAATGGCGCGATCTCGGCTCACTGCAACCTACACCTCCTGGCTTAAAGCCATTCTCCTGCCTCAGCCTCCTGAGTCGCTGGGATTACAGGCGCCCGCCACCAGGCCTGGCTGTTTTTTTGTACTTTTAGTATAGACAGGGTTTCACTGTGTTGGCCAAGCTTGTGTCAGACTCCTGACTTCATGAACCACCGACTCTGCCTCCCAAAGTGCTGGGATTACAGGCATGAGCCACCAAGCCTGGCCTCCAGCTTTTCTTTTCTTTTTCCTTTAACTGTAGAGAGAACACAACACAGTAACATCGACCATTTTTACCAATTTGTAAGCGCGTAACAGTGCCTAAAATGTTTTTGTTGTTATGTTTTGTTTGTCTTTGCATTCAATTCCTTGATTCAAGTCTATAGGCACTGTATGTGCCAGCTAGCAAGACAGCAGGCTGGAATAGATCTGAACTCCACACTGTTTGCTCTGTACTAGTATTCACCTCTTCTATTCTGAGACTCCTAGACTCCTTTTGCCATTACTTAGGTCCCTTTGCTGCTTTTGTGGTAGGAGTTATTAAGAAATTATTTTAGGCAAATAGAGAGGAAAAGTTTTCATTTCTATTAAAGCTGCTCTAGAAATGTTTCTTGTCTAGAAGCAAAGCCTGGGCTCTTAGAGCTTTGGCTCTTAGGGCTTGGCTGGCAAACTTTGATATGCAAATGTAGGCCATTAGAAACTGGGTCCACCCAAACATGGCAATTCCTGTGCCCTCCTGCCCTTGCCCTACATGTTCCTGGCAACATGGCCACCCCCACATATCCCCACGTGTGTAGAACATCATGGCGTCCTTCGTTTGCATATTAAAAGACTAGAGTAGTTGGGCCCGCTTTTTCGTGGGCTAAGTGAATGACATGCCTTGTCAAACCAATCCACTGTGCCCTGTGCAAATCAGACACCGCCTCCTCCAGCCTCTACGTATACCTGGCTTGTTTCCTCCCCACTTGGGTTCCATCTCTTGGCTTTCGAGTCCTCCCTCCCTCTGTGTCTGTACAGGGGAGCTTCTTCCTTCTTTGTTCTTCCTTGTTTCTTGCCTATTAAACTCTCTGCTCCTTAAAACAACTCCACCTGTGTCCTGTTGTTTTATCTAATTCAATGTGAGACAAGAGCTCTGGTGTTCTTACCCTCATCAGAGCACTATCAATTTCAGTTCTAGTCCTGGACAGCTCTCGGAGAGCCCTTAACCTTAACTGGACTGGTTTCTTCCACTCTCTGCGGCAGACAACTCACTTTTCCATTCTTTTCCCCATCATTTTCCTTTTTTATTATTCTCCCCCAAAAAAGCATTCGCTCCTCCAGATATAACAGTGCTGAATAGTGCTCTCTGACTAAAACGGGCTTTTCTGATTGAATCATTTTCAGAAGACTGTTAGTCAAATACATATGTAGGCATGAGGAGAGCCGTTACCTGCAAAATTATCCTTGTTAAACTCCAATCCACAAGTGCTAGGGGAGACCCATTTGAGTAATAATAAGATTTCCTGCACAGCTGACTCTGCATGGATTACTCTTTCTCCATTGCAATTCCCCTGTCTTGATAAATCAGCTCTCTCTAGGCAGCTGGCAAGATGAACCTGTTGGGTGGTTACAGAGCTGCCCGTCCGTGGCCTCCCAAAAACTGGCGACCTTCTGCTGCCCCTCTGGGAGGCAGCCAGGCAGTTCGTGCTGATGTTTCAGCCACTGGACAGTGGCAGCTCTGCCTGGCCCTGAGCCTCCTGCAACTGCTGCCCTGCTGTCAGCCTGAGGCCCTGGTTCCCCCGGACCTCCCGGCCAACTCAGCGCATCCTGGGTGCTGCCGCTGCTTGGCTGCCTAGGTAAGTGTGTGCTCCATCTGTGGGTTAAGACCTGCTCAGTGCCCAGGTGAGGACATAGGGCAGTCGAGTTGTAACTAGATCGGTGCCTGAGTGATGGCGCACCACCCTCCGGCTGGATTGGGCTTCTGAACACTTGAAGCACAGAGAAAAGGGAAGCAGAGGCGCTTCCCTCGGGACCGGACTGAACGAGTAGGTAATTTTTCCATGCAAAATGGTAGGTAAAAATTCCTGTCCACGTGAGGTTCGGTCTTTAAAAATCCATTCATTGTGTTTCTGAACAGGAAAATTTCAGACAGTGCAGCTGAGCAAAAATTGCACCAGGGAGAAACTCACAGTTAAAGTGTGTGTATGTGCATGCTTTTTTTTTTTTTTTTTTTTTTTTTTTGGTGGAAACTGGCTGTGTCATCCAGGTTGGAGTGCAGTGGTGTGATTGCTCCTCACTGCAACTTCCTCATCCCAAGTTCAAGCGATTCTCCTGCCTCAGCCTCCAGAGTGGCTGGGACTACAGGCATGCAACATGACACCCAGCTCAATTTTGTATTTTCAGTAGAGAGGGGGTTTCACCATTTTGGCCAGGCTGGTCTCAAACTCCTGCCCTCAGGTGGTCTGCCCACCTGGGCCTCCCAAAATGCTGGTATTACAGGACTGAGTCCCCGCAAATTCTTTCCTCTTTTGCACCATATATTTCCCGCGTGTTTTGTGACCTTAAATCCCCTCCCTATCCAGGCTTTTTTGGGCTTGGTTTTTCCACCATAGCTGTGCAAACTGCAGCCCATGAACAAAATCTTGCCCATATTCTAAGGCCCATGAGCTAAGAATGGTTTTACACATTAGGTTTTTGTTTGTTTGTTTGTTTGTTTGTTTTGAGACAGAGTCTCATTCTGCTGCCCAGGCTAGGATCATAGTTCACTTCAGCCTCAACCTCCTGGGCTGAGACTACAGGTGCACACCACCACACATGGCTAATTTTAAAATTTTTGGTAGAAATGGGATATCACTGTGTTGCCTAGGCTGGTTTCCAACTCTTGAGCTCAAGAGATCTCCCACCTTCGCATTCTAAAATTTTGGGATTACAGGCCTGAACCACCTCACCTTGCTTCAAAATGTTTTTAGAAATCAAAAGAAAAAAAAAATCCTGGCATGTGAGTGTACATGAAACTTAACAATTAGTGTCCACGCATAAACTCTGATGGAGAATGCAGCTATATTGTGAACTCCAGCCTGGGTGACAGAGTGAGACCCTGTCTCAAAAAATAAAAATAAATAAATACAGAAGTTCTTGCTCTGAAACTCATGCTAGAGTGTGATGGTGCCATCTTGGCTCACTGCAACCTCAACCTCCCAGGCTCAAGGAATCCTCTTGCTGGGGCTACAGGTATGGACCACGCCTGGCTATAGCCCACATTCCTTGACTCATGACCTCTTCTTAGCAACAGTGGTTTAGGTCCTTCTTATCTCTCTGGTTCTCTGCAGCTGACAGTCTGCTTTCCTGGATTCTGGCAGTTACAGTGGGCCAACCCAGATAATCCAGGATAACGTCCTCATCTCAAACATCCTTAACTTCACCTACAAAGTCTCTTTTGCCATATAAGGAAACATAGTCACAGGTTCCAGAGATTAGGACAGGGACATCTTTAGGGAAACTTATTTGGGCTATCACAAGTGTTTGTCCACTTTAACTTATATACGTAGTTTTATCCAGCTGTGATGTGTGGTGGCTCACACCTGTAATCCTAGCACTTTAGGAGGCTGAGGCAAGAGGATGGTTTAAGCGCAGGAGTATGAAATAAGCCTGGGCAACATAGCAGGACCCCATCTCTACTAAAAATAAAATTAAAAAAAATTAGTGGAGCATGGTGGTGTGCGCTGTTGCCCTAGCTATTTGGGAAACTGAGGGAGATGTGTCACTTGAGCTCAGGAGTTTGAAGTTACTGTGAGGACTTATAATGCCACTGTACCCCAGTATGAATGGCAGAGAGTAACCCTGTCTATTATAAAGAGAAAAAACAGCCCCATAGTCTTGTCTCTTAGATCAGCAGCCTCCAACCTTTTTGACAGCAGAGACCACTTTCATGGAAGACAATTTTTTTCCCCCATGGATTGGTGCTGGGAATGGTTTTGGATTGATTCATGTGCATTACCTTTATTGTGTACTTTATTTCTGCTGTTATTACATTGTAATATATAATGAAATAATTTTACACCTCACCATCATGTAGAATCAGTGGGAGCCCCAAGCTTGTTTTCCTGTAACTAAACAGTCCTATTTGGGAGTGATAGGAGACAGTGACAGATCACCAGGCATTAGATTTTCATTAGGAGCCCAAAACTCAGATTCCTCATAAGTGCAGTTCACAAATAGGGTTCGCAATGCTATGAGAATCTAATGCCACTGCTAATCTGACAGCAGGTGGAGCCCAGGTGGTAGTGCGAGTGACGGGGAGTGGCTGTAAATACAGTTGAAGCTTCACTTGCTAGCCTACTGCTTACCTCCTGCTATGTAGCCCAGTTTCTAACAGGCCATGAACCAGTATGGTTGCAACTGGGGGTTGCGGACACTTGCCTTAAATTAATCACAGCTCCAAGCTTGATTTCATGTAAAATCTTCTTCATCCAAACAGGGCCTGTGGGACTAGCCCCCAGAAGGGGCACAGGCAGGGACGTTACACTGCTTCTTGTATGTTGCCCTCTCGAGGTGGTCACCCCCATGTGGGCAGGGATCTTCACGTCCCCAGTGCCTAGAACAGGCATGATCTTTGCTCGGTAAACATTCAGCCAATGTACACTGAGTGAGACATACTGTGCGGCTACAACTCTATTATTCTTTAATTGAGATATAACTTAAATACTGTAACAGTCACCTTCAAAAGTGTGCATTTCAGTGGCTTTTAGTGCCATCTGCAGAGTTATACATCAGTTAGCTCCAATACTGATAGTTCCAAAACATTTCCGCTATCCCAAAAAGAAACCCTGTACCTATTAGCAGCCACCCCGATGTCAGTGTAATCATACAATATGTGCACCTTTTGTATCTGGCTTTTCACTCAGCATTCTGTTTCTGAGGTTTACCAATGTAGCAGCATACATCAGTACTTCATTCCTTTCAACTGGACGTTACTTTTGCACAAGCTGACGGCCATCCTGTAAGTTAAGGTTGTAGGAAGGCCCTCCTATCACTGGCCCCTCTTCCCCTGTACAAAATGTACACCCAAAGGCAATTCCCAGAGTGATGGTGCTGATGGTCCAGCACATGTCTCCACCCTCCCTGAGCATAGGATGCTGGTAAATCCCACTGCTGGGGACTTCTGATTGTCCTCAAATTGAAGACAGCCAGGTGTGAAGGGTAGGCCCAGCATTGTGGGAAAGTGGAGGCAGGCACGGATGGCCAGCCTGCCCTGAAGAGCAGCATAGAAGCAGAAAGCAGCCGGTCCTGACGTCTACCCAGCCCTTAGCGTAATGGCACAGGCAGGCTGAAAAGGATTTCCTTGTTCACCCCACTGAGAAAAGCAAACCACAACTCTGAGAAAAGTATCTGGCCAAGGCAGTGCAGGTACCAATGTGCCAGATGTTTGGATTCAGGGTTCAGACTTCTTGAGCCTCAGAGCATCTTCCTGGGATGAGGCTATAGGAGGAATAAGTGGGGAGGCTGGGCGGGTTTGAAGGGCTGGGAGGAGCACCTGGCAAGTACCATACTTGTAAGGTGGTGTCTTAGTCTGTCCAGACTGCTGTAACAAACATCACAGACTAGCGGTGGCTCATACACAACAGAAATGCATTGCTCACAGTTCTGCAGGCTGGGAGTTCAAGATCAAGGCATGGGAGATTCAGTGACAACACACTTCCTGGTTCATAGACGGAGAGTTTTTACAGTTTCCTCACATGGTGGAAGGGGTGAGAGAGCTCCCTGGGGTCCCTTTTATAAGGTCACTTATCACTTTCATGAGGCTCCACTCTCATGACCTCATCACCTCCCAAGCCCCCACCTCTTAATACCATCCCCTTGAGGGTTAGGATTTCAACATGAATTTTTGGAGGACACAAACATTAAAACCATAGCCAATGAGAACAGAAAAATGCCATCAGAGTGTATGCTTTCAGCAGAAATTCCTATTCCGTGGTTTTATCACGATGGGTCCCGTTTAGATCAAGTCTCAAAAACTTCAGTCACTGTCACTAGGATAGCTACAATCAAAATTGTAAAATAGGCTTAGCATAGATATGGAGAAGTTAGAACCCTTGCGCATTGCTGGTAGGAATGTAAAATGGTACAGCTGCTGTGGAAAGCAGTTCAGTGGTTCCTCAAAATCCTGTACATAGAAATATCATCTAACCCAGGAATTCCACTCCTACGTATACACCCAAAGAACTGAAAACAGAAACTCAGATATATTTTTGTTTTGAGAAAGGTCCTCAGTCTGTCACCCAGGCTGGAGCGCAGCAGTGCAATCATAGCTCACTGCAGCCTCGACCTCCCAGGTTCAAGCAATCTCCAGTCTCAGTCTCCTGAGTAGCTGGGACAACAGGCACACACCACCATGCTGGGCTAATTTTTTAAGTTTTTGCAGAGATAGGGTCTGGCTTTGTTAATCAGGCTTGTCACGAACTCCTGGACTGAAGTGATCCTTCCAACCTGACCTCCCAAAGTGCTGGTATTACAGGCATAAACCACTGTGCCTGGCCTTAAACTAATCCTTGTACATGAGACATATTCATAGCAGCACTACTTACAGTAGGCAAAAGGGTTAAACAAATTAAATGTCCACTGAAGGATGAGTGGGGTCTAACTATACAATGGAATGATATTTAGTCACAAAAAGGAATAATGTACCGATCCATGCTACAACATGGGTTTACTTGTTATGGTGAGTGAAGGATGCCAGATGCAAAAGGCCACACAGTGTATGCTACCATTTACATGAAATGTCCAGAACAGGCAAACCCACAGATACATAAAAGCAGGTGAGGGAAAAGAGAGTGACCGCTTAGTTGATATGGTATCTCTTTGGGGGATGATGAAAACATTTGGTTGTCCAGGCATGGTGACTCATGCCTGTAATCCCAACACTTTGGAGGCCAAGGCAGGAGGATCACTTGAGGCCAGGAGTTTGAGACCAGCCTGGGCAACTTGGTGACATCCCATCTCTACAAAAACACAGAAACCAAAACAACCATTTTGGTGTTTTCAATGATGATGGCTGCACAGTATTGTGAATGTACTAATTGCACTAAATTATTCACCTTAAAATAGTTAATTTTCTGTGATGTGATTTCCACCTCAATGGAAAACAACCAACCAACCTCAGCAGCATGAGGAAGCTCTTTGCTGACAGGCTTTACTTTGGGTACATTTTCCTGACCTATCCAGAGTGCAGGAGCTCACCTTGCTGTTCCAGGCTGGGCTCTCTGCCCTGTTGTGCTGTGGTCATTGTTGTGCTTCCCCCCAGTACCATCCTGCTGCACCATATCATGGCATGGGGCCTGAACACCCTGACCTAGGGTGCAGGGAGCCACCATGCTCTACTACCCTTTCATGTCCAGGGAATCCAGGACTCCAGTACCCTAGGTGGCTCCATGCCTGGCCCCTCATTGCAGGGGACCTCTTGCAGAGAATGCAGAACCCTGACCCACAGAGTGGGCTCCTTGAAGGTCAGGCCATTGTCTCAGGGCCACACTCACAGCCCAGACATGGAGGGATGACTCCAGTAGCTTGGACCCTGGAATCATTCTCTCTGCTTCTGCTTTTCTTATTTGCGTGCATAGGTGCCTGTGCACACAAGCATGCATATGAAGCTTTCAGCATATCTCCCTTCATGTAAGTCTGCATGCAGAATTTTTCGTGTATTCCCAGCATCCATATTTGTGAACTTTTAAATTTTTGTTCTTCACGCTTCCTCTGAATGATCAGGTGAGTTTAGCATTCATGGAATGAGTGTAGGATAATGTGGAAGAAGCCAAGGGGAGCCCTGTGAAAAGCTCATTCTACAGCTCTTCTTCCTGTGGTTTCTAGCTTCTCTTCCATTGTGCACAGAGAGGGGGATGTGGCCGCTGAAACTGCCAAACAACAGACACAGGTAGATGTAACCACTGTAACTGTCTAAGGCATTTCCTCAAGTTTACATTCCTGTCTGTGCAACCCTCAGTTGTAAAGCCAAGGTCCTTCCAAGGATATATACTCTAACTTCCAGTGGAAAAGTGGAAAACAGCAATGAACAAGTGTCTTTATCTGTGATTTTATGACAGGAATCAGCACATGGCAGCCCTCAGGACAAACCTGGGCCACATCTGTTTTTGTAAATAAAGTTCTACTGGATTACAGCCACACCCATTTCTTTATGTACTGCCTGTGGCTGCTTTTGCGCTAAGTTAGAGTTGAGTGGTAGTCACAACAGAGAACACAGTTTGACCTATGATGCTAAAAATATTTACTGTATGTTCCTTTACAGAAAAAGTATGCTGACCCATGGTGTAGATTATTTCTCTCTCTCTCTTTTCTGGCTTCTTGCAGCAACTCAATTAAATGTCTCCAAATGGGTATTGTCATGTCAACCGTAAATACAAGCAGGGAGCTCAGTGGTAGATCCATCTGTATGGTCTGTTTTCCTAGGGAACTTTAAGAGGACAGATGCAGTATCAACAGCTATTATAACAGAATGTACCTAGTTGGAAAGGGAGTATCTGTTGCACTCCCTTGCCTGTGGGACCCTAGAGATTCCTGGCAAAGTTGCTTCTGAGCCTGAGAGTGCCATTACTGCAGGGCTCACAGGGAACCCTGAGATGCTCCCAGGGTCTTTGGGAGTGGCACCTTTTAAGTAACTTATCTGTGATGATCTCTTCATCCTCACATTGCATGACCCAGGGCCTTCAGCATTCTTCACACACACAACCTCACTCTCCTATGTGTCATTTTCTTTCTGTCTTTGCATCGGAGTCACTTCTCTTCCTTTTTTGTTTCCCTTTCTCCTCTCAAGGCTTTTTAGGCTGAATTTTAGCCTCTACAGCTGAGGATAAAACCACCTGTTAAAAGAAGGTGGCAGCGATGAGAGGTGGTGTAGTAATCCTTCCTATATGGCAAGAGGAGATGGGTATTGCATTTTTCATACCTGCTTTTTTTTTTTCTTTTTTACACTTTCTGCCACCTTCACTCTTCTGGTTTGACCACTCTGTGAATATTAACAGTGCTTTCATCTATTTTTGTCATCTCTCCTTCTGTGGCCATGTGGCTGTTTGGTCAGTTGCTTTTCTGCGTCCCTCTTGGTTGAGCTGGAGCACTCCTCCTACCCCTTTCCCTTCAGTTCTCTCTTCCTCTGTGACATTTTGCTTCTCTCCTACATGAAGCATTTCCCAGCTAATAGTCGTTAACCTTGGTAACATATGTTTGTGAGGCCCTCGGGACATTCTATGGTGACCAGTGACTCCTATGACCCATCAGTAGAAATCATTTTCCTTTTCCCTGACAAGAGCTTCTGAAACTATTGTTATCTATAACAATGAGAACACATTTTATCTGAAATATGTAGCTGGTACATTTTGAGTTGATCAAGCCCAGGAACTGTATCTTATTCATGTTATTGCCCAAAGCCATGTTGTGAGCACTCAAAACCTAACTACTTAATGGAGTGCCTTTGTCTTTACTTAAATTGTGTTTTTTCATTAAGACCCAGTGCAGGGAATCCACCATCCCAGAGTGTCATTTCTTTTCAGACCTTTTCCCAGCAGGGACCTTCAAAAACTCCCTCCAGTGGAACACCTTAGAGGACCTCCCATTTCTGAGACAGAAACATGGTTGATCTCCCTTACTTACCTACAATTAACTGCTTGTTCCAGACATGAGAAATGACTCATATTTCCTTTGGGCAGTCAGAAGCAGGTTTATGCATTTCCTTTGTTGTTCTTATCCTCTTATCTTGGCTTCCAGATAAGTGGCCAAAGCTTTGTTTCTGAGAAGAATGACTTGACTTTCCTCTCTCAGGTGTGAGCCGGGCCTAACCATGCCATCCCCCACTATGCACCATATACCGCCCCCTGCTGCTGGTCCTCATGGCCAACCCCATCCTGTTCCAAAGACAGTGACTACAGGTAAATAGTAGGGAAGTTCTCTGGGATCATGGCTACTGGGAGTGGCCCCATGCCTTAGTCTTAGACAGTGACACATGTTATCTCCTGGAATTATTCAGGACAGTTGACTTTATTTGTCATCCTTCAGAGATATCAGCAGAATACAGCTGCAGAAAGTGAGCAGGTTCAATAAATGAAAATGTGCAAGGCTCTGCTGGCTCAAGTTCTGTGCCTTCATTTGTTAGCTCAGCACTAGGACTAGGTGACTTTTCACTTCTGTACTGGGATCCTCCTGGGTTGGCTGCAGAAGTGCCCTTGGAGGTCTACGGAGGTGTGTGAGGAACGGGAGAGGAAAGAGGAGAGGGAAGGGACTGAGTGCAGACTGAAGAGGCTCCAGTCCCATAATGCACTTGGCTATCGTCTTTTCTCAAGAAAGAAAACGGGGAGTGCAGCACAGGAAATCAGTTAAGGGCAATGGTTAGAAAAGGATAACAGGAATGAAGCCCTTGACAGCATCCTTGGAAAAGACTTCTGGGCTGGGGCTGGTAAAGAGTTGAGTGCCTACTTCCTCCTCGAGGAAGTGTGTCCTGGAGTGAACCCCCAAACCTCCTCATGTTAGCAGTGTTGTAAATCCACACAGTTCTGAAGGAACCTCACTTTGTGCCTCCTCAGAGGAAAGATTTCCGCTGAGAGGCATAAGGCAGAGTGACAGTCTGAGGCATGGTTCAGAGCAAGAGGGAAAGTTTATTAAAAGTCTTTAGAACCAGGAATGAAACACAGTAAAGTACACTTGGAAGAGCACCAAGCAGGCAACTTAAGAGAAGAAGTGCACTGTTTAGCCCTTGACCTGGGGTCTTATATGTTGGCATGGTTTCTGTGGTCTTGCATCCCTTCTTCCATGATTCTTCTCTTGGGGCACACTGTCTGCTTGCACAGTGGCCTGTTAGCTTTGGGAGGGGCCATATCTGCAATGTGTTTCTTGGAGTTGTATCTATGCTCATTTGAGGCAGTCTCCTCCCTTACCAGTCAAGTGTTCCTAAAGGAGGGTCAGTTTACCAACCATCTGACAATCACTTGATGGTCACGTCGCATTCCTGGGGAGGGAGACCTTTTCCTGCCATACTCATGTCTGACTACCTACTGTAACAATCCTGAAGGCAAAGCACAATCAAAGCAATGTCTACCAAGGGGTCTAGTGAAAGCAAAGCAAAAGCAGACTGGGCAGTAGGTCATGACAACAGTTTTTGTTTCTTTGTTTTTTAATGCTCAAGGCATTTTTTCTTGCAGGAGGGCCAAAGAATGAAAGCATCTGTATTAGGAAAGCGGTTTTGAGAAAGTCAAACCTTTAGCACAAAAAATGCCCAGAAAAAAATTTGACCAGAGGGTCCTTTTCTACCATGACAAAATTCCTGCGCATTCATCTCATCAAACAAGGGCAATTTTGCAAGAGTTAGATTTTCCTAAGGAGCACGCCCCCTAGATTCCTCACATGCACAGTTCACAATAGAGTTCCTGGTCCCATGAGAATTTAACCCCACCACTGATGTGACAGGCAGCAGAGCTCAGGTGGTAAAGATGCATTGCTTCCTATGCACCTCCTGCTGTGCAGCTGGTTCCCCAGAGGTTGGGGACCCCTGCTGTACAGCAAAAAGAAACCTCTTTAAAGCTAGTCATTTGCCACTGGCATTCTTCAGGGAGCCACCAAAGCTGCCTGCCATGCCTGCATTTATCCCAGGGAACTCTGCCACATGGTTTGATATCTGCCCAGTTCCCACGCAGTTCTTCCTGGAGCATTCCAGGGTTCTGCACTACCACTCAGGGTGCCCAAATTCACCTCCTGGGAACACACTTGCTCTACTTGGCAAGAAGTAAAGAGAAAAATGAAAATGAGCAGGATGAATTCCAGACAACACTAGGAGATGGGATACATATTTTCCCTAAATGTGACAATAACTCGCTTAACACTGAGTCTTCATTTGCCAATTCAAGACCTGCATTTGGGATTTGGCCACTGCAAAACTCCAGGTCATGGTGATGGCCACAAGCACACTTGGATCTGTGAAAGGAAGATAAATCTTGGGGCCCCCAACTCACTAAACTAAAGAGAAGAGTCAAGCTGGGAACTTCTTAGGGCAAACCTGCCTCTCATTCTATTCAGTCACCTCTCTGCTCACTGAGATAAATGCATATCTGATTCCCTCCTTTGCAGAGGTGAATCATGTTTCTTGAGCATGTGGGTTCAGATGCCTGGCTCCACATCCCACAGTTTCAATGCAAAATTGAATGAAGCACTAGTAAGGTGGGAGGAAAAGCAAAATCACATACATATGGCAGTTTTAAAAAGTTCTCCATAACGTGTGTCGTTGGATCTCCAGGAGTTGTCTTTCCCAACGTTTATGTTTCAAAAGATAATAATCTGAGGAGCTTTGTCTCTTCTAAAATGTATTAAAAACAAAGCCATAGTCATTAAACAAACATACAAAAGTTTTGATGTTTTTACTAGGGAAACAAATTGATATATACACATTAATTTTTGTGCACTTTCTATACATATGAATGGTTAATATTTTTGAAGAATATTAACCAAATTAATTAAAATGGTCCTACAATTTTTTAAGATGAAGTCTTGCTCTGTTGCCAGGCTGGAGTGCACTGGTGAGATCTCAGCTCACTGCAGTCTCCATCTCCCAGGTTCAAGTGATTCCCCTGCCTCAGCCTCCCAAGTAACTGGGACTACAGGTGCGCACCCCATGCCCAGCTAATTTTTTGTGTTTTAGTAGGGACAGGGTTTTACCACATTGGCGCAGATGGTCTTGGTCTCTTGACTTTGTGATCTGCCCGTCTTGGCCTCTCAAAGTGCTGAGATTACAGGCATGAGCCACCACACCTGGCCAAAAATGGTCCTACAATTTTAAACACAATAGCTATTATTACTAAATTAATGCAGAGAACCATATTTGGAAAAATGGCAAATTAAGTTAAGAATAAACATATAAAAAGTTTTTTTAGGCCAGGCATGGTGGACCACATCTGCAATCTTGGTGCTTTGAAAGGTGAGGTGGGAGGCTCCTTTGAGGCCGGGAGTTGGAAACCAGCCTGGGCAACAAGGTGAGACACCTTCCCCCGCTTCTCTCTCTCTCTCTCTCTCTCTCTCTATGTATATATATATATACACACACACACATATATACACAAACACACACACACACATTCTTCAAGCAACAGGAATTATTGTTTTTTGAGACAGAATTTTGCTCTTGTTGCCCAGGATGGAGTGCAATGGTGTGCACTGCACCCTCTGCCTCCTGGGTTCAAGAGATTCTCTTACCTCAGCCTTCCAAATAGCTGGGAATTCACGTATGCTCCAACACACCCAGTTAATTTTTATGTTTTTAGTAGAAACAGGGTTTCGCCATGTTGGGCAGGCTGGTCTCGAACTCCTAACCTCAGGTGATCCACCCACCTCGGCCTCCCACAGTGTTGGGATTGCAGGCGTGAGCCACCGCACCTGGGCCAAAACCATGGTTATCTCAAAGGCAGGATGGTTTTGGCCCCTTCAAAGTGAGCTACCACTTTGTTTCCTCTGAAGGGCTTGAACACAGGCGCATGGACACAATTTAGCAAAATTTCCCATCGTCGTTATGTAGGGCAGAGCTTTATCAATTGTGCTGCCTGCCCTTACTTTGCCAACGTGATGTAGGTTTTGGCTTGCTGGCAGAGGCCCGGTGGGGCTCCACTTGATGGTATAGATCTCTTGGCTGTGAGCCTAAAGATCGTGGATGCATGCGTCCTGCTTCATACTCCAGATCTACAGGACACACCGGCCACAACAGGAGCAAAAGCCATTCCTGCACCCGGGAATGATGTGGCATAATTCCTCTGGGGTGCACACGTAAGGCTGCTGGCCCACGGCGGGGTTGTACGCAGTGGTGAGAAAGCCAGCAGGAAGGCTTGGATTCTCACCGGGACCCCACTGAGAAATCGGAGTTCATTGGATAACAGAGGAAGGGAGCCTGGCCAGTAACAAATAAAGCTCACCCTGGTCAGTAACAGATAATCCTCATGGAAGAATGACCATGAGATTGGCGTCGAGTGCCAGGGTTTGTCTGGGATAAACAGCCCACTCCTTGCGATGCCAACGCTACCTTCAATGTCATGTCATCAGAGCAGGATGCCAGCAACATTCCAGAAGGATCCCATTTGATATGTTGACCTCATTCTCAAAGAAAGCAGAATCTGAAAAAGACATCAGGGCCTGTGAGTAGATGAGGTCACCTTCCAGCAGGGGACAGCAGCGCAGCACCATTGCTGCAGAAGTCCTTTGGCTTCAGCCTGAAATCGAAGAGCACAGCCCAACCAGCCTTCTAGTTTCCTCTTTTTCTCACTTTGCCTTTTTTGTTTATATAAAACCACATCCATATCCCACACATCACCAGCCACTCTCATCCATATTTCTTTAAGAAGAAAACATCCCTGCAAGGAAGGAAGGCAAGTGAATAATTCATGTATCTTAAAACGCAGCAAATAAAACCAGTTATTTAAAAAACTGGGCTTTGAAAATTACTTTCCTAAGCATTCTTTATTTTTATTTTATTTTTGAGGGAGGGTTTTGCTGTTGCTCAGGTTTGTGTTCAGTGGCTTGATCCTAGCTCACTGCAGCCTTACCTCCTGAACTCAAGCAATCCTCCTGCCTCAACCTCCCAAATTGCTGGGACTAAAGGCAGGCACTACCAGGCCCAGCTAATTTTTTTTTCTCTTTTGATAGAGATAGGTTGCAGAAAGTAGTCTTGAACTGCCAGGCTGCTGGGCTCAAGCTGTCTTCCCATCCCTACCTCTAAGATGTCTGGGATGAAATGCAGACACCACCACGTCCAGCTAATTTTTTTTTTTTTTTTTGCATTTTTATCTAGATAGGGTTTCCCAAGCTGGTCTTGAGTCTTGAATTCCCAGGCTCAAGCAACCCTCTGGCCTTGGCCTCTCAAAGTACTGGGATTATAGGAATGTGCCACCATGTCAGGTCTCCTATGCATTTATTTGTTTTTGTTTTTGTTTTCTTGAGGTTGAGTTTTGCTCTTGTTGCCCATTCTGGAATGCAATGGCATGATCTCTGCTCACCACAACCTCTTATCTCCCAGGGTCAGGCGATTCTCCTGCCTTAGCCTCCCGAGTAGCTGGGATGACAGGCATGGGCCACCACACCCAGCTAATTTTGTGTTTTTAGTAGAGACAGGGTTTCTCCATGTTAGTAAGGCTTGTCTTGAACTCCTGACCTCAGATGATCCACCTGCCTCGGCCTTCCAAAGTGCTGGGATTCCAGGCATGAGCCACTGCGCCCAGCCAGTTCTGTGCACTTTTAATCCAACAATTCCTTCCCACGCCTACACCCTTTACAAGGCATTTGTCCCTGAAGGTGAGTGGAAATGGAGGGAGGGATAAACTCAAGAAGTGAAGCCTCAGCTCTTGTGGAGTTCAAGCTGGGTAAGGGCTGACTTAGATGGAAGACAGGTGACCAAAATGCACACAGACAGATACACACGTGCAAAGGAAATGAAAGGCAAGTGCTGAGCAGCAGAAACAAACAACACCGGCAAAATCCTGGCCAGGGGCTCCTGATCCACTGCAAACAACCAGATATATAAAAGCGCAGGGTGAGCACTGGAACCTACAGGTCCGGACACTTGGACACTCTGAGGCTAAACCGTGGAAGATAAAGTTCAAAGTCATCAGGGACCAAGGCAGAAAAGGACACACTGAAACAGACACATATAAGTGAACCACTTGCAGCAAAGGCTTAGCTGGGGAACAGCCTGCACAGGAGAAATGGGGCAAGATCCTTCCTAAGGAGTGACAATAGGGTTCCATATGCCCCATACACTCCCACTATCTGATGCCTATCGTCCTGGCCTACCAATTAACTAATTTCACAAGGAAAATTAATTTTCTAAATATTTTCAAACTCCTGAGGGCTCCAGTTTGGATGATAAACTGTATGGTCACTCTGCTTTCTAAGGACACTGAGTTTTGAAGGGTGTGAACAGGACAGTGACAAGCCACCTGTGTGTTCTTTGTGGTATAGGTGGCCCAGGAAATGGAGGAAGAAGCATGATGGCCAAGGAACAGGCTGCTGTGAAATCCCATGGAGGGTGGAGGGGGCTGGCTGAAGAGGGGCCTGACAGAGTGTGAGCCCGCAAAGGTGTCTATGAGAATGGATGTGTCTTCCAGGAGCAGACTGCTGGGATGGCCAGGAGGGCAGACAAGGCCTATTGAAAAGGGGGCTGTGAGCATGCTTATGTGTCTATGAGCATGGATGTCTGTTCCAGAAGGCTGCTGGGAGAATCTGGAAAGGGTGGAGCAGACCGGTTGGAGAAGAGGTTGAGAGTGTGAGCAGGCTTAGGTGTCTATGAACGTGGATATATGACCCAGGAGCAGCCTGCCAGAAGAGCCCAGGGAGGGCAGAAGGGGCCTGCTGAAGAGGGAGATGAGAACATGCTTAGGTGCCTGTGAGCACGAATGTTTGTGCCAGGAGCAGACTGCCCGGAGAGACCAGGGAGGCTGGAGGGGTCCACGGAAGAGGGAGCTGAGAGAGTGTGAGCATACTTCAGTATGTGTGAGTGTCAGTGTGGGTGCTAGGCTAGCAAGGGAGGCTCTCACTGCAGCTGTGGAAAGGAAAACCCATCGGCCCAGAATGTGGAGCCGGTCACCTTGGCCTCTCTGTATCCAAACCCATATAAAGGAACAAATTTTTTCCTGAGAGTTGATCCTACAGCCTCCAATCCAAGTCCCAGTTCCTGGGTGGCCTCCAGAGTTGGCTCATGGGTCTCCACTCAACCCCACTGACCTGGAGCTTTGTTTAGGGCCATTGGCCACAGTAAGACCCACTTAAAGGGCTAAGTCCCATGCTGATGGCAAGGTCCAGGGCAGGACAGCTGGGAACCAAGGATACTGTGTGCAGCTCTATTAAAACCTTGAGGATAGGCTGGGTGCAGTGGCTCATGCCTGTAATCCCAGCACTTTGGGGGGCTGAGGTGGGCAGATAATGAGGCCAGGAGACTGAGACCATCCTGGCTAACACGGTGAAAACCCGTCTCTACTAAAAGTACAAAAAAATTAGCCGGGTGTGGTGGTGGGCACCTATAGTCCCAGCTACTTGGGAGGCTGAGGCAGGAGAATGGCGTGAATCTGGGATGCAGAGCTTGCAGTCAGTGAGCCAAGATCATGCCACTGCACTCCAGCCTGGCCAACAAAGTGAGACTCCATCCCAAAGCAAACAAACAAACAAAAACAAAAATAAAAACTGAGACTAGTCCAGGGTTAGGGGAGATAAGTTTAGACCAGTAAAAGAGAGTCACTTTGGAGCAAGGAGATATTAACAGGACAATATGTTCCTGTACTCTAAAAGTGCCTTCCTTTGGGGTGGGGACCCTTGGGACAGGGGCAGGGAGAGGTGGGCAGTAGGGGAATGAGGACAAAAGAATTTACATCATTTAAGTTACTGGCATGATGACAAATCTACAGGGACTGTGATCATCCTTTCCTGCTTTAACAGGGGACTACACCAACCATGGAAAGATATTCTAGTCGCTGGTGAGAAAAAGTTGAGACACCGTGAGCCCTCCTGGGCTCACTGTTGATGTGCTCTATATTTTCTGGAAGAGGCAGGCATACAGGCCAGCAGCCACTATCAGGTGTGTGGCATTCACAAGGGCAGTGGGAGCTCAGGAGGTGCCATGAATCTTCCACAGGGTGTGCAGAGGACACATAAATGGGCCTGGAGGGTGGAGAAGCATATGTGTCAGAGTGAGGGCTGCTGTGAGAGTCTAAGTCAGGGAGTGTTCCAGGAAGATCTTAGCACAGATTGAGGTGCTTGGCTGCACCTGCCTTTAGGAGGACAGAGGCACAGGGCATTTTTGGACACTAGCCCAGGAGGTCAAGGCTAATAAATGGTTTAACAGTATACTGGCAATTGCAGAAGTAAGGTAGAGATCATAGAAATTGGAGAATTTGAGAGAGATTTGATGAAAGACCAGAAAGAGCCTCAGAGTCCATACTGAAGAATTTGTTAAGTTTGTTGTTGTTCATATTGTTGTTCCCCAGTATATAGTGGGAACATTTTCAGCCTCTGCTTACTTTTAGGATTTCTTTTGTCATTGATTTTGATGTTTTATACCACATGCCTAGGTGGGTAGGTATGGTTCTTTTTATATTTATTCCTCTTAGGATTTCCTGAACTTCTCAAATTAAATGATGATGTTTTCCACCAAATATAGAAACAAATTGGTCATTTTTACCTCAAATGATTTTTCTGCTTCATTCTTTCTTCTTTCCCCATTATGCACATATCTTTTAGGCTGTCTGATATTGTCCCAGGCTGTTAAACCCACTGATGTGGTTGGATATTTTACCCCACCCAAATCTCAGGTTGAATTATAATTCCCAGTGCTGGAGGTGGGCCCTGGTGGGAGGTGTCTGGATTATGGAGGCAGATCCCTCATGTCTCTTGCCCCTGCTTTAGCCATGTGAGACTCCTGCTTGCCTTTCACCTTCTGTCATTGTTGTAAGCTTTCTGAGGCATGCCCAGAAGCAGATGCTTTCTGTACAGCTTCAGGACTTTGAACCAATTAAACCTCTTATAAATTATCCAGTCTCAGGTATTTCTTTATAGTAATCCAAGAACAGCCCAATACACCTACCTACTAACATTTTCAATGCTGACATTATATTTCTTAGTTCTCAAATTTCCTTTTTAAAAAATTAACTTAAAGAGATCTCACTCTATTGCCTAGGCTGAAGTGCAGTGGTGTGATCACAGTTTGCTGCAGCTTCAGAGTTTCCCTTTTGGGGTGAAAAACACTTCCTGAATGAGGTAGTCCATGTACTGCCTGCATTTGGAGCTATTTGTCTTAGCACCTTCTGCCTCATCAATGGTGTTCAATTAAAGCAACACCAAAAACTAATTTCACTGGCAGCCCTAAGAGGTGTGTTTGATGAAGGTCCCAAGCTGTGCAGGAGTGGCCACAGAGGAGATTCTCTTCCTCTCCAGGGCAGCAGGGCAGAAACAGTGTCTTCCCTGGGTCTCCCTCACTCTCTGCACTGCCTATATGAGGAAGAGTCCCTGCTGTGGTACCATGTGGAATGACAGACGTGGACGCCCATGCATTATGCCTTAACAGGACTTCTGGCTCATGGTCTTGTCTCCTGCAGGACCCATGTGCCCTGCTTGGAGCCCTCCCCAGGAACTGAGTTGTGCTGTACCATCTTGGACAGTTTTTGAGGTTAGCACTCCCATTCAGAATACCATTTAAGCACTCCAAACTGTCCGACAGGAAAGACACTTAGATCTCCTCCTGGACAGTGCTCCAAGGACAAGTGATATAATAATCAACTTTTCTCCCAGACATTGAGGGATTGATTCCCTCAAGATGTATCAGGCATTTGTCAATAAGGGAAGTGGCACCTACTCCCTTTTGTTCACTTTAAACAAGTCTAAAGTCTTCCAATAGTCTGTTAGCTCTAGGGGTGGCCACCAGTCTTTGTTTTAATGTAAGAGGCCACATCTAACAACAGAACTGAGATACACAGATAAGAAACTTGGGAAAGAAAATGCAGACTCACGTAGGAAACTGGTAAATCAGAATCTCTGCAGATTCTAGACTCCAGGTGCTGCATGTGGCCTGGACTGGCCCCCACATGCAAATGGATGTGGTTATGTCCAGAGCAGCAGCCTCACATCTGTGCAAGAAGGAACTAACACCATAGGCCTAAGGTTGCTCTTGTACAAAGGCCTGCTTGCAAGGCCAGTCCTTGGCTAGTGACTGAGAATTTAGGTGTCTGAAGAGTTCCTGCCCTTGACTAACAGAGGCAAGTAGCTCACTCTGCCAACACTGGTGCAAATAGTGAGTTTATGTCACACACCCTCTCTCCTTCAAGGGTCTGCAGTTTTGGCTTGCGCTGGGCCATGGGTGCCTATGTAACCAATTCCCAATAAAAACCCTAGGCACTGAGGCTCTATGGAGCTTGCCTGCTAGAAAACACTTCACAGATATAGTTACAACTTATTTCTGGAAGAATTCAGCATGGTCTGTGAGAGTCCACTGGGAGTGGAGCCTTTGAAGCTCTGGATTTGGCCATGTGTATTGTTTCCCTTTACTGATGTTGCACTAAATTATTGTGCTATTAGGAACCTTAGCTGTGAATATGCTGAGTCCTGGGAGTCCTTGCAGCAAAGTTGCAATCCTGGGTGTGGTTTTGGGGAGCCCCCAAAGCAGCATCCCTCTTGGAATTACAAAAGAAAGGGGGCTGCACTGATTCTGTGGCTGGTTCACTGCTGTGTTTGAGAGTTGTGAGTAGACAAGTGCCAAAGTCATCTGTATCTTGCAAACCTTATGAGCAATGCTTGCCACAAAATGGGTCTCCTTCTGACCAAATAGGCTCCCTGGGCTCTGTGTTCTGTGTATTCACATTTACTTTAAGGGGCATTTCATATAAGTCTAAATTATTGTTATTATGTGTTTGTATTTATTAGAGACAAGATCTCCCTCTGTCAACCAGGCTGGAGTGCAGTAGTGCAATCATAGCTCACTGCAACCTCAATCACCTGGGCTCAAGCAATCCTCCTGCTGACGTCAGCCTTCTGGGTAGCTGGGACTACAGGTGTGTGTCACCATGCCTTGCTCCCTCCCTTCCCCTCCCTTCCCCTCTTCTCCCCTCCCCTCCTCTTCCTCTCCCTTTCCATTTCCTTTTCCCTTTTCTTTTCTTTCCTTTTCTTTTCTTTTTTTTTTTCCTTTCTTTTCTTGTAATTTTGGTTGAGATAGGGTCTTGCTATGTTGCCCAGGCAGGTCTTGAACTCTTGGACTCAAGTGAACCTCATGTCTCAGCCTCCCAAAGTGCTTGGATTGTATGTGTGAGCCACCACACCCAGCCTAGTTTTGAATTATTTTCAAATTATAAAATGCAAACATAAAAACTCACCTGAATGAAAAGGAAACTGCTGTTTGGTTTCTCCTGTGTGAGCATCCCAAATTATTGTTGTCTGTGCTCTGCAAACAAAGGGAAAGTTAGTAATTACTCCTGCAAAGTTTTCTCTAGTAACATGTATCTTACGAGAAAAGACAGTGAGCCTCTCTCCTTATAAATCAGCACTATCCGATGCAGATAGAAAGCAAGCCTCATGGACTAGTTTTAATTCTCTAGGATCCACATTAAAAATTAAAAAAAAAATGTAAGATTCATTAACAATCTTTTATTTTACTCCCATATTCCCTAAAGGATACCATCTCAACATGTAAGCATTATCAAAATCTTACTGCACTATCTGCTTTCTTTTCTTCCCATCCTCAGTCTTTGAAGTACAGCATGTTTTATACTTAGAAATCTGGATAGCCACATTTGATGAGCCCATCAGCCAGAGATGCTGGTGTCAGTTTTAAGATCAGAGCATGCCTAACCAACACTTGCAAAAACTGCCAAAATTCTTCCTCATCCCCAAATGCAGAAAACTGTTAAAAAACCTAGAACAAAGCATCTCTAAAGATTTTTTGGAATTTTTCCAAGTTCAAGGCTGCAAAAAAAAAGCCATTTCTCAAAATGCCTCTGCCTGTGACTCTATGAACTGGGGGCAGTAAAAATGGGGGCAGAGTCACTGGCATGCACTGGGACCAGGCATCAATGTATAGGCCTATCAGTAAGGAGAAAAGCAATGTAGACCATATTAGTTCTTATGAACTTATACTGATGTAGGGAAGATTATTTAGAGAAGGACTTCAATGAATAGCATTGGAATTTTGTGTTCATCAGCTGGAATTTTCAACAAAATTGGGAACTACACTTCTCTGTCAAGATTTTTCTTTAAGAAGAATGAATTCTATTGTTTGTTGACTGTGGGCATTTTTAGAAGAAACTGAGAAGTGTCTTTGAAACTTGGTAATCATGGGTTTTGGGTCAGCCCTTGGCCTATTAACATTTCTTTAGATGTTAGTATATAACTCTACTTTATTTAGCCATGCCAAAGCTAATCTAATACTGCAGAGAATATACAAACTCATCATACTTGTGCCTGTCTCCTATCTGGGTAGTACTGGATGAGTTAACACAACAGTGAAGTGCTTGATAAAGAAAAGTGCTGTCAATTTCATGAGTTATTTTTAATAACTCAAGCAGCAATTACTGAGAGCCTACTGAATGCACAGCAAACTGCTTTGTATGTACATTACTTGAAATTAAAACATCTTGACAAAAATCTGATAGTAGCTAAATGGGAATGTTTAGTGCATCAACCACAACTCAGCTTTTAAAATATACACTAGGCTACCAAGTCTGAATGAAGGGTTTCTTGACATAAAAGAGAGTGAGATATCTTATGAATGAATGATTTCTTGACCTAGTTATATCCTACTCTAGGGGTCAGAAAGCTTTTTCTGTCAAGGGCCATGTAGTAGGAATTGCAGGTTTCGAAGACCATGTCTTCTCCCTTACAGCTGCTCATCTCTGCTGTTGCAGCATGAAAACAACCGTGGACAAGTCCCAACAAAGGAATGTGACTGTGTGCCAATAAAACTTTATTAAAAAAAGAACAGATGAGGTGCCAGACTTGTCCTGTGTGTGCCACAGTTTGCCAAATGCAATTATGACTTCTCTAAGAGTAGGATAATGTATAAAGGTCAAGTCTATCATTTTATAGTAACTTTCAACAGAAACCTGTGACTTAAGATTTTCAAGTTATCCTGACATTATCACAAAATGCAAAGTCTCATAAAAGCCTGAGCATCATCCGTTATTCAGGAATGGTTTCCAGTTGTAGAAACAAAAGTTGATGTAAAAACATGTAAGTTTTTTTTTTTTTTTTTTTTTTTTTTTTCAATTCTAGATAATGCTTCTTTCCCAAAGCCATGGCTTAGAATTCCTGGTGAGTCTTGGGAATGCATAACTCTTCCAGGAAGGCTGACTCCTGCTCAGAGAAATCTATCGTCTACAATGGGAAGTAGCAGTTAATCAAATTAGGACAACTGAAGCCTGAGAAACACTCACAGCCTGTGCTACTCAAGTTCCTCAGTGGGTGAAAGTTTAGGCAGTGCACTCCCCACATCACATGGCTCCTTCCAGCAACTGACAGATGCAATGTGGATATTTTCTTCTCTCTATCAATCACTGAACCATGTACCTCCCATAAAAGGAAACTGCACAAGGGTCTAGAGAACAGCAGAATATATTAAGAGATTATGTGCTACAAATCAACAAAAAGATCAAACTCATAAAAACAAAGCCTAAACCAACCCTTTCCATTTCTTAAGGGGAAGCACAAAACCTAAAAGTTCCAAAAAGACATGATTTTTAGATCTAAAAAAATTGGCTGGGTACAGTGGCTCATGCCTGTATTCCCACCACTTTGGGAGGCTGAGGCAGGTGGATCACCTGAGGTCAGGAGTTTGAGACCAGCCTGGCCAACTTGGGGAAACCTTGTCTCTACTAAAAATACAAAAATTAGCTGGGCATGGTGGCATATGCCTGTAATCCCAGCTACTCAGGAGGCTGAGGCAGGAGAATCGCTTGAACCCAGGGGGCAGAGGTTGCAGTGAGCCAGGACGGTGCCACTGCAGTGCAGCCTGGGTGACAGAGCAAGACTCCGTCTCAAAAAAAAAAGAAAGAAAGAAAGAAAGAAAGAAAGAAAGAAAGAAAGAAAGAAAGAAAGAAAGAAAGAAAGAAAGGAATAAATAAATCAGTGGCTGTGCACTGCGGCTCACACCTGGAATACCAGCACTTTGGGAGGCTGACAGAGGAGAATCACTTGAGCCTACTAATTAAAGACCAGCCTGTCCAATATGACAAAACCCTGTCTTTATAAAAATAAAAAAAGTAGCCAAATATGGTGGGAGATGCCTGTAATCCCAGCTACTTGGGAGGCTGAGGCAGGAGGATCACTTGAACCCTGCTGAGGCGGAAGTTGCAGTGATTTAAGATGGTGCCACTGCACTCCAGCCTGAGCAACAGAGTGATCCTTTCTCCCTACCCCACAAAACAGTAAAAGACAAACAAATAAATAAGCACCTACAGGCCAAAGGGGCATATTTTAAGCTAATACTCACTTTGTCCACACCAGTACTCAAAATATAATTCCCTTTTTTTGCTCCATTTCAGGGCAAAGATAGGGCCTTTATGTTGGCCTGAGGTGCTGGTCAGGTTACCTGTTAATAAAAACAAACATGTTGGTTCTGTTGTCATGGTCTGTTCAATCAAGGGTTATGTATGGCAGCTCCTCTTACCTGACCCATGCAGGAGGGGTGCAGGACTTACCATTTTCTGTCCATATTCTTGCGAAACCATCATATGAACCCGTAGCCAATAGTGTTCCATCACTCTGAGGGCCAGAAAGAGATACAAACTCACAAAAACAGCTTAGGAGTGGGAGCACCAAAAAAGCTCAGAGAGCCTCTCTCAGGATCCCAAGTCCAGAGGGTTCTTCAGGCAATAGTTGGTGCCATGCAATGTTAGCACACCCTGCTCTTAAATCAAATATGCGGCATGAAGACCAAGGAGACAAGGGAGCAATGAAAACACAATGGAACCATTCACCACTTTGTGTTCTCTAATGAGTGACGGAACTAAAAACACCATGATGAAAGTTATCATGACGCTTTGCAGAAAATAAAAAGCAGTGGAACTGTGTGCATCCCATGTGTCAATGCACATGACACTTGTTGCTGAAATCCTAAGGTGAAGAGGCACCTTTCCTAGGCTGCACCTCATGTCTCCCCAGGAGAAATACCTCATAGCTCCCAGCCTATTTCCCCACCATGAGACCAGAGGCTCATTTTGCTAAGACATGTTCACGATGCAAAGATATGGCTACCAAACAACCAGCTCACTGTCTGCCTGACGTGGCCTTATTAAGAGCTCTTAGAAGCCAAGACCACCTCTGTGGCTAGCCCCCCAGGTTGGGCCTAAGTACATAGGACCACCTGTCTCCTATGTCTGCACACATTCCATCACTGCAACCCATGCCTGGCTGGCAGATTTTACCAATTTCAAAGTGCCCAGGGGGTGGAAGATGCTTACGTTCCAGTCCAGTGAAATGACATCTGACATCTTTGTTACTTGGGATGTCATGGCCCCTTCTGGTATACGGTGCCTTAACATAAGCTGGGTGGAGGCCCTGTTGCCATTCTCATTCAGGTTCCATATCTTTGCAGTTGAGTCTTCAGATCTGCAGAATAAAAACACAGGAGGCTCTGGCGTTTGGTTGAAATGGGATGAAAAGCTCACCACAGCTTGCTCTCTGGCCAGGTGACATTGTCCGCATGTGCTCTTCTGCCTTTTTTCATACCGTTGGATGCCTGTTTCTGTCCTTGCCATCTTTGCATTTGGTAATTTTAACTGCCTTGTGTTACTCTTCACCCCACAGAGAAAAGGACTTGAACTATGGCTTCTGCACAATATGAGACCCATAGAGAAGTGGCTCATAGAGTCACCCATTTCTGGGTCCATCCAAACTGGGATAAGAAGGGGAGTGCATGTTCCTTAAGGCAGAACTCCAGAGAAGGGCAAGCAGCTTGCATCTCCCTGACCCTGGAGTGCCCCAATCCTGACTTCCTTACTTGGAAGCTAGCAAATCACTGACAGTTCCAGGCACAAGTGAACACCTCAGACTCATGGGCCCAAAGGACTGTGGCTTTGTTGGGAGGAATCTCAACATACCCATCTATTTCCATTGGCTTTCAGTGATTATCCGTCACAGGAGACATAAAGAGACATGTGGCAATACAAGAGGAAGGCATTTAAAGGGCACTTTTGTTTCCAGAAATATCTTGTTTTTATGTACTAAGTAATACTACTTCTAATGAGTCTAACTAAATTGTGGCTTTTGTGCAATTTAGAAAATATATCAGATTTCTTTATAATTTCACAGTCTCTAAACTTCACCAAAAAACAAAAAGTTATTTTGACCAAGTGTGGTAACTTACACCTGTAATCCCAGTGCTTTGGGAGGCAAAGGATGGTGAATTGCTTGAGGCCAGTAGTTCAATGCCAGCACAGGCAACTTGGCAAACCCCATTTTTACAAAAAATTGAAAAATTAGCCAGACACAGTGGCACATGCCTATGGTCCCAGCTACTCAAGACACTGACACGGGAGGATTGATTAAG
The DNA here is from genome assembly GCF_000001405.40 of Homo sapiens. NCBI lineage: Eukaryota > Metazoa > Chordata > Mammalia > Primates > Hominidae > Homo > Homo sapiens. The sequence goes on along the minus strand of NC_000024.10, from coordinate 20,728,982 downwards.
CCCAGTATGTAGAGGTTAGAGTGAGGCATAATTACACCACTGCACCCAGCCTAGGGGACAGAGCAATACCCTGTCTCTAAATGCTCCCCAGGAAAACAATTATTTACTCTTTGTAATTGAGGCCAGCAAATTATAGCTCATGGATGAAATCTAGCCACCAGCTGTTTCTGCATAAATAGTGTGAGTGGCACTCCACATGTTTTCACATTACCTATCGCGACTGTTATGGGTTAAACTGTGTCCCCATAAAATTTGTATCTTGAAGCCCCAATTTCTAGGATCTCAGAATAAGGCTATATTTGGAGACAGGGACTTCACAAAGGTTAAGCAGTGTAAAATGAGGTCACTACAGTCGACCCTAACCCAACGCGACTGCTGTTCTCATGAAAAGAGGGGATTAGGACACAGACACCTACAGAGGTACGACCATGTGTGGAAACGGGGAGAAGACAGCATCTACAAGCCAAGGAGAGAGACCTAAGAAAAAAACCATCTCTGCCCTCACTTTGATCTCAGGCCTTACCGGGCACAGTGGCTCAGGCCTGCAATCTTAGCAATTTGGGAGGCTGAGGCAGGTGGATCACCTAAGGTCAGGAGTTCGAGGCCAGCCTGATCAACATGGAGAAACCCCATCTCTAATAAAAAATACAAAATTAGCTGAGTGTGGTGGCACAGGCCTGTAATCCCAGCTACTTGGGAGGCTGAGGCAGGAGAATCGCTTGAACCTGGCAGGTGGAGATTGCTGTGAGCCGAGATCATGCCATTGCACTCCAACCTGGGCAACAAGAGTGAAACTGTCTCAAAAAAAAAAAATCTGTTTGCTGGTGCACAAACGTGCCTGCACGCACGTGCACACACACACGAGTGCACCATGCATGGAACATATGCATGCTCTGAACTTACATACATGCTGAAGTGGCATCTCTACAGGTTTATAGAGGAGTAGTATGTACAAGTGGAGCAGGTTCTCTGGATAGAAGTTCAGACTCACTGACTGACTTGCCATGTACTCTCTGGCAATCACCTAACAGGGAATGATGTTCTCGGATTTTGCAAAGACTAAATAACCTGATGTCCAGTGTTTGGGGCCCAGTGCAGTCGGCAGAAACCGTGAGCTCAACGATTATACCACAATTTGGCCAAAAACACTCAACATGGAAGGCGAGAGGCTGAGACCAAACGTGTCCACGAATTAAACCCTTTTGTTTATGATGGGCAATAACCATGCGTTATAGGAGTGTTCCCAGATTAGCAGTGCACGCGATTTCCTAAAGTTGAAGATGAGAATAAAGAGGGGCAGGTTGAAGGGTTGTGATTGAAAAAATGGAAGGGGAAGCTTTTCCGGCTTGATCTTAAGCAAACACTAGAGAGCAGTTTCGAAGACGCTGATAGCAGACTTTAAGAAGGCATTCGGATTGGCCGAGATTTAGAAGAAAAGAATCAACACAGAGAAGCCCAACGAACTTCAAGAGCCTGCACACTCACTGATTGCATGTGCTCCTTTCTCTTCCCCATTTACTGTTGCCTCTCCATTCTTTGGTGGATTTTGCTGGGAAAGGGCATCTGGTGTCATGGTTGCCACCTTTGCCATGGCTGCTGCCTCTGCGGCTGCTGCACTGGCTTGTTGCTGAGAGAGCTTCTCTCCGAACTTCTGCTGCTGCGTCTGCACCACGTCAGGAGTCACGGCGTCTGTCAGGGACAGGGACTCTATGGGTCGGCTGTCGAACACCACCATCCAGGGGAAGCAACCCAAGGGACAGCCATCAACTCTCGCGGGTGAGCGTTCTGGGAACAGTCTCTACTTTCTGGGCAGGAAGGGCTCCGGGAAGTGGAGCATAAACAGCTGGCTCTCAGCAGCCAGGGGGCCGCGGCGGAAGCAACAGGGACCCGGAGCCGGGGAGCCTGGGGTGAATGATTCCATGGTGGGCAAACGGCGAAGAACATGGCGAACTGTTGTTAAGAACTAGGTGTGACCGCTGTTCTGAGTATCAAACCCAGCTGCGGCATTCAGGACAAAAAGGCCATTTATTCTTGACAAAATGTGTTATCCCTGATGCAGTGATTCTCAACAGGGGTGTGACTGTGCCTCCTTGGGGGATATTATGCAATGTCTGGAGACACTATTGGTTGTCGCAACTAAGAGAGGATGTGTGGTCCTGGCATCTGGTGAGTGGAGCCCGGGGATGAGGCTCAACACCCTGCAGTGCCCAGGATGGCCCCACTACAGAGAATCACGCAGCCCCAAATACTGAGTGCTCTACTGGAGAAGGCCTGCCCAGGTGCTATGGCAAGTGTGCAAAATCTCTGCAAATGACCATCCATTATATGGGAGGGTAACACTTCAGAAGCCGAGCCCAAATGAGATGCCCACACCATTTAGGCCTGGATTCCAAGTCCATCTGTCCAGGGGATTTAATAAAATAGTTAACAACATTATTTCGTTCTGATTCATGTTCTTTTGTTTTGTTTTGTTTTTGATTCTGTGATTTCCATCTACCACAAAAAACTTTCCACACGTGTTTAAAAATATAGGAGGAAGTTCTTTACTTGTGAAGCATGTCAAATATACAAATCACCTGAAACTCAATGTGCCTTGTGGTAGTGTCTGGTACATACGCAAACTTTTTTTTTAATACTTTAAGTTCCGGGGTACATGTGCAGAATGTGCAGGTTTGTTACAGAGGTATATATATGCCACGGTGGTTTGCAGCACCCATCAACCCGTCATTTGCTTTAGGTATTTCTGCTAGTGCTATCCCTCCCCTAGCCCCCAACTCCCTGACACGCCCCATTGTGTTCCCCTCCCTGTATCCATGTGCTCTCATTGTTCAACTCCTGTTTATGAGTGATAACATGCAGTGTTTGGTTTTCTGTTCTTGTGTTAGTTTGCTGAGAATGATGGTTTCCAGCTTCATCCGTGTCCCTGCAAAGTGATCTAAACTTGAAGACCTCGGAAACAAGGAAGAATTGAAGAATTGAAAAGCTCATATTTCAGCTGAAGAATAACTAAATGAAACATCACCCCAAATGATTTCTGATTATAAGACAATATTCGAAATAAGGAAAACAATACAACCTATGTAAGGAACTAGCTGCATGGAGCTTGCAGTGAGCCAAGACCACACCACTGCACTCCAGCCTGGGCAACAGAGCAAGACTCTGTCTCAAAAAAAAAAAAAAAGGAACTAGCCACATCACCTCCTCAGCCACTCTTGGCCCTGATTCTGGCCATGGAGTGGGCAATGGTGACTGATTGGACAAGACGCTTCCATACCCCCTTCCTCCTGAAAGCTATCCTCCCACCTTGGCCTCTCAAAGTATGGGGATTACAAATGTAAGCCACCACCCCTGACCTGTCTTTTTAATGCCTAGAAACCACTGTGACAAATGGGACTGTCTTTTGTTGGCCCTCAGACTGCTGGAATCTGGAGTGCCGAGGAAAGGAAGCTATGAAAGCTTCTCAACAACGGAGAGGAGGAAGGCAATGAGCAGAGGAAAATGGAGTCACAGCACCCTGACACCTAAGATCTGCCTAGCCTCAAATATATGTTCTCCTTTTGAGGCAGAAAAATAGGATCTGGAGACAGGAAACATAAGGCCAATTCACACTTCAGCTATGACAGGAAATTTCCTCTCCATAGGCCGTATGCCGAGTAAATGACTTTGTATCTATACCTCATCCTTTCCATTTACATAGAGCATACACCAAGTAACCAATAGAATACTCTAGGGACTATTTAAACTCTTCAACTCCCAAAAATTCTGTAACAGGGCCTTTGAGCTCCTGTGCTTAGGCCTGCTCACACACTGTAGAGTGCACCTTCATTTTCAATAAATCCCTTCATTCCTTCCTTGCTTCGTTTGTGCATTTTATCCAGTTCTTTGTTCAAGATGCCAAGAACCTGGACAACCTCCACCAATAACATATTTAGGTGAGCCAGCCTGGAGAAAATTCAGGAAAAGCTAGACCCAAAGTTTGGGATTCATTTTTCTCTTTCCTTTCTGCTCCATACAGGGGAATCTCTCTCTTTTTCATTTACTTTCCAACTCGGGACTCTTGTTGGGCAGTGCCTAAACATTAAAGCAACTGTAGGTTCCTGGCTGTGGTCAGTGAAAATGAAGGGGTTTCCATGTGGAAGTGCCTAACTGCAACTACCTGGTTCACTAAAGGGACCAGTGTCTTCTTCATTTTTTTTTCCCCTCTTTCTTTTTTCAGTCTTTCAGTGGCTGTTTCCTTGTGGCTCCTTGGAAATTGAAGGCAATTGTCTGAGGTCAATAGTTTCAAATTGTTATGGAGTGTTTTACCCGAAATTTTGGTTCACAGCTTTCATTGGATTATCTATTGGGGCACAGTAAAACTGGTAAGCTTGTACTGCTATCGCTTGGCTAAGGTTCCAAGCTATTGGATCTCTTTATGTATGTGTATACATTTCTAGATGTGTTTATTTGTATGTACACTTATTCTTAAGTGTTGTGTCTACCAAATTGTTTTATAAGTAAAAGAGCTCTCATAAATTAGTAAATAAGTCCAAGCAGTTTTCAAGTTCACATGAAATATAACTTTACTAAACAAGGTAGCTTTAAAATTATTCATGGAATAAAAATATAAACACCTTCAGAATTGTCAGCATACATTTTCTCTGCATTTTATGTTTGTCTTTGTTACCTGTGCCATGAAAGCCCCAAGCCCCTTTCCTGCTTCGAGTTGTCCACTTTTCTGGACCAAACAAATTTCATTTCACATATGTTGATTAATGTCTCATGTCTCCCTTGTTGAAGGAAAAAATTAAGTACAAGTGAATCAGATAATTGTTTTAGGTAAACTTTTTCTGTAAATCAAAATCTCAAAGTTATTTTTATGCTCATTTAATATCTGAGGCATTTCCATTAAAAAAAGGTTGTAATAGGGAGATAATATATTTCTAAAATTGTGGAATTGTTCTTATCTATTAATGCCCATATCTGATAGTTCAAGATTTCTTGCTTTTTAGGGTTTCACTAAAGTTTTATGTTACTAAGGATAAAAATTCTAGTTAACATGTAATCCTCTATATACAATGTGCCAGAAAGGGTTAGGTTATTAGTGAAAAGAAAATAATTTTGGTTAATTCTGAAGTAATCTAAAAGTTAGCTTAAATTACAGATGTGAAGAGGTTATTTATGAAACAATGCAGTAAGGAATCATTAGGTAAGGGAGAAAGATGTGGAGAAAGTTTAAATATTAAAATATTCTTTAAAATTTGTAGAGAATTAGAGACATTTGGCAATTAACATTTTCATAGTTAAAGCTCTTGGTCTTGATTAAAATAAAATAAGATGTATTGTAAAGAAATGCATTGACAATTTGGCAATTCTTCTTTAATATAGTTTAGCATGAAGCCGGATTTAGTGGGGAGCCAAATTTTATATACATGCTTTCATTGCTTCACACTGTGTTTACTGTTTTGCAAGGATAGTGCTAGAGTACTTATTGGTCATGTGCCTAAAGTGAATTTCTCAATTGCATAGGATGTATAATGATACTGGTAAATGTAAGAGTATTAAATTGTGAATCAGTAATAAAATATTCAATAAGTGGGTTTTGGAGGTCCTATGTAACACTGTAGTCTTCAGGATAAATTGAGTAGGAATCTTTAGCATTTGTTTCCTGCTCAGTTTTGCTTCTAGTTTTTATTCTTTACTGTTTATTCTCCTCTGGCTTTGCTTGGGTGTGCATATATATATATATATATATAAAACCATGACATTTTTAGTTCTTAGTGGAAGGCTTTTATTTGGTTCTGTGAATAGTTACTTTGTTTCCTATGCATTTCTAGCAAGGAATTACTATGCATTCATTCCATTTATCTTGAATTCCTAAGCTACCTTTGTCAAGCCCACAGGAATTAATGGAGCACAACACCTTTCTTTTTTTAAAAAAAAATTTGTTATTATTATACTTAAAGTTCTAGGGTACATGTGCACAACATGCAGGTTTATTATATAGGTATACGTGTGCCATGTTGGTTTGCTGCATCCATCAACTCATCATTTACATTAGGTATTTCTCCTAATGCTATCCCTCCCCAACCCCCCAGCCCTCAACAGGCCCCAGTGTCTGATGTTCCCTGCCCTGTGTCCAAGTATTCTCATTGATCAATTTCTACCTATGAGTGAGAACATGCTGTATTTGGTTTTCTGTCCTTGGGATAGTTTGCAGAGAATGATGGTTTCCAGCTGCATCCATGTCCCTGCGAAGACATGAACTCATCCTTTTTCATGGCTGCATAGTATTCCATGGTGTATATGGGCCACATTTTCTTAATCCAGTCTATCATTGTTGGACTTTTGGGTTGGTTTTAAGTCTTTGCTATTGTGAACAGTGTTGCAATAAACATACATGTGCATGTGTCTTTATAGTAGCATGATTTATAATCCTTTGGGTATATACCCAGTAATGGGATGGCTGGGTCAAATGATATTTCTAGTTCTAGATCCTTGAGGAATCATCACATTGTCTTTCACAATGGTTGAATTAATTGACACTCCCACCAAGAGTGGAAAAGCGTTCCAATTTCTGCACTTTATCTCCAGCATCTGTTTTTTCCTGACTTTGTAATGATTGCCATTCTAACTGGTGTGAGATGGGGGGTTTTGATTTGCATTTCTCTGATGTCCAGTGATGATGAGCATTTTTTTCACGTGTCTTTTGGCTGCATATATGTCTTCTTTTGAGATATGTTTGTTCTATCCTTTGCCCACTTTTTGATGGGGTTGTTTGTTTTTTTCTTGTCAATTTGTATGAGTTCTTTGTAGATTCTGGACATTAGCCCTTTGTCGAATGGGTAGATTGCAAAAATTTTCTCCCATTCTATAGGTTGCCTGTTCACTCTGATGGTAAGTTTCTTTTGCTGTGCAGAAGCTCTTTAGTTTAATTAGATCCCATTTGTCTATTTTGGCTTTTGTTGCCATTGCTTTTGGTGTTTTAGACATGAAGTCCTTGCCTGTTCCTATGTCCTGAATGGTAATGCCTAGGTTTTCTTATAGGGTTTTTATAGTTTTAGGTCTTTTATAGTTTAAGTCTTTAATCCATCTTGAATTCATTTTTGTATAAGGTGTAAGGAAGGGATCCAGTTTCAGCTTTCTACATATGGCTAGCCAGTTTTCCCAGCACCATTTATTAAATAGGGAATCCTTTCCCCATTGCTTGTTTTTGTCAGGTTTGTCAAAGATCTGATGGTTATAGATGTGTGGTGTTTTTTCTGAGCCCTCTGTTCTGTTCCATTGGTCTATATATCAGTTTTGGTAAAAGTACATGCTTTTTTGATTACTGTATCCTTGTAGTATAGTTTGAATTCAGGTAGCATGATGCCTCCAGCTTTGTTCTTTTAATTTAGAATTGTCTTGACAATGGGGGCTCTTTTTTGGTTCCATATGAACTTTAAAGAAATTTTATCCTGAGGCTTTGCTGAAGTTGCTTATCAGCTTAAGGAGATTTTGGGCTGAGATTATGGGATTTTCTAAATATACAATCATGTCATCTGCAAACAGAGACAATTTGACTTCTTCTTTTCCTAATTGAATACACTTTATTTCTTTCTCTCGCCTGGTTGCCCTTGACAGAACTTCCAACACTATGTTGAATAACAGTGTTAAGAGAGGGCAACCTTGTCTTATGCCTGTTTTCAAAGGGAATGCTTCCAGTTTTTGTCCATTTAGTGTGATATTTGCTGTGGGTTTGTCATAAATAGCTTTTACTGTATTGAGATATGTTCCATCAATACCTAGTTTATTGAGAGTTTTTAGCATGAAGGGCTGTTGAATTTTGTTGAAGGCCTTTTCTGCATCTATTGGATAATAATGTTGTTTTTGTCATTGGTTCTCTTTATGCGATGGATTACATTTATTGATTTGCGTATGTTGAACCAGCCTTGCATCCCAGGGATGATGCTGACTTGATAGTGGTAGATAAGCTTTTTGATGTGCTTCTGGATTCAGTTTGCCAGTATTTTATTGAGGATTTTCGCATTGATCTTCATCAGGGATATGGGTCTAAACTTATATTTTTTGTTGTGTCTCAACCAGGCTTTGATATCAGGATGATGCTGGCCTTATAAAATGAGTTAGGGAGGATTCCCTCTTTTCCTGTTGATTGGAATAGTTTCAGAAGGAATAGTACCAGCTCTGCTTTTTACCTGTGGTAGAATTTGGCTGTGAATCTATCTGGTCCTGGACTTTTTTTAGTAGGTAGGCTATTAATTATTTCCTCAATTTCAGAACCTGTTATTGGTCTATTCAGAGACCTGAACTTCTTCCTGGTTTAGTGTTAGGCAGGTGTATGTGTCCAGGTATTTATCCATTTCTTCTAGATTTTCTAGTTTATTTGTGTAGAGGTGTTTATAGTATTGTCTGATGGTAGCTTGTATTTCTTTGGAATCAGTGATGATATCCCCTTTATCATTTTTTATTGCATCTGTTTGATTCTTCTCTTTTTTCTTCTTTATTAATCTTGCTAGCTGTCTATCAATTTTGTTGATCTTTTGAAAAAGGCAGCTCATGGATTCATTGATTTTTTGAAGGGTTTTTTGTATATCTTTCTCTTTCAGTTCTTTTCTGATCTTAGTTATTTCTTACCTTCTGCTAGTTTTTGAATGTGTTTGCTCTTGCTTCTCTAATTCTTTTAATTGTGATGTTAGGATGTCAATTTTAGATCTTTCTATCTTTCTCTTTTGGGCATTTAATGCTATAAATTTTCCTGTACACACTGCTTTAACTATGTCCCAGAGATTCTGGTATGTTGCATCTTTGTTCTCATTGGTTTTAAAGAACATCTTTATTTCTGCCTTCATTTTGTTATTTACCCAGCATAATTCAGGAGCAGGTTGTTCAGTTTCCATGTAGTTTGTGGTTTTAATGGAGTTTCTTAATGCTGAGTTCTAATTTGATTGCACTGTGGTCTGAGAGACAGTTTGTTGTGATTTCTGTTCTTTTACATTTGCTGAGGAGAGCACACCATCTTTGTATCTTTAAATGAAATTTCTTGATTTGAGGCTTGCAGATACTTTAAGTTTTGAGTATAAGCTCATAAATAAAATATGAGTAATATTTCTCTGTCTCTGCCTAATTTCTCCAAAATTTGTAAACTATTGGTGAATATTCATAATTTATGGAAATATGCTTGTTTGCATACAGTCAAGCAGAGTTGCCAGGGCAGCTCGGGGAGAGAGAACCCAGAAACCTGGAATGCCAGCAAAAGTGTGAGTGTTTCTTTCCAGTCAGTCTCTGGTCTCTTTGTATGTGCAAACTGGTTAAATGAAAGGTAAAAGTCACTGTTTATGTCCTCTGAAAACTTTAGTTAATTCAAAAGAGCTTTAATTAATTGGTTTAATAATAATATAAGCTTAAATCAAATATTTTGTCAGAAAAGTAAAAAGTGTGATGCCTTTTATTTAGTTCATGTTACTACAGCAATCTTTGGAAAATAAAGATGATTCTAACAATTATTGGTAAAATATGGCCGGGTGCAGTGTCTCATGCCTGTAATCCCAGCACTTTGGGAGGCTGAGGTGGGCGGAACATGAGGTCAGGAGATCAAGACTATCCTGGCTAACACAGTGAAACCCTGTGTCTACTAAAAATACAAAAAAAAATTAGCCAGGCGTGGTGGTGGGCACCTGTAGTCCCAGCTACTCAGGAGGCTGAGGCAGGAGAATGGTGTGAACCTGGAAGGCGGAGCATGCAGTGAGCCAAGATTGCACCACTGCACTCCAGCCTGAGTGACAGAGTGAGACTCCATCTCAAAAAAAAAAAAAAGAAAGAAAGAAAGAAAGAGATTATTGGTAAGATACAATTCTGTTCAAAATGTAAGTATGTGGTCTAAATTATATTCAATATTAGGTTGGCTGAATGCTTTAAGATCATAAACTGCTTATTTGGCTCTTGAGAATTGTTTAACTTACCTGCTTTCCAGCTATGTAAGGTCTGGGGACATGTGGAGCTGGCCACACCCCTAGCTGTGCTGGAAATAATTAGCCCTTTTCAGCACCTAGCACATAATTACCATAATTTAAGTCCTTCTATCTTGAGTTGATTTTTGTGTAAGGTGAGAGATGAGGATCCAATTTTTTTCTCCCACATGTGGCTAGCCAATTATCTCAGCAATATTTGTCGAAAAGGTTGTCCTTTCCTCACTTTTTGTTTTTGTTTGCTTTGTCGAAGATCAGTTGGCTCTAAGTATTTGGGTTTATTTCTGGGTTCTCTATTTTGTTCCATTGGTCTAGGTGCCTATTTTTATAACAGTACCAAGATATTTTGGTTACTATGGCCTTATAACGTAGTTTGAAATCAGGTAGTGTGATGCCTCCAGATTTGTTCTTTTTGCTTACTCTTGCTTTGGCTATGTGGGCTCTTTTTTGGTTCCATATGAATTTTAGAATTGTTTTTCTAATTCTGTGAAGAATGATGGTGGCTTTTGAGGAGGATTGCATTAAATTTATAGATTGCTTTTGGGAGTATGGTCATTTTCACAATAATGATTCTACCGATCTCTGAGCAAGGGATGTGTTTCCAAATGTTTGTGTAATCTATGATTTCTTTCTGGAGTGTTTTCTAATTTTCTTTGTAGAGGACTTTCACGTCCTTGGTTAGGTATATTCCTTAGTATTTTGTATATCTTTTACAGCTATTGTAAAAGGGGTTGACTTATTGATTTGATTATCTGCTTGGTCACTGTTGGTGTTTAGATCAGCTACTAATTTGTTGCATTAATCTTGTATCCAGAAACTCATCTGAATTCTTTTATCAGTTCTAGGAGCTTTCTGGAAGAATCTTTATGGTTTTCAAGGTACCCAATTATATCGTCAGCAAACAGTGACAATTTGACTTTCTGTTTACTGATTTGGATGCTTTTTATTTCTTTCTCTTGTCTGATTGCTCTGGCTAGGACTTTCAGTACTATGTTGAAGAGGATGGTGAGAGTGGGCATCCTTGTCTTGTTCCAGTTCTAAGAGGGATTGCTTTCAACTTTTTCCCATTCAGTATTATGTTGGCTGTGGGTTTGTCATAGATGGCTTTTATTACATTAATATATGTCCCTCGTATGCCAATTTTACTGAGAGTTTTAATGATAAAGGGATGCTGAATTTTGTTGAATGCTTTTTCTGTGCCTATTGAGATAATCTTTTGTTTTTGTTTTTAACTGTGTTTATGTGGTGTGTCACATCTATTAATTTGTGTATGTTATACCATCCCTGCATCACTGGCATAAAACCCACTTGATCATGGTGGATTATCATTTTGATATATTGTTGGTTTTGGTTAACTAGTATTGTGTTAAGGATTTTAGCATCTATGTTCATCAAGGATATTGGTCTGTAGTTTTCTTGTTTGGTTACATGCTTTCCTGGTTTTGGTACTAGAGGGATGGTGGCTTCATAGAATGAATTAGGGAATGTTCCTTCTTTCTCTACCCATCAAAACGATTGGTACTAATTCTTCTTTGAATGTATGGTAGAATTCTGCTGTGAATCTGTCTTGTCCTGTACTTGTTTGTTGTTGGTAACTTTTTATTGCCATTTCAATCTTGCTGCTTTTTATTTGTCGGTTCAGGGTATCTAATTTTTCCTGCTTTAAACTAGGAAGGTTGTATCTTTCCAGGAATTTATTTTTCTCTTCTAGGTTTTCTTGATTATGTACATAAAGTGTTCATAAAAGCCTTGAATGATCTTTTGTATTTCAGTGGTGTTAGTTGTAATATCTCCTGTTTTGTTTCTTAATGAGGTTATTTGGATTTCTCTCTTCTTTTCTTGGTTAATCTTGCTAATAGCCTATCAATTGTATTTGTCTTTTCAGAGAACCAGCTTTTTGTTTTATCTTTTGTATTGTTTTGCTTCTGTCAATTATATTTAGCTCTGCTCTGATTTTGGTCATTTCCTTTCTTCTGCTGGATTAGGGTTTTGTTTATTCTTGTTTTTCTAGTTACTTGAGGTGTGACTGTAAAATGTCAGTTTGTGCTCTTTCAGTCTTTTTGATGTAGGGGTTTAGAGCTATGAACTTTCCTCTTAAAACTGCCTTTGCTGCATGCCAGAGTTTTGATATGTTGTGTAATTATTGTCATTCAATTCAAAGAATTTTAAAATTTCTATCTTGATTTTATTTTTGACCCAGTGATCATTCAGGAGCAGGTTATCTAATTTTCATATATTTGCATGGTTTTGAAGTTTCCTTTTGGGTTTGATTTCCAGTTTTATTCCAGTGTGGTCTAAGAGAGTGCTTGATATTATTTTAATATTCTAAAATTTATTGAAGCTCATTTTATGGCCTATTCTATGGTCTATCTTGGAGAAAGTTTCATGCTGTGTTGAATAGAATGTGTATTCTGCAGCTGTTGGATGAAATGTTCTGTACATATCTGTTAAGTTCATTTTTTCCAAAGTATACTTTAAATCCATTGTTTCTTTGTTGACTTTCTGTCTTGATGACCTGTCTAGTGCTGTCAATGGAGTATTGAAATGCCCCCACTGTTATTGTGTTACTGTCTATCTTATTTCTTTGGTCTATTAGTAATTGTTTTTATAAATTTGAGAGCTCCTGTGTTAGGTACATGTATGTTTAGGATTGTGATATTTTCTTGTTGGACGAGCCCATTTATCATTATATAATGTCCCTCTTTGTCTCTTTTAATGGCTCTGCTTTAAAGTTTGTTTTGTCTAAGAATAGCTACCTCTGCTCAATTTTGGTACCCATTTTCATGAAACGCTTTTTTCCACTTCTTTATTTAAGTTTTTGTGAGTCTTTATGTGTTAGGTGAGTCTCATGAAGGCAGAAGATGGTTGGATGAATTCTTATCAATTCTGTGGTTCTGTATCTTTTTAAAGTGTAGCATTTAGGCAATTTACATTCAACATTAGTATTAAGATGTGAGGTATCATTGCATTCATTGTGCTATTTGTTACCTGTGTACTTTGTTTTTTTGTGTGTGTGTGTTTGTTTTTCAGGGTTTTTTTCTGTTTTGTTTTGTTTTGTTTTTGTTTTTGTTTTCTAAGTTGTACTTTTATTTTATAGGTTCTGTTTGATTTATGCTCTGAAGTGGTTTTGTTTTGATGTGTTACCAGGATTTGTTTCAAGTTTTAGAGATCCTTACGGCAGTTCTTGTAGTGGTGGCTTGGTAATGGTGAATTATCTCAGCATTTGTTTGTCTGAAAGACTGTATCTTTTCTTCATACATAATGCTTAGTTTCAGTGGATACAAAATTATTGGCTGATAATTGCTTTGTTTGAGGAGGCTGAAGATAGGGCCCCAATCCCATCTAGCTTGTAGGGTTTCTTCTGAGAAATCTGCTGTTAATCTTATAGGGTTTCCTTTACAGTTTACCTGGAGCTTCTGTCTCAAATCTCTTAAGATTCTTTCCCTCATCTTAACTTTGGATAACCTGATGACAATGTGCCTAGGCAATTATCTTTTTGCAACGAATTTCCCATGTGTTCTTTTTGCTTCTCGTATTTGGATGTCTAGGTCTCCAGCCAGATGAGAAAAGTTTTCCTTGATTATTCCCCCAAATATATTTTCTAAGCTTTTAGAATTCTCTTCTTAGGAACGCTGATTATTCTTAGGTTTGATCATTTAACATGATCTTAGATTACTTGGAGGCTTTGTTCATATTTTCTTATTCTTTTTTCTTTATCTTTGTTACATTGGGTGAATTCAAAGACCTTTTTCTTTAATTTTTAATTTTTCTTTAAGCTTTGAATTTCTTCCTTCTGCTTGTTCAATTCTGTTGCTGAGATTTTCCAGAGTATTTTGCATTTCTAGAATTGTGCCTAAAGTTCCCTGAATTTTTGATTGTTTTTCTTTTCTTTAAGCTATCTATGTCCTCAACTGTTTCTTCCTTCACTTCTTGTATCGGGTTTTTTTTTTTTTTTTTTTTAATTTTCTTGCATTCAGCTTTGCGTTTCTCTTTTGTCTCTCTGACTAGCTTAGTAACTAACCTCCTAAATTATTTTTCAGGTAAATCAAGGATTTCTTCTTTGTTTGGTTCCATTGCTGGTGAATTAGTGTGATTTTTCTGGGAGTGTTGAAGAGCCTTGTTTTGTCATATTACCAGGGTTGGTTTTTATGTTCCTTCTTATTTGGGTAGGGTCTGTCAGAGAGAAGATCTAGGGCTTAAGACTGTTGTTCAGATTATTTTTTCCCACAGAGTGTTCCCTCGATGTAACACTCTCCCACTTTTCCTATGGATGCGGCTTCTTGTGAGCCAAACTGCAGCGATTGTTGCCTCATTTCTGGGTCTAGCCACCCAATAAGTCTACCCATTTCCAGGTCAGTACTGGGGGTTGTCTACACAGAGTCTACCCAGAGTTCTGTGGTATGAACTATGTGTCTGTCAGCTGTGGATACCAGTGCCTGCATGACTCAGTGCCTGTGTTGAGTCATGCAGGTTTCCAGGGGAGTAGGGGAAATCTAGCAGTCACAGGCCTCACCCACCTCCCATGCAAACTGAAGGGCCAATCTCACTTTCACTATGCCACTCCAACATCCCTGAGTTTGTTTCCAGGTAGAGGGTGAGACAGGCTTGAAAACTTGCCCGAGGATACCCATCTCCCAGGTGCGAAAAAAGGGGGCTTGGTTCTTTCTCCACCTGTGGAATTTCCACACCAGATTTGCCCCTTCTGTGAGTTCTGGCCAGGAGGCTTCTTGCCCCTTTCAAATTATTACTTACAAAGGTCAGCTAGAGATTTTTTTCTCCCTGTTAAGTTTTACCTCCTGCTCCTTTGGCCACCCTCTGGATGGATCCCTGTGGTGCCAGGCAGGAATTGCCTGCTAGGGAATCCAGCTAGTTCCTAGGGCCTTTCTGCTGCTTCCTTGACCCCTGCATTTGACTTGGCTCTCTAAACTGACTCAGCTCCAGGTAAAGTCAGAAAATTCTCTTGCAAACACATCATCAGTTTCTCTAGTGGTGGTGTGTGTTTGGGAGAGGAGGGTCTCCCTTTTCCGCTTTCACAGTTGGGCACTTACAATATTTGGTGTGTCTCCTAGGTCATGCAGGAACAGTCCACTTCCTTCAGAGAATCTGTGGTCCTCTCAAGATTGCCGTTTTTTTCTTGCGGTCAATCTGGAGCTAAAATTCATGTTTTAGATGCTCTCTCCAGAGCTGCAATCTACTCCTGCCTCTCATCTGCCATGAGGAGCGTGATCCTTGATACTCTAGAATTCTAATTTCTAAGTAGAGTTATTATGTTAAGATATTGTAAACCACGTAAATAACCAAATTTCCCTCTATAAAGCTACTAATCTAAGTAGAACAAAAAATTATTAAATATCAAGAAAATACTTTGTCAGATTTTCATGTGAAACCAGCTGATATTGAAATTCTTTAAATATACAATGTAAGTAAACCTCATGGTCTCAGTCACATTACCCATGATAAACCATCAATTATCAGTGCTATGCACCTAATTTGGAAAAACAACTGGCATTCAAGAAGATATTAGTCTAATGTTTATTAAGCATTGACTCATGGAGAACCAGGATGGCCACCTTGTCCCCCCTGAGTCCTTAAATCTTTTATTATTAGAAGTTCTGCATTCTGTGGCTCAGCATGGAAAAGATAAAAAACATTCAAATTGAATACATTGGTGTGACAACTTACAAATTCTTCAGGTACATTTGGTCACCTGATGAGCCATTTAAACATTTTATAAAGGGATTTCATTCGACTATTATTTTCAGTGTGTAATTTCTGATTGTATAAAAGCTTTTCCAAGCAGGAGGGCTCATGTTAAAACAGTAAATTATTTTACTACCACGTATTTTCACCAGGTAAAGAAAGTTTCCACTAAGGTCTTTTAAAGGACACTGTGCTACTCCCCTAGAGTGTGAGGTCAGCCTCGGTAGGAGGGGTTATGTCTTTCGGTTCAGCTCTCCCTCGTGCCACCAACCTCACAACAGCAGCTCACAGATGCATCAGAAGGAAGCTGGCACAGCACACAGCTCAGTCTCCACTTGGGCAGAAATTCCAGAACAATGAAATGCCAGGCCAGCAGGAGATGAGAACCACTCACTCAACTGAGAGCCCCTGTTCAGAGGCCTAGAATGTGAAGTACATTGGAACACAGGGAAACATCAGGAAAGTGCTTCCCTTTCACCCCACCTCACTCTAACCAAGACCTGCACCAACTGGGAACTCACTGGGTCATCTGCTGTGCATTCCTGGAGAGCACAGCCTCACTGTGTGTTGCGTGCTCAGGAAAGCCTTTAAAAAAATAGATATAATGTATTTTATTTTATTTATTTACTTTTAAAATTAAATCTTTCTTTTACTTTTTTTTAACTTTAAGCTTTGGGATACATGTGCAGAATGTGTGGGTTTGTTACATATGTATACGTGTGCCATGGTGGTTTGCTGCACCTATCAACCAATCATCTAGGCTTCAAGCCCTGCATGCATTAGGTATTTGTCCTAATGCTTTCCCTCCCCTTGTCTGCCACCCCCCAAAAGGCTCAGTGTGTGATGTTCCCCTCCCTGTGTCCATGTGTTCTCATTGTTCAACTCCCACTTATGAGCGAGAATACGCGGTGTTTGGTTTGCTGTTCCTGCGTTAGTTTGCCGAGGATGGTGGCTTCAAGCTTCATTCACGTCCCTGCAAAGGACATGAACTCGTTCTTTTTTATTCCTGCATAGTACTTCATAGTGTATATGTGCCACATTTTTTTATCCAGTCTATCACTGATGAATCTTTGCTACTGTAAATAGTCCTGCAATAAACATATATGTGCATGTGTCTCTACAGTAGAATGATTTATAAACCTTTGGGTATATACCCCCTAACAGGACTGCTGAGTCAAACAGTATTTCTGTTTCTAGATCCTAAAGGAATTGCCACACTGTCTTCCACAATGGTGGAGTTAATTTACATTCCTAATTTACATTGTAAAAGCATTGCTATTTCTCTACATCCTAGCCAGCATTTGCTGTTTTCTGACTTTTTAATGATCATCCTTTTAACTGGCATGAGATAGTATCTCATTTTGGTTTTCATTTGCATTTCTCTCATGACCAGTTATGATGAGCCTTTTTGCCTATGTTTATTGGCTCATAAATCTCTTCTTTAGAGAATTGTGTGTTATATCTTCCACCCACTTTTAGATGGGGTTGTTTTTTTCTTGCAAATTTGTTTAAGTTCCTTGAGGATTCTGGATATTAGACCATTGTCAGATGGATAGATTACAAAATTTTTCTTCCATTCTGTAGGTTGCCTGTTCATACTGATGATAGTCTCTTTTGCTGTGCAGAGGCTCTTTAGTTTGATTAGATTCCATTTGTCAATTTTGGCTTGTGTTGCCATTGCTTTTGATGTTTTAGTAATGAAGTCTTTGTCCATGCCTATGCCCTAAATGATATTGCCTAGGTTGTCTTCTAGGGTTTTTATGGTTTTAGGGTTTTTTTTCAGTCTTTAATCCATCTTGAGTTAATTTTGGTATATGGTGTAAGAAAGGGATCCAGTCTCAGCTTTCTACATATGGCTAGCCAGTTTCCCCAGCACTATTTATTAAGAAAGGAATCCTTTCCCCATTTCTTGTTTTTGTCAGGTTTGTCAAAGATCAGGTGGTTGTAGATGTGTGGTGTTATTTCTGAGGCCTCTGTTTTCTGTTCCATTGGTCTATATATCTGTTTTAGTATCAGTATCATGCTGTTTTGGCTACTGTAGCCTTGTAGTGTAGTAGTATAGTTTGAAGTCATGTAGTGGGATGCCCCGAGCTTCGTTCTTTTTTCTTAGGATTGTCTTTGCCATATGGGCTCTTTTTTGGTTCCATATGAAATTAATTTTTGTTTTAATTCTGTGGAGAATTAGCTTTAATTTGTTTTAATTCTGTGGTAGCTTTAATTTGTTTTAATTAGCTTTGTTTTAATTAGCTTTAATTTAATTTAATTAGCTTTAATTTGTTTTAATTCTGTGGTAGCTTGATAGGAATAGCACTGAACCTATAAATTACTTTGGGCAGTATGGCCATTTTCACAACATTGATTCTTCCTATCCATGAGCATGGAATGTATGCCCATTTGTTTGTGTCCTCTTATTTCATTGAGTAGTGGTTTGTAGTTCTCCTTGAAGAGGTCCCTCACATCCCTTGTACATTGTATTCCTAAATATTTTGTTTCCTTTGTAGCAAGTGTGTATGTGAGTTCACTCATGATTTGGCTCTCTGCTTGTCTATTATTGGTGTATAGAAATGCTTGTAATTTTTGCATATTGATTTTGTATTCTGAGACTTTGCTGAAGTTGTTCATCAGCTTAAGGAGTTTTTGCGCTGAGACGATGGGATTTTCTAAGTATACAATCCTGTCATCTGCAAACAGAGATAATTTAACCTCTGACCTCCTCTTTTCCTATTTGAATATGCTTTATTTCTTTCTCTTGCCTGATTGCTCTGGCAATCAGAACTTCCAAAACTGTATTAAATAGGAGTGTTGAGAGAGGGCATCCTTATGCCAGTTTTCAAAGGGAATGTTTCCACCTTTTGCCCAGTTAATATGATATTGGTTGTGGGTTTATCATAAATAGCTTCTTATTATTTTGAGATATGTTCCATTAATACCTAGTTTACTAAGAGTTTTTAGCATGAAGTGGTGTTGAATTTTATCGAAGGCCTTTTCTACATGTATTGAGATAATTGTGTGGTTTCTGTCATTGGTTCTGTTTATACGATGGATTACATTTATTGATTTGTGTGTGTTGAACCAACCTTGTATCCCGGGGATGAAGCTGACTCAGTCATGGTGGATAAGCTTTTTGATGTGCTGCTGGATTCAGTTTGCCAGTATTTTATTGAAGGTTTTTGTGTCAGTGTTCATCGTGGATATTGGCCTGAAATTATCTTATTTTTTTTTTTTTTTGCATCTGTCAGGTGTTGGTATCAGGATAATGCTGTCCCCATAAAAGGAGTTAGGGCAGAGACCGACTTTTCTATTGTCTAGAATAGTTTCAGAAAGACTGTTACCAGCTCCTCTTTTTATCTCTGGTAGAATTCTGCTCTGAATCTGTCTGGTTCTGGGCTGTTTTTGGTTACTAGCCTATTAATTACTATCTCAATTTCAGAACTTGGTATTGGTCTATTCAGGGACTTGACTTCTTCCTGGTTTAGTCTTGAGAGGGTTTATATGTCCATGAATTTATCCATTTCTTCTAGATTCTCTAGTTTATTTGTGTAGAAGTGTTTAATATGGTAGTTTGTATTTCTGCAGGATCTAGGTGGTAGTATGTATTTCTGTGGTATCAGTGGTGATATCCCTTTCATCATTGTTTATTGCGAGGATTTGATTCTTCTCTCTTTTCTTCTTTATTAGTCTGGCTAGAAGTCTATCTGTTTTTTGAATCTTCAGAAAAGCAACTCTTGATTCATTGTTTTTTTTGAAAAACCTTTGATATCTTCTTTTCCTTCTGTTCTGCTCTCATCTTAGTTATTTCTTGTCTTCTGGTAGCTTTGAATTTCTTTACTCTTGCTTCATTAGTTCTTTCAATTGTGATGTTAGGGTGCCAACTTTTTATCTTTCCCACTTTCTGATGTGGTCATTTAGTGCTATCAGTTTCCCTCTAAGCACTGCTTTAGCTGTGTCCTAGAGATGCTGGCATTTTGTCTTTTTGTTCTCATTGGTTTCAAAGAATGCCATTATTTCTTCCTTCATTTTGTTATGTACTCAGCATCATGAAGATTTTTTCTTATTTTTGTCTAAGAACTCTACACATTTAGGCCTTAACTTTAGGTTTTTGACCGATTTTGAGTTAATTTTTATATATGGTATAAAGTAAGAATTTAATTTTTGTTGTTTTTCCCTGTCAATACTTACTTTCCTCAACACCATTTGTTAAAAAAAAACTATTTCTCCCCATTAAATTGTCTTATCTCTCTTGTCAAAAACCAACTCACTAGAAGGCTTATTTGTGAGTTCTTTATATATTTTACTTATTTTATACTACATTTACACAAGTAATACCTTTTATTACTGTTGTTTTGTGATAGGTTTTTAAATAAGGAAATGTGAGACCTCCAATTTTGTTTTCTTAAGAGTGTTTTGGCTATTAACAGTTCCTTGAGACTATATAAATTTTAGGGCAATGTTTTTTATTATGCAAAATATTCCATTGTGTTTTTTTAAATATTTTATATTTTTAATTTTTGTGAGTAAATGATAGATGTATATATTTATGGGATATATGCTTCATTACAAACATGTAATATGAAATAATCACATTATCAGAATGGAATAATGAAATATCTATGCCCTCAAACATTTAAACTTTGTATTACAATCTAATTATATTATTTTAGTTATTTTAAAATTTACAGTTAAATTATTATTGACTGTATTCACCCTGTTGTATTAGCAAATACTAGGTATTATTTATTCTATTTTTTTGTACCCATTAACCAAACTCATCTTTCCACTAATTCTCTCTACCTTTTCTAGTCTCTGGTAACCAGCCTTGTACCTTCTATTCCCATGAGTTTAATTGCTTTGACATTTAAATCCTACATATAAGTGAGAAGATGTGATTTTCATCTCTCTGTGCCTGACTTATTTCACTTAACATAATTACAATCAGTACAATCTATGTTGTTACAAATGACTAGATCTCATTCTTTTTTATGGCTGAATAGTACTATGTTGGGTGTATGTACTACATTTTTAAAATCCATTCTTCTGTTGTTGGACACAAATTGCTTCCAAATTTCAGCTATTGTGGATAGTGCTGCAAAAATCATGAGAGTGCAGGTTATCTTTGATGTACTTGTTTTCTTTTAAGGGGGTATATATGCCCAGCAGTGGGATTGCTGAATCATATGGTAGCTCTATTTTAAGTTTTTTGAGAACTCTCCAAACTGTTCTCCCTAGTGGTTGTAGTAATTTACATTTACATCAATAGTTTATGAGGTTTTCCTTTGCTCCACATCTTTGCCATGATTTGTTATTGCCCTTGTTTTGGATATAAACCATTTTTACTGGAGTAAGATGGTATCTCATTCTAGTTTTGATTTGCATTTATCTGATGATTAATGATGTTTGGCACCTTTTTATAGGCAGGTTTGGCATTTGCATGTCTTCTTTTGAGAAACAGCAATTCCAATATTTTGCCCATTTAAAAATTAGATTATTTGATTTTTTCCTATAGAATTGTTTGGGTTTCTTATATGTTCTAGTTATTAATCCCTTGTCAGATATGTAGTTTGCAGGTATTTTCTATATTCTTTAGGTTGTCTCTTCACTTTAAGAGTGTCTTTTGTTGTACAGAAGGTTGTTTTTATTATTATTATACTTTAAGTTCTAGGGTACATGTGCACAACGTGCCGGTTGGGTGCATATATATATATGTGTCATGTTGTTGTGCTGCACCCATTAAGAAGCTTTTTAACTTGGTGTGATTCCCTTTGACCATTTTTGTTTTGGTTGCCACTGCTTGTGGAGTATGACTTCATAAGTTTTTGCCCCAATCAATGTCCTAGAGAGTTTCTTCTATGCTTTCTTCCAGTATTTTCATAGTCTGAGGTCTTAGACTTGATTATTTAATCTATTTTCATTTGATTTTGGCATATGGCAAGAGTTAGGGATCTATTTTCATTTTTCTGAATATGGATATCTAGCTTTCCTGGAACAATTTATTAGAAACTATCGTTTCCCCAGTATATATGCTTGGCATCTTTATCAAAAAATCACTTCAATATAGGTGTATGGATTTGTTTCTGTGTTCTCTATTCTGTTTTATTGGTCTATGTGTCTGTTTTTTATGACAGTACCATTTTGTTTTGGTTACCATATCTCTGCAGTATAATTTAAAGTCAGTTAATGTAATTTCTCAGTTTGGCTTAGGAAAGGTTTGGCTATTCTGGGTTTTTTGTGTTTCCATATAAATTTTAGAATCACTTTATCTATTTCTATAAAGAATTTTCTTGGTACTTTGATAGGGCTTGCATGGAATCTACAGATTGTTTTGGGTAATGTGGACATTGCAACAATATTGATTCTTCCAAACCAATAACAAGGAATATCTTTCTATTTTTTTTTTGTATGTCATCTTCAATTTCTTTCATCAGTGATTAATTGTTTTCATTACAGAAATCTTTCACTTTAGTTAATTCCTAGGTATTTATTTATTGCTATTATAAATGAAATTACAGTCTTCATTTCCTTTTCAGATTGTTCACAGTTGGCATAAACAAATGCTAATGATTTTTGTATATTGATTTTGTATCTAACAACTTCACTGAATTTGCTTATCTGTGCTCATAGTTTTTTTTTTGGTGAAATCTTTAGGTTTTTCCAAATACAAGATAATATCATCTGCAAACAATGATAATTTGACACCTTTCTTTCCAATTTGGATGCCCTCTCTATCTTTCTCTTGCCTGAATGCTCTAGTTAGAACCTCTCTTACTGTGTTAAATAACAATGGTGACTTTAGACATACTTGTTGTTTTCCAAATCTTTGAGAAAGATCAGCTTTACCTCACTCAGTGTGATATTAGCCATGGGTCTGTCATATGTGGCTTTTGTTATGTTGAGGTCTATTTCTTCTATTCCCTGTTTTTTTTTTTTTTTTTTTTTTTTTTTAGGATTTTTATCAGGAAGAGATGCTAAATTTCATTAAGTGCTTCCTTAGCATGAATTAAATGATCATATTATCTTTGTCTTTTATTCTGTGACTATGATATATTGCATTGATTGGTTTGTGCATTCTTACCCATCTTGGAATTCCAGACATAATTCCCAATTGGTCACAACAAATAATCTTTTAAATGTATCACTGAATTCAGTTTGCTATAATAGTATTTTATTGAGGACTTTTTCATCAATGCTTATCTGACATATTCGTCTGTAGTTTTCTTTTTTTAATTTGTCTTTGTCTGGGTTTGGTATCAGAGTAGTAATGATTTCATAGAATTGGTTTGGAAGTATTCTCTCCCTCTCTGTTTTTCAGAATAGAGTAGAATAAGTATTAGTTCTTCCGTAAATGTTTGATAAAATTCAGCAATGATGCCATCAGGTCCTCGGCTTTTCTTCCCTGGGAGGATTTTTATTACAGCTTTGATGTCACTATTTGTTGTTGGTTTGTTTATGTTTTGGATTTCTTCATGATTCATTCTTCATGATAGGTTTTATGTATCTAGAAATTTTTCTATTTCTTTTAGATTTTCCACTTTTTGGAATAGAGTTGCTCATGGTAGCCAGTAATGATACTTTGAGATTCTGCAGAATCAATTTCAATGTCTCCTTTTTCAACTCTGAGTTATTTGGATCTTCACTCTTTTTTTCTTAGTCTGGCTAAGGGATTCTCAATTTTGTATTTTTTTTAAAAAAAACATCTTTTTGCTTCATTGTTCTTTGTATTTTTTATTTCAATTTCATTTATGCTCTAATCTTTATAATTTCTTGTGCTAGTTTTGGGTTCACTTTGATTTTGCTTTTCTAGTTCTTCAGGAGGAATTGGTAGGTTGTTATTTGAAGTTTTTCTTCTTTTTTCATGTAGCCACTTATTATAGCCATATACTTAGTATGGTAGAACTCTTAGTACTGCTTTCACTGCATTTCATAGGTTTTGGTATGCCATACTTCCTTTATCATTGGTTTCAAGAAATTTTTAAATTTTCTTCTTAATCCTTTTCTTGACCTACTGGTCATTCAGTAGTATATTATTCAATTTCAATGTATTTGTATAGTTTCCAAAACTGCTTCTGTTATTTATTTCTAGTAATATTCCATTGTGGTCAGAAAAGATGCTTAATATTATTACAATTTTTGGAAAGTTTCAAGACTTGTTTTGTAAAATAACATGTGATCTATCTTTGAAAAATAATCCATGTGCTAAGAAAAAAATGTATTGGATGAAATGGTCATCCATGTTACAGAATATTGGATGAAAGGTTCTGTAAATACCTGTTAGGTCAATTTGGTCTCTAGTGCAGATTAAGTCCAAAGTTTTTTATGGATTTTCTGTCTGGAAATCCTGTCCAATGTTGAAAGTGAGGTGTTGAAGTCTCCAGCTATTATTGTATTGGGGTTATCTTTTTCTAGCTATAATAATCTTTGCTTTATATGTCAGGTGCTCCAGGGTTGAGTACATACATATTTAAAAATGTTATATCCTCATGTTAAATTTACTTCTTTATTATTATATAGTGAACCTCTTTGTCTCGTATTACAGTTTTAGTCTTGATATCTATTTTGTCTGATATAATGACTCCTGATCTTTTTTCTTTTTTTGGTGGTGGGGGGATTCCACTTGCATGAAATAACTATTTCCGTCCCTCATTTTCAGTCTATGTGTGTTTTTGTATGTAAATTGTGTTTCTTAAGCAACAGGTCATTAGATCTTATTGTTTTATTTATGCAGCCACTGTATGTCTTTTGATTGTAGAGTTTAGTTCATTTACAGTCCATTTTATTATTGATGGCTAAGTGCTTACTCTTGCCATTTTCCATTTTCTTATTTGTGTTGTGGTTGCTTTATGGTCTTCTTTCCTTATTTGTTTCCTTCCTGTCTTGCTTTCAGTGAAGGTGATTTTCTCTGGTGATATGATTTAGTTTTTGGTTTATTTCTTTTTTTAATCCACATCCATTGTATGTTTTTTGGTTTGAGATTACCATAAGGCTTTCAAATGCTATCTTATAACCAAACATCTTAAGCTGATAGCAATTTAACCCTCTCTGCATAAACAAACAAGCCAAAAGAAAAATAATAAAAGCTCTATACCTTAACTTTGTCACCTCACTTTTAACTTTTTCTTGTTTATTTTTGTATTAGGGACTATGTCTTGAAAAGTTGTTGCAGTTATTATTTTTGATTGGTTCATTGTTTACTCTTTCTAATTAAGAGTAATTCACACAACACAGTTACCATATTATAATATTTTGTAGTTTTTCTCTATGCTTACTATACCAGTGGGTTCTGTACTGTCAGATGATTTCTTATTGCTCATAAATGTCATTTGCTTTCTGATTGAAGTACTCCTTTTAAACATGTTTTTTTTCTGTAAGACGGGTATGATGTTCATGAAATTCCTCAGCTTTCATCTCTGACAGTCTTTATTGCTCCTTCATGTTTGAAGGATATTTTCATTGAATATACCAGTCTACGATGAAAGGTATTTTTTATTTGTTTGTTTTGTTTGTGTCAGCATTTTAAGAATTTCAGCCCACAAGGTTTTCTCTGAAAAGTCCACTGCTGAAACTATTAGGGCTCCATTGCATGTTTTTTTGTGTGTCATTTCTCTTGCTACTTTTAAAACTCTTCCTTTATCTTTGACCTTTGGGAGTTTGATTATTATATGCCTTAAGGTGTCTTCTTTGGGTTAAATCAGTTTAATATCCTATTACTTTCTTGTATGTGGATATTGATATATTCCTCTAGGTTTAAGATATTCTCTGTTATTATCTTTTTGAATAAACTTTCATTTTTTTTTCTTTTGAGAGATGGAGTCTCACTCTGACACCCAGACTTGAATGCAGTGGCACAATCTCAACTCACTGCAATCTTCACCACCTGGGTTCAAGCAATTCTCCTACCTCAGCTTCCAAAGTAGCTGGGACTACAGGTGCTTGTCAACACACCTGGCTAAATTTTGTATTTTTTAGTAAAGAAGGGGTTTCTCTCTATGTTTGCCAGGCTAGTCTCATACTCCTGACCTCAGGTGATCCACCCACCTTGGCCTCCCAAAATGCTGGGATTACAGGCATAAGCCCCCATTGAATTAAGTTTCTATCCCTATTTCTTTCTGTACCTCCTTTTTAAGGCCAATAACCTTTATATTTGCCCTTCTGATGTATTTTCTAAGTCACGTTGTCATTCTTCATTGTTCTTTCTTTTTTTTCTGACTCTTGTGACTGTGTATTTTAAAATAGCTTGTCTTCAAGTTCACTAATGCTTTTTTCTATTTCAACAATTCTGCTGTTAAAGACTCATTTTCTCAGCTCCAGATTTTCTGTTTGGTTATTTTTAGTTATTGCAATCTCTTTGTTAAATTTATCTGATAGAATTCTGAATTTTCCTATGTTATCTTGAATATTTTGTTTCCTCAGAAAAGCTATTTTAAATTATCTGAAAGGTCACATATCTGTTTCTCCAGGATTGGTTTCTGTTGCTTTATTTAGTTGATTTTGAGAGGTCTTGTTTCCTGGATCATCTTGGTACTTGTGTATGTTTGTCTGTATCTGGGTATCGAAGAATTAGGTATTTCTTTTTTTTGTTTGTTTGTTTTGAGACAAAGTCTCACTCTTGCCCTCCAGGCTGGAGTGCAATGGCATGATGTAGGCTCACTGCAACCTCCACCTCCCAGGTTCAAGTGATTCTCCTGCCTTAGCCTCTCAAGTTGCTGGGATTACAGGTGCCTGCCACCATGCCCAGCTAATTTTTGTATTTTTAGCAGAAACAGGGTTTCACGGTTTCACCCTGGCCAGGCTGGTCTCGAACTCCTGACCTCAGGTGATCCACCCACCTCGGCCTCCCAAAGTTTTGGGATTACAGGCATGAGCCACAGCACCTGGCCAGAATTAGATATTTCTTATGGTCTTCATAGTCTGGGCTTATTTGTACCTCTCTTTCTTGGGAAGGCTTCCAGATATTTAAAAACACTTGAGTATTGTGTTCTAACATATATTGGCTTTAGGGGTCACCCCAAGTCCTGTGGTCTTATGGTTCTTTCAGACTTATGGAGGTAACACCTGATTGTCTCAGACAGGACACAGAAGAATTCTCTGGATTTCCAGGCAGAGACTCTTGTTCTCCTCTCTTGCTTTTTACCAAACAAATGGTGTGTGTGTGTGTGTGTGTGTGTCTGTGTGTCCTTCCCTCTCATAAGCCACCTGGAGCCAGGAGAGTAATAACACAAACACTGCTTCTTACCAAATGGAATGTGTGTGTGTGTGTATGTGTGTCTTTTCCTCTCATAAGCCACTTGGAGCCAGGAGTGTAATAACAGAAGGACTGCTGTGGGCACCAGCAGCAGAATTGTGCTGGGTCAGACCAGACGCCAACACGGCACTGGATCTTACACATGGCCTGCTCTAACCACTCTTACCTACCACCTAGGGTGGCTCAAGGCCCTGGGGCTCTACAATCAGTAGGTCATGAAGCCAGCCAGTACTGGGTCCTTCCCTTCAGAGTGGTAAATTATTCATGACCTAGGCAGTTCCAAAGGTGCCACGCAGCAGCCAGGGACTAATGTTAAAATATTAAAGGCTACCTGGTGTTTTATTGTACTGCAGCTGAGCTGAACCACAAACTGCAGTCCTTCTCTCTCTTCTGTCCACTTTCCAAAGACAGAGGAACCTCACTCCATGGCTACCACCAACACAGGTCCACATGGAACACTGTCAGACTGCCACTGATGTTCCCTTAAGGCCCAAGGTGTCTTAAGTCAACTAGTAGAGAATGCTGCCAAACCTGTGACTTACCTTTCATGGCAGTGGGCTCTCTTCTGGACCTAGAAGGTCCAGAAATGCCATCCTAGAGCCAAGGCCTGAAATCATAGACCCCATAACTCCACTGTGGCTGGGCTGATACCTAAGGTGCTAGACAAAGTCCTTTACTTTACCCTTCACTTTTCTCAAAGAGAAGGAGTCTTACCCTGTAGCCACCACAGGTGGATATGAGCTGAATCTTACCTGGAGCAAATACTCTCTTGAATTGCAATGCTCAGTAAGACTCTGAAAAAAAGCTAACTTTAATTCTATATAAGACCCCCCTTTTTTATAGCTAACAATTTTAACAATCATGCAGGGACCTCAGAGTACACATCCCAAGATCATCTGGAACATTACAGGAACTGAGTTCTTTGATACCAACATCAGCCCTTTGAACCCCAATTTTTCCTTCATATCTGCAGATGACTGAATGAAACCTTCCTGAGAAAATCTCAGACCTCCCACTTGATTGATGGTCATGAGTTTTATTTACCAGTGGTTTATACTCTTTTATAAAAGATAAAGTTTTTCCAGAATATTTTTGTATCTCAAGAAATTAAATTCTCCTAACTGAAAGATGCTAGAAAGGAACAGTTATGTAAGGTAATCTGGTTGGCCAGGTTGTACTGCTGCTTTTTCTTGTAATATAATTTATAATAAGATTCAGCAACACATGACTTATTAAAAATTTCCTAGGTTTAAGCCTAGGAAAAAATACAAAAACAAAAGGCATTTTCTTATTCCAGTCAGATTTTGATTTGCCATCTCCAGGTGACCAGAGGTCTCGTGAAAATGTCAGAGACATAATCTTTGTGATATGCAGTGGTCCTATAAGGGACTCCTTGTGACAAATAATTAGTAATTAACTTGTCCCGGGGCACAAATATGAGTTGTTCACCCCACCTCCTCTGAGCCTCCACACTTACCTTAGTCAAAGGGAGAGAAAAAAAAACATAAGGCGAATAACAGCCATTAGCAATAGCTGCTCAATGTAGCACATATGGCCCGCTATTTGTTATTAGCATTTCTGCTTTGCTAATATCTTACAGTAGGAAATAAACCATCCAAAACTGAAACAATAAGGGCACTGGACAACCAACCTCCAGTTAGTACCCTTACTTACTTGCAAGTATCTCCCTAGATTGGAAGGGCTTTCTCATGGGGTTTTACTTTAAAATAATAAACAAGACTCTTAAGCATGAAGTCATGACAGGTTTTCTTGGACTACAAGTAGCTATATATTACAGCATGTTTTAGCACATATTTTTAAACTGATGGCCAAATTGCATCAAGAAAAATTCAGAGCTCAAATAGTCATTATTTAAACAAGCAAACCAAACCTCCGCAACTATAAATTTAACATGTAATCTTCTAAATTCTCTGCCTATCTCTAAATGTTTTCTCTGTCTACTTTAAATCTGCTGACTTTTCTCCTGATTGAGGTAAAACTCACTGTTCACTGTATTACTAGTTAAGGCTACTTCTCTGGCATTGGGACTGGGGGAGATGAAAAAGGTATTTTAAAATCCAACTGCAATTTGAGTGTACAGACTCCAAAGGGCTGCATTCTGCTCTGGGGCCATGGCTAATGCTGCCACTGCCACCAGCAGTCCAGGTAAAGAGAGGTGAAGGCTGCCACTTTCATATGCCTTGTGAAGAAATCCCATTACTGTTGTTATGGGCTGCTTTGGAGCTGATTCAGTGAGACCACTGCTGCCTCCACCTGAGCATTCTGCCAACATCCTGGGGACCACTCCATCACTGACTGTCACAGTTAACAAATAAAAACACCAGCAGAGTGCCAGAGGGCAAGTTCCCCAGCCTGGTATTTTCCACCCGGTTCTTGAGCACATTATCCCTGGGCCTGAAAGTTACCCAACTCAGTCTACCATTGTTGGCACATGAACAGTTCTCTTGCGGCATGAGATCAGGCCATCCCAACCTGATAATATCACTACAGCTGGTACCTACCTGCATCTGCTATCAACAGACTAATTCACACAGCCTGCTGTAATGACTGCCCAGATAAGCACAGACTTCTTGGGTTTTAGTGGATTCTTTTACCACCACTACTGCCATCACTTACATAATATTTGCCCAGGAGCATAGAAACTTACCTACATGCCTGGCCTACCACAGCCACTGTGTCATCCAAGGAATCCACTTGGAGGCTGAAGAATCAGCCCACCTAGACCCACTAACATTAGTGCCAGCATACGTCACTCTAAGATCCAAGGACAGGCATGACTAGCTTACTATTACCACTGAAGCACCAAGACTGCCCAACCTGGCATCACAGTCCCCAACAAAACGTCATTGTTGCCTTCACTAATAAATATATGCTAAGTCACCAAGGAAATCATAGATACTGTTGTTTACAGCCAAAAATTTATAGAGATTACACTACTGCATAAACCCAAATTAAAGCCAAAGTGCCTTACCAAACCAACAACATGTGTACACCTTCAGAAAAGCATCCTCCCCTACAAAAGCAAATTTAAAATATTAGAAGAAATGATTGTTTCATCAGATGCACAGATCTCAACATAAGAACAAAGAAAATATTCCTTCAAAAAGAAAATATGACACAAAGAAACACAATAGCTCTCAAGCAACAGATCCCAGTAAAAACAAATAATTAATTGTTCCAGTTCAAGATGTCTGACTAGATGCAGCTAATGGCACCTCTTCCATGGAGAAGATCAAAACAGCAAGCAAATATTCACACTTCAAACAGATAGTTTAAGAAAATCACTGGATTTAATTAGATAAGCAATGAGAATTATGGAAGGCAAATAAGAGTTAAGCCAGGCAGCTTGCTGGGCTAGGATTGGCAAAGAGCTGGGAGAGACTGTCTGACACAGGGAAGGTGTAAGAGATGAACTCCTGAGACATCAGTGTTTTACTGGAGTTTTACAATCCCAGCTAAGGGAGAGCCTCTTAAGTCTCCCCTCTATTGCATACTCCTGGCAGGCTTTCAAAGCCTAAGCAGCCACTGTCAGGTGCCATTCTTATGGCATGGACCCCAAGAGACCTGCATTCTTCCCTGAGGCCACTGCCACCAGCAAAGTCACTGTGGCTGCCACCACTGAACCAGGGAGGGAGTAGGGAGACTGAGCTCCTTTGCAAGCCTGAAGGACAGATACCAACCCTGATGCTGGAGGATGGAGGAATTCGTGAACTGGACACCAATTATGCCTGCCTCCACTATTTCCACCAAGGAGGCCAGCCTTCTCTGTTGATGGGCCTGCAACACAGAATCCTTTCCCCTACTTAACTTTTTCAGCAGCAAACTGCTGCAATCCTAAGAGTTCAGACCCTGGAGTCCTGTGGCCTTCCAGGGGCTTTCACTGCTGCCCTTGCCATTGTTGCCAGGCTGAAGAGAAAGTTGAGAGCCCGGGTAGCTTCATATTCATCA
This sequence comes from Homo sapiens, assembly GCF_000001405.40. Classification (NCBI taxonomy): domain Eukaryota; kingdom Metazoa; phylum Chordata; class Mammalia; order Primates; family Hominidae; genus Homo; species Homo sapiens. The sequence goes on along the minus strand of NC_000024.10, from coordinate 20,698,133 downwards.
GCAATTCATTTTGTTGCTACGGTTGTGAGATAAGGGCATGAGAAAACTGTGAGTCTCATAGCTGTCTCCCTCCACTGCTCCCACTGAGAGAGACCTGCCTTCTTTGATGGCAGATTTCCATAAACAGGGTGCACATCTCATAGGTCTCACTAAGAGGGGACCACCTTCACTGGTAGCAGACTTTCAGAACAGCTGTTTAGTACCACCCCCACCCCCCAACCCACCAAGCATTTTAACTGCATCCTTGGGCCATTCTGAGATCCTGGGCCCCAAATGCTTCCAGTGTGCCCTAGGGCTGCCAGCTGTAACACTGCTCCCACCACCAGTCTGAGCAGAGAGCAAAGAGACTGGATGCCTTTGTGTGTGCCAGGGTCAGATACTGCTGTTGTTGTTGGATGGAGGTGTGAGCAGGTTACATGGCTCAGAGATGTTTGCCTCCCTTGGGTGGGGCCTGCATTCTCTGGTGCCATGTCCACAGCACAGGCACCCTGACCATGCCTGAGCTTTCTGTCAGTGTCCTGAGAATTAGTCTATCCATTCCCATTACAGACATCACCTAAACCCTGGGTATCTTAGGAAAACTCAGTCCCAATTATGTCCCTCTAGGACTTCTGCATACCATCCAGAGGGTCATCTAGGGTAGAAACTGGAAGATTGCCTAACCTAGTCCACCACGACTGGCACCTGATTGCCTCTACTAGCGTCTGACATCAGGCAAACCCAACAAGCTCATATCACATAGCTGACACACATTCACACATACCAAAAAATGGCGGTCTTCTCCCTCTCTGCATGAAGCAACAGCATATCTGCATTGAAAAATAGAACAACATCTCTGTCTGTATTGGGCTAAGGAAAGACATTTTACCTTGGAGCCATTTCTGCAGAGAACAACAGGGCAGGTATTTTTCATGGTATGCTACATTGTGCCCTGGAAGTAGATGTCAGTTTCTGCTTGAACTGACAGTCAGGAGCCCTGGGACAGGGGAGATACAGAGAATCAACCACATTTCTGCTTTCTGAGAACGTGGAGCCGATGCAGTCCCCCTGCTGGTGGTGTCCTCCACTCATCAGGAGTTTGCCTGTCCCCCCGATTATAGCTGGTGCCTTTACTTGACATTGGGACATTAAAAGACAAGTATAGAAATCCAGGTCCAGCTGACTTTCTCCCCACCCCTGCATGCCTTGAACAGGAAATTCATAACACCATATATTCCACAAACAAGTGCATCACCAGGAACAAGAGAAAACACCTCCCAGTAAACAAAGATCAAGCAGATCCCATCTGCTTCTGCCACAATGGCTCTTCCCTATAAGCACCACCTACCAGCATGGAGGTTAAACTCTACAATTCAATATAAAACGTGCTGACAAAAAAACACAATGGTAAGGAATAAAATCAGCTTTCTAAGACCTTCACAACCCCAGTTTTACAGAAGGCAGTGACCCTGCTTATACGCTGCGTGCATCATTATTACAACCAACATTTATGGAAGCCACTTCATGAAAGCTACCTATAAGCAAAAAATTCATCCAGTAGCCTTTGCTGAAACAGCACATAGGATAGAAACCAAATGACCATACACAACATACGTGACAATCATGCTCTAAAGTGAGAAAATGACATCTTATCCAAACAAAAGTAAATAGAAATATATAAAAAAATTACAGCTTGCCTAGATGAAAAGAAACCATAATATGAATCCTGATGGTAGGAAAAATCAGTGTGTTATGACACAACCAAAAGATCATACCTACTCTCTAACAATGTGTACTCTAATCAAAATTTAAAGTCCCAAAATGACAGATAGAAAATTGAAAATATAGATTGTAAGGAAGCTTAATGAAATACAAGATAAAGTTAAAAACTAACACAAAGAAATCCGAAAAATAATACATATTATTAATAAAAAACCCAAAACTTCTGGAAATAAAAATGTATTGAAGAAATTACAAATAGAGTTGACAACTTTAACAATATGCTAGACCAGGCAGAAGAAAAAGTTTAGAGCTGGAAAAGAGGTCTTTCCATTTAAACCACTGAGAAAAAAAATTTTTTTAATCCCATTAAAAAGTAGTCAGAGGGAGATTCTGTTCCAAGATGGCCAATAGGAACTGCTCCAGTCTGCAGCTGTGATTCATGCAGAAGATGTTTGATTTCTACATTTCCAACTGAGGTACATGGTTCATCTCACTGGACTTGTTGGACAGTGGTTGAAGCCCATGGAGGGTGAGCCAAAGCAGGGTTGGGCATTACCTCACACAGGAAGCAGAAGGGGTTGAGGAATTTCCCTTTCCTAGCCAAGGGAAGCCATGACAGATGGTACTTGGAAAAAATGGGACACTCCTGCCCAAATACTGCACTTTTCCAATGGTCTTAGCAAATGGCAAACCAGGAGATTATATCCCATGCCTAGATCAGTGGGTCCCATGCCTAGATCAGTGGGTCCCATGCCCAAGAAGCCTTGCTCACTGCTAGTGCAGCAGTCTGAGATCAACCTGCAAAGCAGCAGCTGGGCAGGTGGTGGGTTGTCCACCATTGCTGAGGCTTGAGTAGGTAAACAAAGTGTCTGAGGAAGCTCGAAGTGGGTGGAGCTCACTGCAGTATGGCAAGGCCTGCTGCCTCCATTGAATCCACCCCTGAGGGCAGAGCATAGCTGAACAAAAAGCAGCAGAAACTTCTGCAGACTTAAGTGTCCCTGTCTGACAGCTCTTAAGAGACCAATGGTTCTCCCAGCATGCTGTTAGAGCTCAGAGAATGGACAGACTGCCTCCTCAATTGGGTCCCTGACCCTCATGTAGCCTAACTGGAAGACACCTCCCAGTAGTGGCTGACTGACACCTCATACAGCTGGGTGCCTCTCTGGGATGAAGCTTCCGGAGAAAGGATCAGGCAGCAATTTTTGCTGTTCTGCAATATTTGCTGTTCTGCAGCCTGCACTGGTGATACCCAGGCAAACAGAGTCTGGAGTGGACCTCCAGCAAGATCCAAGAGACCTGCAGCTGAGGGACCTCACTGTGAGAAGGAAAACTAACAGACACAAAGGAATAGCATCAACATCAACAAAAAGGACATCCACAACAAAATCCCATACGTAGATCACCAACATCAAGGAATGAAGACAGATGAAACCACAAAGATGGGGAGAAACCAGAGCAGGGAAGCTAAAAATTCTAAAAACCAGAGTGCATCTCCTCCTCCAAAGTATTGCAGCTCCTTGCCAGCAATAGAACAAAGCTGCATAGAGAATGAGTTTGACAAGCTGAAAGAAGTGGGCTTTAGAAAGTCAGTAATAACAAACTTCTCTGAGCTAAAGGAGAATGTTTGAACCCATTGCAAAGAAGCTAAAAACCTTGAAAAAAGATTAGACAAATGGTTAACTAGAATAGACAGTGTAGAGAAGACCTTAAATGTCCTGATGGAGCTGAAAACCATGGCACAAGAACTATATGATGCATGCACTGCCTTCAATACCTGATTCAGTCAAGTGAAAGAAAGGATATCAGTGAAGATCAAATTAATGAAATAAAGTGAGAAGACAAGATTAGAGTAAAAAGAAATGATCAAAGCCTGCAGGAAATATGGGACTTTGTGAAAAGACCAAATATATGTTTGATTGGTGTACTTGAAAGTGATGGGGAGAATGGAACCAAGTTGGAAAACAGCCTTCAGGATACTATCCAGGAGAACTTCCCAAACCTAGCAAGGCAGGCCAACATTCAAATTCAGGAATTACAGAGAACACCACAAAGACACTCCTCAAGAAGAGCAACCCATATGCCTTTCAGATTCACCATGATTGAAATGAAGGAAAAAATTAGTAAGGGCAGCCAGAGAAAAAGGTCAGGTTACCCATAAAAGGAAGCCTATCAGACTACCAGCAGATATCTTGGCAGAAACTCTACAAGCCAGAAGAGAGTAGGTTCCAATATTCAACATTCCTAAAGAAAAGAATTTTCAACCTAGAATTTTATATCCAGCCAAACAAAGAGTCATAAGTGAAGGAGAAATAAAATCCTTTACAGACAAGCAAATGCTGAGAGATTTTGTCACCACTAGGCCTGCCTTACAAGAGCTCCTGAAGGAAGCACTAAACATGGAAAGGAACAACCAGTACCAGACACTGCAAAAACATGCCAAATTGTAAAGACCATCAATACTAGGAAGAAACTGCATCAACTAATGGCCAAAATAACCAATTAATATTATAAAGACAGGATCAAATTCATACATAAAAATATTAACATTAAATGTAAATGGCCTAAATGCCCAAACTAAAAGACACAGACTGCAAATTGGATAGAGTCAAGACCCATCAGTGTGCTGTATTCAGGAGACCCACCTCATGTGCAAACACACAGGTAGTCTCAAAATAAAGGGATAGAGGAAGATCGACAAGCAAATGGAAAACAAAAAAAGGCAGGGGTTGCAATCCTAGTATCTGATAAAACAGACTTTAAACCAACAAAGATCAAAAGAGACAAAGAAGGCCATTACATAATGGTAAAGGGATCAATTCAACAAGAAGAGCTAACTATCCTAAATATATATGCACCCAACACAGGAGCACCCAGATTCATAAAGCAAGTCCTTGGAGACCTACAAAGAGACTTAGACTCCCACACAATAGTAATGAGAAATTTTAACACACCACTGTGGATATTAGACAGAAAAATGAGATAAAAGGTTAATCAGGATATCCAGGACTTGAACTCAGCTCTGCACCAAGCAGACCTAATAGACATCTACAGACCTCTTCATCCAAATCAACAGAATATACATAGTTCTCAGCACCACATCACACTTACTCCAAAATTGACCACATAGTTAGAAATAAAGCACTCCTTAGCAAATATAAAAGAACAGAAATCACAACAAACCATCCCTCAGACCACAGTGTAATCACATTAGAACTCAGGATTAAGAAACTCACTCAAAACTGCACAACTACATGGAAACTGAACAATCTGATCCTGAATGACTACTGGATAAATAACAAAATGAATGCAGAAATAAATATGTTCTTTGAAACCATGAGAACAAAGACAAAATGTACCAGAATGTTGGGGAAATATTTAAAGGAGGGTGTAGAGAGAAATTTATAGCAGTAAATGCCAACAAGAGAGAACAGGAAAACTCTAAATTTGACACCTTAACATCACAATTAAAAGAACTAGAGAAGCAAGAGCAAACAAATTCAAAAGCCAGCAGAAGACAAGAAATAACTCACTAGCAAGACTAATAAAGAAGAAAGGAGAGAAGAATCAAACAGATGCAATAAAAAATGATAAAGGGGATATTACCACTGATCCCACAGAAATACAAGCTATCATCAGAGAATACTGTAAACACCTCTATGCAAATAAATGAGAAAATCTAGAGGAAATGGATAAATTCCGGGACACATACACCCACCCAAGACTAAACCAGGAAGAAGTTGAATCTCTGAATAGACCAATAACAGGCTCTGAAATTGAGGCAATAATTAATAGCCTACCTACCAAAAAATGTCCAGGACCAGATGGATTCACAGCCAAATTCTAACAAACGTAGAAAGAGGAGCTGGTACCTTTCCTTCCAAAACTATTCCAATCAATAGAAAAAGAGGAAATCCTCCCTAACTCATTTTATGAGGCCAGCATCATCCTGATACCAAAGCCTGGCTGAGACACAGCAAAAAAAAGAGAATTTTAGACCAATATCCCTGATGAACATAGATGCAAAAATCCTCAATAAAATACTGGCAAACCGAATCCAGCAGCACATCCAAAAGCTTATCCACCACTATCAAGTTGGCTTCATGCTTGGGATGCAAGGCTGGTTCAACATACACAAAACAATAAATGTAATCCATCACATACACTGAATCAAAGACAAAAACCACATTATTATCTCAATAGATGCAGAAAAGGCCTTCAACAACTTTCAAAAACTCTTCATGCTAAAAATCTCAATAAACTAGGTATTGATTGAATGTATCTCAAAATAATAAGAGCTATTTATGACAAACCCACAGTCAAAATCACACTGAATGTTCAAAAACTGGAAGTATTCCCTTTGAAAACCAGCAAAAGTCAAGGATGCCTTCTCTCACCACTCCTATTAAACACAGTGTTGGAAGTTCTGGCTAGGGCAATCAGGCAAGAGAAAGAAATAAAGGGTCTTGATGTCAAATTGTCTCTGTTTCCAGATGAGATGATTATATATTTAGAAAACCCCATCATCTCAGCCCAAAATCTCCTTAAGCTGATAAGCAACTTCAGCAAAGTCTCAGGATTCAAAATCGATGTGAAAAAATCATAAGCATTCCTATACACCAATACCAAATAGAGAGACAAATCATGAGTGAACTCCCATTCACAATTGCTACAAAGAGGATAAAATGCCTAGGAATCCAACTTAAAAGGATGTGAAAGACCTCTTCAAGGAGAACTACAAACCACTGCTCACCGAAATAAAAGAGGACACAAACAAATGGAAGAACATTTCATGCTTATGGATAGAAGGAATAAATATAGTGAAAATGACCACACTGCCCAAGGCAATTTTTGGATCCAATGCCATTCCCATCAAGCTACCAATTAGTTTCTTCACAGAATTGGAAAAAACTACTTTAAAGTTCAAATGGAACCAAAAAGAGCTTGCATTGCCAAGACAATCCTAAGTGAAAAGAACAAAGCTGGAGGTATCAGGCTACCTGACTTCAAACTATGCTACAAGGTACAGTAATCAAAACAGCATAGTACTGGCACCAAAAGAGATATATAGTCCAATGGAACAAAGCAGAGTCCTCAGAAATAACACCACACATCTACAGCCATCTGATCTTTGAGAAACCTGACAAAAACAAGAAATGAGGAAAGGATTCCCTATTTAATAACTGGTACTGGGGAAACTGGCTAGCCATATGTAGAAAGCTGATACTGGATCCCTTCCTTACACCTTATACAAAAACAAATTCAAGATAGATCAAATACTTAAATATTAGACCTAAACACATAAAAACCCTAGAAGAAAACCTAGGCAATGTCATTCAGGAAATAGGCATAGGCAAAGGCTTCATGACTAAAACACCAAAAACAATGGCAACAAAAGACAAAATTTACAAATGGGATCTAATTAAACTAAAGAGCTTCTGCACAGCAAAAGAAACTACCATCAGAGTGAACAGCCACCTACAGAATGGGATCTGACAAAGGGCTAATAACCAGAATCTACAAAGAACTTAAACAAATTCACAAGAAAAAAAAACGATCAAAAAGTGGGCAAAGGTTTACCATTTGACCCAGCCATCCCATTACTGGGTATATACCCAAAGGACTATAAATCATGCTGCTATAAAGACACATGCACACGTATGTTTATTGCGGCACTATTCACAATAGCAAAGACTTGGAACCAACCCAAATGTCCAACAATGATAGACTGGATTAAGAAAATGTGGCACATATACACCATGGAATACTATGCAGCCATAAAAAATGATGAGTTCATATCCTTTGTAGGGACATGGATGAAATTGGAAACCATCATTCTCAGTAAACTATCGCAAGAACAAAAAACCAAACACCGCATATTCTCACTCATAGGTGGCAATTGAACAATGAGATCACATGGACACAGGAAGGGGAATATCACACTCTGGGGACTGTGGTGGGGTCGGGGGAGGGGGGAGGGATAGCATTGGGAGATATACCTAATGCTAGATGACACATTAGTGGGTGCAGCGCACCAGCATGGCACATGTATACATATGTAACTAACCTGCACAATGTGCACATGTACCCTAAAACTTAAGAGTATAAAAAAAAAAAAAAAAGTGGGCAAAGGATATGAACAGACACTTCTCAAAAAATGCATATATGCAGCCAACAGACACATGAAAAACTGCTCATCATCACTGGTCATCAGAGAAATGCAAATCAAAACCACAATGAGATACCATCTCACACCAGTTAGAATGGCAATCATTAAAAAGCCAAGAAACAACAGGTTCTGGAAAGGATGTGGAGAAATAGGAACACTTTTACACTGTTGGTGGTAGTGTAAACTACTTCCACCATTGTGGAAGACAGTGTGGTGATTCCTCAAGGATCTAGAACTAGCAATACTATTTGACCCAGCAATCCCATTTCTGGGTATATACCCAAAGGATTAAAAATCATGCTACTATAAAGACACATGGACACATATGTTTGTTGCAGCACTATTCACAATAACAAAGACTTGAAACCAATCCAAATGTCCATCAATTATAGACTGGATTAAGAAAATGTGGTCCATATGCACCATGGAATACTGTGCAGCCATAAAAAGGGATGAGTTCATGTCCTTTGCAGGGACATAGATGCAGCTGGAAACCATCATTCTCAGCAAACTATCACAAGGACAGAAAACCAAACACTGCATGTTTTCACACATAGGTGGGAATTGAACAATGAGAATACTTGGACACAGGCTGGGGAAAATCACTCCCTGGGGCCTGTTGTGGGGTAGGGGACAGGGGGAGGGATAGCATTAGGAGAAATACCTAATGTAAATGATGAAATAATGTTTGCAGCAAACTAACCTGACACGTGTATACCTATGTAAAGAAACTGCACTTTTGCACATTTACCCTAGAACTTAAAGTATAATTTAAAAAAAAGTAGTCAAGGAAAACAAACATTCTTTTTCAAAAGAAGATATACAAGTGACCAATAAATAAAATGCTCAGCATCATTAACTGTCAGAGATATCCAAATTAAAATCATGATGAAATACTATGTTACACCAGTTTGAACATTCATTATTATTAGTCAAAAATCAATAAATATTGGCAAGCATATGAAAGAAAGAAAATGCATATACAGCAGTTGTTGGAGTTTAGTGCATTCTCTGTGGAAAATAAAACAGAGAACTCCTGAAAAATCTGCAAATAAAGCAATCCTTCAATTCATCAATCTCACTCCTGAATATCTACCCAAAAGTAAAGAAATCATTATGTCACAAAGACAACTGCACCATTCAGAATAGTAAAGTTATAAAATCAGCCTGACATCTCTTAATAAATAATTGGATTTTAATATGTTACAAACATACCCACATCAGGGAAGAGTACCCAGTCATAATAAAAGAATGAAACTATGTGTTTTGCAGCAATATAGATGGAAGGAATGCCATTGTTCTAATGAAATGAGGAGGAGACAAAAGCCACATGCTACACATTTTTTATTTTAAGTGGAAGCTAATAAATGAGTACACATGGACACACAGAGTGGAATAATAAATGTTGAAGGCTCCAAAAGATAAGAATTTGGGAAGGGGATGAATGATGAAATACTACCTATTGTGTTCAATATTCACTATTCAGATGGTGAGTACACTGAAAGCCCAGACTTCAGCACTATGCAATATATCCATGTAAGAAAAGTACACTTGTACACACCAAATCTATAACAATAACTAATAGTAATAATTATCTTCCAGATAAGTAATTCAAATGGCTGATTTTATAGAAGCTTTTGAGATACATGTTGTGAAAAATAAGACATAGAAATCAGAAAACCAATTGAGAATATATGTATGAAATTTACTAGAGAGTTTTTTAACATAAAACAAAGAAACAAATACTGAAAGTAAAGAACTCATTGAATTAAAAATAATGTCCAAAATTTTCAACAATAGAGTATATCAAGCAGATGAATCTCAAAACTTAAAGTCTTTTGGAAGACTTGAAGCTAAAAGAGATTGAGGAAAGAATTTATGACATTTGAGAAAACCTAGAGAAAATAAATATCGGCATTATTTGTGTAACAAAGGGCAAAGAGAAAATAAAATGATTTAAAAACCTATTTAAAAAAATTCTATGTAAATTTTTGAAGTCAGGCAAAAAATCTAGGCACCCAAATACAAGTGGCCTGAAGATCCCCAAAGAGATATTATTCAGAAAGATTAAATTCTATAGCACAACTGTCTAAAGTCAAAGCAAAAGACAGTAAGATAAGTACACTCATTTAGTCACCTATAAAGGAAATCTCATTAGGCCAAAAGTGGAATGCTTAGCAGAAACCTTACAAGCTGGAGAATATAAAATGATATATTCAAAGTGCTTGGAATAAAAAATAAAATAAAATAAAAAATTACCACCCAAGGATATGATATCCAGCAAAACAAATATTTATAAATAAAGTATGAACAGCTTTTGTCAAGCAAATAAGCAATGTACAGTTGGGTAGAGTGGCTCATGCCTGTAATAGCAGCATATTAGGAGGAGGAGGCAAGCAGATCGCTTGACATCAGGAGTTTGAGACCAGCCTGGCTGACCTGGTGAAATTCTGACTCTACTAAAAATACAAAAAGTAGCCAAAAATACAAAAATTAGCCAAGCACGGTGGCACCTTCCTGTAGTTCCAGGACTTGTGAGGCTGAGGCAGGAGAATTGCTTGAATCTGGGAGACAGTGGTTGCAGTGAGCTGAGATCATGCCACTACACTTCATCCTGCATGATACAGCAAGACCCTGTCTCAAAAAAAAAAAAAAAAAAAAGGATGTAAGAGTTTATCTTCTTTAGACTGTCCCTATAAGAAATGCAAAACAGAGTGTTACATGTGGAAGAGAAAGAAAAATATTTATAATATTTATTATCATGATAACACCAAAAAGTTTAAAACTCATAGGTAAGTAAAACACACAAATGAAAAAAATAAAGAACTCAACACATCCCATTACACTAAAATACCAAACCAGAATGAAAATCAGTAAGAGAAAAACTGGAGAACAAAACAATTAGAAAACAATTTACAACATAGTGCTAACAAAACTCATAGATCAATAATAACCTTAGACATAAGTGAATTAAATATTTCACTTAAAAATATATATACTACCTGAATGGAAATAAAACATGATGCAATTTTCTGAAACCTGTAAAAATCTCTTTTCACATACAAAAACACCCAGTTGAAGACGGAGGGATGTAAAAATTAAAACAACAAGCAAGCAGAGGTAGCTACATTTATGTCACTGAAAACAAACTTTAAGTCAAAAACAGTTTAAAAATGCAAAACCCGACTGTCAGCATTAGACAAATCATTGGACAAAAGTTAATGAAATAAATGGATGTAAGTTGAACTCTAAACCAAATAAACTTAAGAAATAATTGTAGAACATTAGGCCCAACAACTGCAAAATATACTCTCCTCCCTTTAGTACCTGGCACTTTACAAAGTATAGACCACATGTTAGGCCACAAAACAAGTCTGCACAAAAATTTTTCAATTCAAACTACATGAAGTATCTTCTCTGACCACAGTGAAGTAAAACTAGAAATTAACATGAAAAGAAACTGTGGAAACTATGCAAAACATGGTAATATAACAACAGTGGTAAGAAGGAAGATTACAGCAATTATTACCTACATCAAAAATATGGAAAGGTTTCAAATAAATCACCTAACCATGCACCTTAAGAAACTAAGAAAGCCAAAACAAAGCAAACAAAATTAACACAAGTAAAAAGAACATAGTAAAAGCAAAGAAAATAGAAATAAGTTATGAAAAAATAAGTTGGTGGCTCAAGTAAATAAATAAAATTGATATACCCCTAAGTAGGCTAAACAAGAGGAAAAGCATATCCAAATAAATCACTAATGAAAAGAGACCTAAAGTAATACTAATTCAAGGGCAGGTAAGCCCCACAATTGTGGTTTACCCAAGAGAGTTCTTGGCTTTTCCCAGGGAAGAATTCGAGGGCAAACCAGTGGTTTTACACAGCAACTTTTATTTAAGTGGCAGTGCACAGTAGCAGCCGAAGTATTGATCCTCATGGATCAGGGGTACCCCATAGGCAGTATGCTGAGAGTAGCAGCTCAGTGGCAGTTCTGCAGTTATATTTATATCTACTTTTTATTACATGTACATGAAGAAGTGGTTTATACAGACATTTCCCAGGAAGTGATAGTAACTTTTGGGTCATCTGGTCACTGCCCTGAAAAGAGGTGATATGTCCCAGTCCCATTGCCATGGCAATGGTAAACTGATATTGCACACTGGGGTCATATGTTATGGAAGACTGCTTCTGCCCCATCCCTGTTTTAGCTAGTCCTTAACTTGGTCCAGTGCCTGAGCCTCTGGATTCTAGTCCTGCCTCTTGCCTCATTCCCTCTCCAGAGATTAGAAACTCCTCCTTAATCTTAAAGGGGCTACAGAAGGGCAGGGGTCTGTCTTCTGTAATTGCTTCCTGCTGCGTTTATGGATGTAGACCCTGTCTACTCTCAGAGAAGCAAAACTCACTGGATACCTAATTTAAGGGGCCTGGAAGCAGAAAACTTTCAGGAAACTCTCAGACAGCAGGCAGGGTTGTTTGGCAGGTTTGTGCCTGCATTGCCTTTACTTGGAACTGTTATAATCTAGAAGACATAAACTTTACTAAGAAGTTAAAGAAGTAAGGGTCAAGAATTGTAACAGCAAGACAGCTATCAAAGGTCCTAGGAGATGTAAAGTCCAGGTGAGACTAGGAAAGTGATTTTTGACAGTTAACATGACATATTTGGGGTCAGTGTCCTGGTTATATCTATGTAACCAGGTAGCATGCTCATAGATCTTTTGAATGTTAACCTTAACCTGTTCAGAGTTGTTAATATATGTGCAGCAGTTTTTTAACTTCACAGACTTCAGTTTGTCATGTCAGTAAACAATCCAACAGTACTCCATTATCAAGAACTACATTTGCCAAAGAGTCTAAGCACTCTTGAATTCCCTGTAGTGCCTGATTTTTGTTGGTGGCTAAGGATTCTAGGATTTAGAATCTAAAGGATTTAAATAAAGTTCTTGAGAGTTATCTTGAGGCAAGCAAAGCAACCCCAGTGTGCCACTAGTCGTATTGCTGCCTTAATTTCTGCCAGAATTAACCCTATTGCTTGCTTACTTTTGGTTTTCTAAGGTCCTATGGGGTAACAGACAATGACACCCAGAGGGGCAAAGGTAGCCAATTACATTTTCCTCTGTTTGAAGTTTTCAAATATAAGTGAAAGCTACATCTAAAAGAACATGTGACTCCCCAGGCAGCTGGAAGTAGTCACAAAGCATGACTCCTTCCTATTCATGGCCACAAAGAAAAAGGAGCCAAATTGGGATATAAAAAGATGGCCTGCAGGGTGTGATGCTAATCCTTTGCTAGGCCAAGTTGAATCCATAAAGATATTTTTCTCATTTCACTGGGAGTGCTGTAACAATTTTTATTTATTTTTTTTAACGAGGGCAATACTCTCATGTTCCCATAATAAGTAGTTGTTTTTCACTTGTATTTTCTAACTCTGGGAGAAGGCACTGCATATGGTCTCCTCACAAGTGGAATTCCATTTACTACACTGTGGCCTTGCAAACTGGTCACCTATATTTGGATCAGAGCATCACAGAGAAGCTTCTACTTTTGTTTTAATGAGACAACATTGGTGCAAAAGAATCATTACTGCACTGGAGATATAAATACCTAATTTTCCAGATACAAGTAATGGTGGTGGGGAGGGTTTCAGGTAGAAGCCATTAAGTTAGGGAGATTTCCACTTAAGTACTAAAGGTTTGTGTGCTCTGGGATCACTCTGGTTAGTTAGGAAATCTGGGAACATGGCTATGAGATGTTTTTAATAGGTCAGAAGATAGAACTCTCTATCCTGGGGATGCTAATAACAAACCTAGCAACCATAAAAATGATTTCCTGTCACTACAATTTTTTGAAATATTTATTCTAAAGTTTTCTGTCTGTTGGGAACAGGCCCCCAAATTTGGCCATAAACTGGGCCCAAAACTGGCCATAAACAAAATCTCTGCTGCAATGTGACATGTTCATTATGGCCATGATGCCCACATTGAAGGTTGTGGGTTTACCAGAATGAGGGCAAGGAACACCTGGCCCACCCAGGGCAGAAAACTGCTTAAAGGTGTTCCTGAACCACAAACAATAACATGAGCGATCTGTGCCTTCAGGACATGTTTCTGCTTCAGATAACTAGCAAAAGCCAATCTCTTTGTTTTGGCCTGTCCCTTTGTTTCCCATAAGGAATACTTTTAATCTATAATCTATAGAAATAATGCTTATCACTGGCTTGCTGTCAATAAATATGTGGGTAAATCTCTGTTCAGGGCTCTCAGTTCTGAAGGCTGTGGGTCTCCTGATTTTCCCATTCCACATGGCTATATTTCTGTGTGTCTTTAATTCCTCTAGCACCACTAAGTTAGGGTCTCCATGACTAAGCTGGTCTTGGCAGTTTCCACCCACCCTGAATCAAGATAATTGAGACAGCATAGAACACTAACAGTGGTAGCATAGTGTCTGTTTGAGCCTTAGGTGGTCTCAACATCTAAGAAGAAGAGAGGCATTTCCCAGGAAGAGGTGGCTGGCTAAAGTGATAGAAAAGAAGTATTACAGTCATGAAGACATGAAAATAATGTCTCTATTCCCACACGCAGCAGCACATTACCACTCTGGCTGAGTGCTGATTCTTTAAAACAGGTAAGGAAAGTTTTCCTGAGGTTTGCTGAGATAGATTGTGGCATCCTCCTTCTGTGGCTATGACTCATAAGAAACAGGTTTAATCATTGATAGGTCTATCTAAGTAGTTATTTTCTGATGTGTAACAGTGGGGATGATATTTAACAATACCCAGTGGAAATTACAATTTTATTGAAATTGATCAACAAGGATTCTTCTTTTTAGTAAAACTAACTCTTTTGGTTGAACAGGGAACCATTTCTTTCCCTTGTGGAGAAGAGCAATGTTTTATTTTTATGTTGGGGAACCTTGTGAATGTAGGCATAAAATTAAGACAAAACACCTTAGCACCAGGCAATAAAAACAATGAAAATCAGAGAAAAACTCACAGGAGCTGACAAAAAGCTAAAGGAGAGTTATATAAATCTGACAATTTTTTTAAAAAAGAAATAGATTAAAAGATTGAAAAGTAAAATTGGCAATTTAGAAAATTAATGTCAAGAAAGTTTGGTTTTAACACATATAACTTTTTTTTTTAAGAGAGACTGTTATAAACAATTTCCTTTTAGGTATAGTTAGCTTAATCACACACAAAATTACTTTTATAAATTCCACTTTATGAACCTTATCACAACTTACACGGATCATATACAACATGTTTGGACTTTCTGACTTCTCTTATACTACCTCTTTCTTAAAACCAATCTTTCTACTCTAGAACGAGAGTTTACTGTAAGTATCCATCCTTATAACAAATTACTCCTTCTTCATATATTCTTCCTAGCAAAAAAAAAAATCACATTTTCTATTCATAAAATTCTCAA
The DNA here is from genome assembly GCF_000001405.40 of Homo sapiens. Lineage (NCBI taxonomy): Eukaryota > Metazoa > Chordata > Mammalia > Primates > Hominidae > Homo > Homo sapiens. The sequence goes on along the minus strand of NC_000024.10, from coordinate 20,682,839 downwards.
TATCTCTTTTTTCTACCACTGATCTCATCATATTTTGAACTTCCATTTTAATAACTTTGGAATTAGACAGAAATCATTTTCCTAATAAAGAATACATTTCCTTGGGACATTTTATATAAAACCTAGGAAGCAAGAAGTCCTGAACTGTCCACCAGGCATTGGAATTCTATAGATGAAAATCATTTGATAATTTTAAGATTTTTAACTATACAAAAACTCACTATTTAAGCATCTGTTCTATTCATATGTGTTTAACTTTTTCACTTACAACACTTTTATGTAGACAACCTCCAAAAAACAAGATACCACACAGAGCTAGTCCCCATTTAAAACCATTTCAACCATTTTAAAATCTAAGACATTAATAATTTACCTCGGTAAAAATATTTATGTTACATTTTAGGAGACACAACATTCTTTTTATAATATGTTTAGAAATTTATGAGTCCTCTTTAATTTATAAGCCAATTTGATAGCATGTTAGACCTAACATACACCAAAATACCTGTGTACACACTTAAACAAGCACATTAATTATTGTTTTAACCTACAGGAGACAACAGATTTCAAATTATTTGCAAAATTGGAACCCATATATATGGCCAGTTTTTTGTTTTGTTTTGTTTTTTGCCCCAATAGGCATGGAAAAGAGGAAGAGACAAGGAAGGGGATTTTACAGCATCAGATAAGAAAGGAAGGGGTGCTGGGCACAGTGGCTCATGCATGTAATCACAGCACTTGGGGAGGCTGAGATCAAAAGGTCAAAAGTTTAAGACCAGCCTGGCCAATATGGTGAAATCTCATCTCTACTAAAAATACAAAAATTAGCCGGGTGTGGTTTTGGGCACCTGTAATCCCAGCTACTCAGGAGGCTGAGGCAGGAGAATATCTTGAACCTAAGAAGCAGAGGTTGCAGTGAGCCAAGATTGTGACACTGCACTCCAGCTTGGGTGACAGAGCAAGACTCCATTTCAAAAAAAAAAAAGAAAGAAAAAGGAAAGGGAAGGGGTGAACAGCAGTGCTCAATGGGAGACTTCGGGGTCTCTGAGCAACCTGAGAGCTCATCCAGCAGCAGAGACTCTGACAAAAAACTGTTCACTTGTCCTCTACTGCAAGAAGCTTTCCGTCAGGTCAAGGGTCCAAGACTCCCAGTAAACTTACTTGAGCAAGACACCTCTTTGGGGCTAGTGGATGAAGTCTGTTAGCTCTAGAAGTAATAGGGAGATTTTTTCTCTTTCTGTTTTCAGGGACAGTTAGGAAATTATCATTGTCAAAGGCCCTTTTGCTTATAGTAGGCCCAGTGATCCTGGCCCAGGGTATGGTGAGTCAGGGACTACTGTCTAGACATCCCAGTGGCTGATCTTGTGGTACTTTCTAAGGGTAGATAACTCTGATGGTGAAAAGGGATTAAAGGATTTGTTAATAATTGCACTTTGGAGCTATTAATTCTGGGTCTACTATCACATCTTTTACTTTATCTCTATTGTTGTAAACTTTAAAGACCACATTTAACAGTTGACTCATAGAGGTTTGAGGTCCCATGATGGCTTTTTGTAGCTTTTTTTTAATGTCAGGGGCAGATTGTGTAATAAAACATATACCCAAGAGAGCTTGCTCTTCTAGGCAGTATAGGTCAGCCTGAGTCCTAAATAAGTGAGAACATGCCATATTTGATTTTCAGTTTCTGTGTTAATTTCCTTAGGATAATGGTCCCTAGCTGCATTCATGTTACAAAAGCATAATTTCATTCCTTTTTATGACTGCATAGTGTTGAGTTGTGTATGTGTATCATATTTCTTTATGCAATCCACCATTAATGAAGATAAGGTTGATTCCATTTCTTTGCTGTGATAAAAATAGAAGTATGTGTCTTTTTGGTCAAATGTTTATTTTCCTTTGGGTATATATCCAGTAATGATTTGAGATAATATCTAATTGTGTTTTTCGATTTTCACTGCTCTTAATTCTAAATTTAAAATCATTTTTTGTTTGGTTGTAGAGAAGTGGGTCTGTATGAACCTCTTCCCCAAACTGGTTTCAAACTCATAGGATCAAATGGACCTCCTGCTTGACTTCCCAAACCACTGAAATTACAAGTACAAGCCACTGTGCTGGGCCAACTGTTTCCAATTTGAAGTGTGTTTTATCTCATATAACTGTAGCTATTTATGCTAGTTTTGGTTTTCATTTCTGAAGATACCATTCTCCAGTTCTCTGCATTAACTATATAAGTGTATTTATTAGTAATATGAGTTTCTTTATTACTATTATTATACTTTAAGTTCTAGGATACATGTGGACAACGTGTAGGTTTGTTACATAGGTATACATGTGCCATGTTGGTTTGCTGCACTCATCGACTTGTCATTTACATTAGGTATTTCTCCTAATGCTATCCCTTCCCTGGCCCCCCACCCCCTGACAGGCCCTGGTATGTGATGTTCCATGCCCTGTGTCCAAGTGTTCTGTTCAGTTCCCACCTGAGTGAGAACAGATTTGCTGAGAATGATGGTTTCCAGCTGCATATATGTTCCTGCAAAGGACATGGATTCATCTTTCTTATGGCTGCATAGTATTCCTTGGTATATATGGGCCACAATTCTTAATGCAGTCTATCATTGATGGACATTTGGGTTGGTTCCAAGTCTTTGCTATTGTGAATAGTGCTGCAATAAGCATACATGTTCATGTGTCTTTATAGCAGCATGCTTTATCATCGTTTGGGTATATACCCAGTAATGGGATGGCTGCGTCAAATGATATTTCCAGTTCTAGATCCTTGAGGAATCGCCACACTGTCTTCCACAATGGTTGAACTTGTTTGCAGTCCCACCAACGCTGAAAAAATTCTTATTCCTCTACATCTTCTCTAGCATCCATTGTTTCCTGACTTTTTAATGATCACCATTCTAACTGGCATGAGATGGTATCTCATTGTGGTTTTGATTTGCATTTCTCTGATAACTAGTGAGGATGAGCATTTTTTCATGTGGCTGTTGGATGCATAAGTGTCTTCTTTTGAAAAGTGTCTGTTCATATCCTTTGCCCAATTTTTGATAAGGTAGTTTTTTTTTCTTGTAAATTTGTTTAAGTTCTTTGTAGATCCTGGATATTAATCCTTTGTCAGATGGGTAGATTGCAAATATTTTCTCCCATTCTGTAGGTTGCCTGTTCACTCTGATTGTAGTTTCTTTTGCTGTGCAGAAGGTCTTTAGTTTAATTAGATCCCACTTGTATATTTTGGCTTTTGTTGCCATTGCTTTTCATGTTTTAGTCATGAAGTCCTTGTCCATGCCTATGTACTGAATGGTATTGCATAGGTTTTATTCTAGGGTTTTTATGTTTTTAGGTCTAATAGTTAAGTCTTTAATCCATCTTGAATTAATTTTTGTATAAGGGGTAAGGAAGGGATCCAGTTTCAGCTTTCTATATATGGCTAGCCAGTTACCACAGCATCATTTATTAAATAGGGAATCCTTTCCCCATTTCTTGTTCTATTCAGTTATGTCAAAGATCAGATGGTTGCAGATGTGTGGTGTTGTTTCTGAGGCCTCTTTTTTGTTCCATTGGACTATATATCTCTTTTAGTACAAGTACCATACTGTTTTGATTAATGTAGCTTGTAGTATAGTTTGAAGTCAGGTAGCCTGATAACTCCAGCTTTGTTCTGTTTGCTCAGGATTGTCTTTGCAATGCAAGCTCTTTTTGGTTCCATTTGAACTTTAAAGTAGTTTTTTTCCAGTTCTATGAAGAAACTCATTGGTAGCTGGATGGGAATGGCATTGAATCCAGAATTTACCTTCGGCAGTATGGTCATTTTCATGATATTGATTCTTCCTATCCATGAGCATGGAATGTTCTTCCATTTGTTTGTGTCCTCTTTTATTCCATTGAGCAGCGGTTTGTAGTTCTCCTTGAAGAGGTCCTTCACAACCCTTTTAAGTTGGATTCCTAGGTATTTTATTCTCTTTGTAGCAATTGTGAATGGGAGTTCACTCATGATTTGTCTCTCTGTTTGTCTGTTATTGGTGTATAGGAATGCTTGTGATTTTTGCATATTGATTTTGAATCCTGAGACTTTGCTGAAGTTGCTTATCAGCTTAAGGAGATTTTGGGCTGAGACAATGGGGTTTCCTAAATATACAATCATGTCATCTGAAAACAGGGACAATTTGATTTCCTCTGTTCCTTATTGAATACTCTTTATTTCTTTCTCTTGCTTGATTGCCCTGGCTAGACCTTCTAACACTATGTTGAATAGGAGTGTTGAGAGAAGGCATCCTTGTCGTGTGCCAGCTTTCAAAGGGAATACTTCCAGTTTTTGACCATTCAGTATGATTTTGTCTGTGTGTTTGTCATAAATAGCTCTTATTATTTGGAGATACATTCCATCAATACCCAGTTTATTGAGATTTTTAGCATGAACGGCTGTGAAATTTTGTCAAAGGCCTTTTCTGCATCTATTGAGATAATCATGTGTTTTTTCTCATTGGTTTGTCTATGAAATGCATTACGTTTATTGATTTGCATATGTTGAACCAGCCTTGCATCCCAGGGATGAAGCTGACATGATCATGGTGGATAAACTTTTTGACGTGCAGCTGGATTTGGTTTGCTAGTATCTTGTTCAGGATTTTCACATCAATGGTCTTCAGGGATATTCTTCTAAAATACTTTTTTCTTGTTGTGCCTCAGCCAGGCTTTGGTAACAGGATGATGCTGGCCTCATAAATTGAGTTAGGGAGAATTCCCTCTTTTTCTATCGATTGGAATAGTTTCAGAAGGAATGATGCCAGGTCCTCTTTGTACCTCTTGTAGAATTTGGCTGTGAATCTGTCTGCTCTTGGACTTCTTTTGTTTGATAGGCCACTTAATTATTGCCTCAATTTCAGAGCCTGCTATTGGTCTATTCAGAGATTCACCTTCTTTCCTGGTTTGGTCTTGGGAGGGTGTAGGTGTCCAGGAATTTATCTGTTTCTTCTAGATTCTTTACTTTATTTGCATAGAGGTGTTTATAGTATTCTCTATGGTAGTTTGGATTTCTGTAGGATTGGTGCTGATATCCTGTTTATCATTTTTTATTGCATCTACTTGACTCTTCTCTCTTTTCTTCTTTATTAGTTTTGCTAGTGGTCTATCAATTTTGTTGAACTTTTCAAAAAAGCAGCTCCTGGATTCATTTTTTTTTTAAGGATTTTTTATGTCTCTATCTCCTACAGTTTTGCTTTGATCTTAGTTATTTCTTGTCTTCTGCTAGCTTTTGAATTTGTTTGCTGTTGCTTCTCTAGTTCTTTTAATGGTGATATTAGTGTGTCGATTTTACATCTTTCCTTCTTTCTTTTGTGGACATTTACTACTATAAGTTTTCCTCTACACACTGCTTTAAATATGTCCCAGAGATTCTGGTACATTCTGTCCTTTTTCTCATTGGATTCAAAGAACATCTTTATTTCTGCCTTCATTTCGTTATTTACCCAGTAGTCATAGAGGAGCAGGTTATTCAGTTTCCATGTATTTGTGTGGTTTTGTGTGAGTTTCTTAATCCTCAGTTCTAATTTGCTTGCCCTGTGGTCTGAGAGATAGTTTGTTGTGATTTCTGTTCTTTTATATTTGCTGAGGAGTGCTTTACTTCCAATTTTGTGGGCAATTTTAGAATAAGTACAATGTGGTGCAGAGAAGAATGTATATTCTGTTGATTTGGGGTGGAGGATTCTGCTGATGTCTATTAGGTCTGCTTGGTGCAGAGCTGAGTTCAAGTCCTGGATATCCCTGTTAACTTTCTGTCTTGTTGATCTTTCTAATATTGATGGTGGGGTGTTAAAGTCTCCCATTATTATTGTGTGGGAATCTAAGTCTCTTTGTAGGTCTTTAAGGGCTTGCTTTATGAATCTGGGTGCTCCTGTATTGAGTGCATATATATTTAGGATAGCTAGCTCTTCTTGTTGAATTGATCCCTTTGCCATTATGTAATGGCCTTCTTTGTCTCTTGTGATCTTTTTTGGTTTAGAGTCTGTTTTATCAGAGATTAGGATTGCAACCTCTGCTTTTTTTTTTTCTGTTTTCCATTTGTTTGGTAGATCTTCCTCCATTCCTTTATTTTGAGCCTATGTGTCTCTGCACGTGAGGTGGGTCTCCTGAATACAGCACACTGATGGGGCTTGACTCTATCCAATTTGCCAGTCTGTGTCTTTTAGTTTGGGCATTTAGGCCATTTACATTTAAAGTTAATATTTTTATGTGTGAATTTGATCCCATCATTATGATGTAAGCTGGTATTTTTGCCCGTTAATTGATGCGGTTTTTTCATAGCATCAGTGGACTTTACAATATAGCATGTTTTTGCAGTGGCTGGTACTGGTTGTTTCTTTCCATGTTTAGTGCTTTCTTCAGGAGCTCTTGTAAGGTAGGCCTGGTGGTGACAAAATCTCTCAGAATTTGCTTTTCTGTAAAGGATTTTATTTCTACTTCATTTATGAAGATTAGTTTGGCTAGATATGAAATTCTGGGTTGAAAATTCTTTTCTTTAAGAATGCTGAATATTGGCCCCCAGTCTTCTGACTTGTAATGTTTCTTCCAATAGATCAGCTGTTATTCCAATGGGTTTTCCTTTGTGGGTAATGCGACCTTTCTCTCTCGCTCCTCTTGATTTAATTTTTCATTTCAACTTTGGGGAACCTGAAAATTCTATATCTTGGGGTTGCTATTCTCAAGGAGTGTCTTTGTGGTGTTCTCTGTATATCTTGAATTTGAAAGTTGGCCTGCCTTGCTAGGTTGGACATTCTCCTGGATAATATCCTGAAGAGTATTTTCCCAGTTGGTTGCATTCTCTCCATCACTTTCAGTTACACCAATCAAACATATATTTGGCCTTTTCACATTGTCCCATATTTCTTGGAGGCTTTGTTTCTTTTTACTCTGTTTTCTCTAATCTTGTCTTCTCATTTTATTTCATTAATTTGGTCTTCAATCATTGATATCCTTTCTTCCACTTGATTGAATTGGCTGTTGAATCTTGTGCTTGCATCACAAAGTTCTCTGCCATGATTTTTAGCTCCATCAGATCATTCTATACACTGTTTATTCTAGTTAGCCATTCATCTAACCTTTTTTTAAGGTTTTTATTTTCCTTGCGATGGGTTAGAACAAGCTCCTTTAGCTCAGAGAAGTTTGTTATTGCTGACCTTCTGAAGCCTACTTCTGTAAGCTTGTCAAAGTCATTCTCCATCCAGCTTTGTTCCATTGCTACAATTCTTTGTAGAAGAGGCACTCTGGTTTTTAGAATTTTCATCTTTTCTGCTCTGGTTTCTCCCCATCTTTCTGGTTTTATCTCCTTTTAGTCTTTGATACTGGTGACCTACAGATGGGGTTTTCTTTTGGATGTCCTTTTTGTTGATGTTGATGCTATTCCTTTGTGTTTGTTAGTTTTCCTTCTAATAGTCAGGTCCCTCAGCTGCAGGTCTGTTGGAGTTTGCTGGAGGCCTTCTCCAGACCCTGTTTCCCTGGGTATCACCAGTGGAGGATGCAGCACAGCAAATACTATGGAACAGCAAATATTGCTCCCTGATTATTCCTCTGGAAGCTTCATCCCAGAGGATCATCTCCCTGTTTGAGGTGTCTGTCAGCCCCTACTCAGTGATGTCTCCTAGTTAGGCTACGTGGGGGTCCGGGACCCACTTGAAGAGGCAGTCTGTCATTCTCAGAGCTCATATACCATGCTGGAAGAACCACCGGTCTCTTCAGAGTTGTCAGATGGTGATGTTTAAGTCTGCAGAGGTTTCTGCTGCCTTTTGTTCAGCTATGCCCTGCCCACAGAGGTGGAGTCTACAGAGGCAGTCCTTGCTGAGCTGTGGTGGGTTCTGTCTAGTTTGAACTTCCCAGCCACTTTGTTTACCTACTCAAGCCTCAGCAATGGCGGATGCCCCTTCCCCCACCATGGTGCGCTTTGCAGGTTGCTCTCTGATTGCTTTGCTAGTAGTGAGCAAGGCTCTGTGGGTTTGGAACCTGCTAAGCCAGGCATGGGAGAGAATCTCCCATTGTTTAGACCATGGGAAAAGTGCAGTATTTTGGCAGAAGTGTCCCATTTTTCCAGGTATAATATGACATGGTCAAGGGAAGTCCACTGACCCCTTGTGCTTCCTGAGTTTGGCGGTGCCCCAACCTGCTTTGGGTTCACCTATGTGGGCTGCACCCACTGTCCAATCAGTCCCAATGAGATGAACTGGGTATCTCAGTTTGAAATGCAGAAATCACCCATAATCTGCGTTGATCACCCTGGGAGCTGCAGATGGGAGCTGTTCCTATTTGCATCTTAGAACAGAGCAGTAATGTGAGATTACAGTTTGTTCATGTTTTTAAATCATACACTAGGCCCCCTATTGGTGAGTATAAGGGTCAGCTCTGAAGAGGGGGTCCAAGAGAAGTGTGAGCTGGATATTCAGTAAAGTCACATGAAGATTGGGTTTATATCTCATATTCATCATCACCCACAGTGATTTGTTTTTTGGGAAAAACCAAGGCTCTCTAGCAAATCTTTTTCCATTCTGATCTCATGAAGCAACAGGAGCCCATCTCCAATGCTAATTCTGCAGTGCACTTCACAGTTGCCACTGAGTTTTTTCTATGGGGTTTCATCCCTGCTTGAGACCCAACAGTCCAATCTCTGACTCAAGACTCTTGTAATGCCCACAGCAGCATCTGTTGGTAAGTTGACAAATCTCACTAAGATTAGTACAAGTCAGGGTTGAAAATGACACCCTTCTATTGGGTCCTTGTTTTGGAAGTATTTCTAGGCCCTTTCCCAGGGTTTTCCTTCTCACAGTTTTTCAGCCACCCCCCAAGTGACCTCCAGGTTTTGAGAAAAACAAGGTTCTCTTCAGGTGATTTTCACAGTTATCCAGTGGAAAGGTGGATTACAGATGGACACTATCTTCCCCTTTCCCATATTGAAGCTGCATTCACAGTTGTCAGCCAGAAGTTTCCCAGGTTTTAAATATTTACTATTTATATTTAGGTGCTTTAATGTTATATACAAATGTCATGTATAAATATATATTTATAATTTTAATATTACCTTAATTACTTTGTATCATCATATACTGCTCCTTCTGTTTCTTTCTACTGTTTTGGATAAAAATACATTCTATCTGATATAAGCATAATTATTCCTGCTGTTTGTTGACTTCTTTTTGGAAACCATTTTCTGTTGGTTTCCATTTTCTTTTTTCATAGTTTCACTTTCAGTCTATGTGTGTTTTTAAAAGTGAATTGAGTTTCTTATAAGCAGTATGTGATTTGGTTTTATTTTTTATTCATTGATTTGCTGTATTTTTTGTTTGACATTTTGTTCCATTACATCAGAGTAATTATTGATACATAAAGACTTCTGCCATTTAGTTGTTTTCTGTTATTTGCAGATAAACTGTTTCTTTCTTTCTCTCTTGCTTTTTTTGTGGTGTTAATTTCCTGTAGTATAAATTTTGAATGTTTTTAAACTTTTGTTTCCTGAATTTTCAGTAGATATTTTATTTGGTTATCATAAAGCTTTCTTAGAACAACTTTTATCTACAACATTCTATTTCAAGTTGATAACAACTTAAGTTTGACTCCATTTAACAATGCTATCTTTTACTTTACCCATTTTTAATATATTTGATGTCTATACTTACATTATTTTGTAATACACATCCTTTGATAATATATTTTAGCTATAGTTATAAGTAATTTTCCCCTTTAACCTTGAACTAAAGATAAAATTATGTTTAGCCTAATCATTACAGCTACAATTACAGGAAGGCAGGCCTAGTGGTGATTAAGTCTTTCAGTTTTGTTTGCATTACAATGTTTTCATTTTCCCCTCATTTCTAAAAGGGTAGTTTTCCTCATTTTTTCTTTCAGCACTTTGAGTATGTTATGCAAGTCTCCTGACTTGTAGGATTTCTACAAAGAGGTCTGTTGATAGTCATATTGGGACTTCTTTATATGTGACATACTTGTTATTTCTTGTAGATCTAAGAAGTTTTTCTTTGACCTAAGTTTTTGACAGTTTGATTATTGTCTATCTTTATAATTTTTTTCCCTTTGGGTAAAATTTTATTGAAGATTTCTGTATTTTCTGCACATGTCTGTTGGCTTTCTCCCTCATATTAGCAAAGATGTATCTCTTAATTTTTAATAATAAAAATCAAATGTGTTTGCAGTGTTCTAGCTTGCTGAGACTCTCCTAAGGAATAGTTTATATCTCTGTTTCCCAAAGATAGCAAATGGGACAGTGGCAAGGTTTGAAAGACAGTTTGGGTACTGCCAAGAACAATAGATCCCATGATATGGCAGATACTGAGAAAACTATAGTACCATGAACAAAATTCAGAGAAATAATAATGCTACAGGTTCCCAAGAATAAAATTTGGGCATCCCTCTTTAACTGGAAATACACAAACATAGAGAAGATGCATTCCTTTGAAAAGTTTGAAAAAATCTTCAAAATCTGTAGATGGGCTGGTTAATGATGGCTTTTTCCTGCACAGGGAAAATTTGTGAAGACTAGAGGAGGTGGCTTTTTTTCCTAATGCCTGAGTCTTGACAAAGATTACAGGCATACAAAAAAAGCAGAAACTGCTTCTTTGTCATGAAATTTATTTGTAAAATAAATTTTAATAATCAACCTTAAAAATGGAAAATCTACACATTACTTGGCAAGGACTTCAAAAAAGTCAGTTAAGGGGGAATAAGCTTAAAAACACAGAAAAAAGTGAAGTAAAAAAGATATTTGAATATAAGAATATTCATACATAAATAAAACCTATTTAAAAATTAGATGAGATAAAGATGTCAACAACTGAATTTAAAAAAATTTCTAGAGGCCAGGCATGGTGGTTCACACCTGTGATCCCAGCATGTTGGGAGCCCAAGGTGTGTGGATCACGAGGTCAGGAGTTCAAGACTAGCCTGTAATATTGTGAAACCTGTCTCTACTAAAAAATACAAAAACTAGCTGGGCATGTTGATGCATTCCTGTAGTCCCAGCTACTCGGGAGGCTGAGGAAGGAGAATCATGTGAACCCAGGAGGAGGAGGTTGCAGTGAGCCAAGATTGTGCCACTGAACCCCAGCCTGAACAACAGAGTAAGACTCCATCTCGAAAAATAATAATAATAATTAATAAAAAATAAATTCTAGGGCAGTTCAACAGCCAATTTCATCAAACAGACAATCAATAAAATTTGAAACAGGCCATTTAAAATATAGACTCAGAAGAGAAAAAAAATAATTACAAATAAAGAGAGCTTGAAGTATTTATGAGACATAATCAAATAGAACCAATGTATACATTGTAGTACTTCCAAAAGGAAAATAGAAAAAGCTGAGATTTTTTTGAAAAAACAGGACTTGAGCATAGACACTCAATCCTGTCAACACACGGAGTTGAAGGCTGAAATGGGAGAGCTGCTTGAAGCTAGGAGTTTGAGATCAGCATTTGCAATATAGCAGGGCCTCATTTAAAAAAATAAAAATAGATATGGAGGGAGAGGCCCACATTCTCAGCTACTCAAATAGCTGAGTGTGAGGACTGCATGAGCCTAGGAATTTGAAGATGCAGCCCCAATATTTATGCCAATGCACTGCAGCCTGAGTTGAAGAAGAAGGCTTTAACTTTTAAAAAAGAATGCCTGAAAATGTCCCAAATGTGATAAAATAAATGGATATAAAGTCTCAAGAAGCTCAAATAGCACCTACTAGAATAAATCCAGAGACGCAAATTGATACACATTATAATTAAATTTTGAAAAACCACACACAAAAACTGTTGAAAGCACCAAGAGAACAGAGGCTCTTTACATACAATGAATTTTTAAAACATTACCAGTTTATGTCTCAGCAAAACTTTGCAGCTGAAAAGGGTATTGGATGATATAGTTAAAACACTAAGAGAAAATACTAATGCTAAGCAAGAATACCATATTTGATAAAATTGTCCTTAAAACTAGAAGAATGTAAAAGTGACATAAACAAGATGACAGAATACAAGGTCTCCTGCCTGTATCTCCTTAGAGCAATAATAATTTTACAACGTATCTGTCAAAAAAATAACTTTCTGGGAGCCTCAGAAATCAGGAATTCTTAGAAAACCCCAAATGAAAGGTGAAGGATGATCATTTTGAGAGAGTAGTCCCACATGCATTTGAAAAACTCACCAACTTTAGTTCTTGCTTTAGATGCAAAAATAACCTCATTCCACTGAGGTTTTTTTTTAATTTAAATTACTGTTATGGGCTTTAATTGACTAAGAAAAATTACATATATGTATTGTGTACAAAATTATATTCTGGAAATACATTTGAGATAGTAATTACTGTACGTTGTACATGGCTACATAGAACTAATTGTCATATGCATTGCTTCCTATATTTATCTACTTTCAGCAATTTTCAGGAATATATTACTAAGTACAGTCATGCTTATACAACAGATGTCTTAAGTTTGTTTATTCTATGCATCCAAAATGTTGTAATCTTTGACAGGAATCTCTCCTCATGATTTCTCCTTCTTGGTAACCAGTATTATACTCTCGTTTTATGAATTTAGTTTTCTCAGATTACACAAAGCAGTGAGATTATGAAGTAATTGCCTTTCTCTGCCTAATTTTTATTTAACTGAAGAAATGTCCAGGTTAATCTCTATTGTTGCAAATAACAGAATTTTATTTTCATTTTCATTTCATTTATTTATTTTATTTACTTGAGATAGAGTCTTGTTATTTTACCCAGGCTGAAGTTCATGTTGTCATCATGAACCACTGCAGTCTCAGCCTCCTGAATTCAAGTAACCATCCCACCTCAGCCTTCTGAGTAGCAGTGTTGAGTTTTGAAGGGAAAGTGATGGTTAAAGAGAGACACATACACAGAAAGAGGATGGCTCAACAGCAAATGCAGGATTTATGTCCAGCATAAAACCTACAGAAATAGGGGACAAGCCTAATGCCAGAGCTCACTGTTGCTTACAGGTGGGGGTTACTTACAGCTATGCGTGGGAGGGTTCTCGGCAGCATGGCTTGCTACTGGCAGGATATTGATAAAATATTCCCATGGTGAGGTGGTTCTGGTCCTTGTTCCAGTGGGATGACATTGTGGTATTCCTTGGAACTTTGCCCAGCAAGATATGACAGGGATGGTTCTTTAGTTGGACCTTTGTCTGCCTTGTGGTCAGGTAGTTAATCAGGATGTTTCTCATGGCCTGAAACCCCATGAAATGTTTCATTTTGGCCAAGGTCTGCACAATAGCAGGAAGCTTACTTACATAATGGTGCAGTTGGGACTAATATTCTTGCAAAGTCTGCAAGAAGGAAGGGAGCTTACAAAATGTTGCAGTTTGGACTAACATTCTTGCCTTTTAGTTTAAGAATGAAGGGGGTCATTGTTGAGTATCTGTCTTTTACAGCTGAATAGGGGCCATGTACTCATAGTTGGGTTTTGAAGCAGTGGGTGTTCAGCTTCAGAGTTGCTTTCCTGGAGGCACTGATACCAGACCTGGCAGAGGAGAAGAATGGTATCAATGTGTTTCTGGCTGGTTACTTGGGAGAGTGTTTAGTCTTTGGGTGATAAAGTGGGATAAAGCTGGACATGGCTCTTGAAAAGAGTTTCTGTTAATGAACCATGTAGGTGTTCCTTGTAAAGGGGCTCCCAAAATGTGTTGGAAGTGGGAAGAGAGGGAAGAAGAATTTGAGAGTTCCAGGCAGGTATGAGAGAGCTTAGAGTCAGAGGTGTCTACAGGGAAGAGGGTGTCTGGGTTAAAAGCTTTATATCTCTGGAAGGTGATTAGAGGGTTTCCTATAAATAAGGCATGGACCTGTTGTAAGTGGGTAGGTGGCAGGGATAGAAGATATTGATGGCTTATGAGATTCTGTAGGTTATGGGAAGATGCAATACTAATGTATTGGTGGAGTGTGAGTTTCTCAGCCTCTGAGGCCCGCAATATGTCCACAACCAAGATTTTTAAGCAGGGTGGCCAGCCTTGAATGACAGAGTCCAGCTGTTTTAAGAGGTATGCAATGGCTTGTGGGGAGTTGCTGTATGTTTGGCAGAGTAATCCAAGAGCAAGGCCTTGGTTAGAATGTACATGCAGAATAAAGGGCTTGGTGGGGTTTGGCAGTCCCAGTGTCAGAGCCATTAAAAGGACATTTTTTAGTTTTTTTAAGTGGGAATTGATGGGACAAGCTGAATTTAGGGATTCCAAAATGGGACCATGTAAAGCTGTGTAAAGTGGCTTGGTCAGCAGGCAAATGTTGGAAATCCACAGCCAGAAGTAGCCTGCAAGCCCCAAGAAGGAGAAGAGGTCTTTCTGTGGCAAAGGGGCATGGCCCAAATTAGGTCCTTTCATTGGTCTGGGATAGCCTGAGAATTTGGGGTTAGAACAAGTCCAAGGTAAGAGACCTGGATTTGGGCTACCTGAGCCTTTGTGGGTGAGATATTATATCCTTGACTATGGAGGAAGTTTAAAAGTTGAGTGGTGTGTGGATGGACAGGTTAAGGGAGGGGCTACAGTGGAGGAGGTCATCAATATATTGGAGCAGAGTTCTAGAAGCAAGGGGAAGTTCAGCTACATCCTTGGTGAAGACTTGTCCGAATAAGTGGAGGGTATCCCAGAGTCCCTGCAGGAGTATTATGGTCCATGTTCATTGGGTAGAAATATGAGTATAGAGATCTGACCAGTTGAAGGGAAAAAGATTTTGGGAAGCTTGATTTAACAGAATAGTGAAAAAGGCATCCTTTAGATCCAACACTGAGAAGCATGTAGTTCTGGGGGCATTTGGGAGAGTAAAGTATATGGGTTCGGGACCATGTGGATTGGCACCGCTGCCTGGTTAACAACTTGGGAGATGATGGACCAAGCAGTAAGACCCATCTGTTTTTTGACAGCCAGGATGTGGTTGTTGTTGGAAGAGTTGACAGGCTTGAGAATTTGAGCTTGTAAAAGTTTACAGATAATAAGTTTAAGGCCCCGAAGGCCAATTGTGTTAAGGAGATATTGAGACTGACAAGGGAATATTGAGGGGTTTTAGAGTGTTCTATTTTTTTTTTTTTTTTTTGAGACAGACTCTCGCTCTGTCACACAGGCTGGAGTGCAGTGGCATGATCTTAGCTCACAGCAACCTCTGCCTCCTGGTTTCAGTGATTCTCATGCCCCAGCCTCCTGACTAGCTGGGACTGGAGGCACATGCTACCATGCCTGGTTAGGTTTTGTATTTTTTTAGTAAAGACAGGGTTTCACCATATTGGCTACACTGGTCTCAAACTCCTGACCTCGTGATCTGAGCCCCTCAGCTCCCAAAGTGCTGGGATTACAGGCATGAGCCACTGCCCCTGGTCTTTGGAGGGTTCTATTAACTGACATGTGATGTGCGTCTACTGTGAGTTTAGAAATGTTCCAACTTTATGATTAACAGAAGGTAAAAGGGTGGATAAATGATGATGAGGGAAAGGAGAGGGAAGCATTCAGTTGGCAGAGGAAAACAAAAGGGTTAGAACTGCAGGAAGCAAATTGTGTTGAGGTCCAGAATTTACTTAGTATGTCCCACCCCAAGGTAGGGGTAGGGCATTGAGAGATAACCAAGAAGAGGGTGTTGAATAGGTTTCATAATAGAGGACCAGTCTCTTTGTGCCTAGAGGGGATTCCATTGATGCCCACAATAGAGATAGAACTGAGGAGAGGTCCACAATATTCTGGTGAAACTGCATTCCCATGTGAAAGAGAAAAGACAGAGGCTTACCAGTGACTGAAAGTGTTACCCTGAGTTCTGAGGTGGTGATGGTGGTGGGGGTGGACTCCAGGCCTCATCAGTCTTCAGTTAATGGTGGTGAAGCAAGATAGAGTTTTGCTGAGCACAGGATGGCTTTCAGAGTTCCTTTATATCACAGATAGGGTAAGGTTTTGAGGGTCACCTGGGATTAGGGCAGGCTTTTGACCAGTGACCCTGTTAAACATACTTCAGACAGGCTTCTTGACAAAGTTTGTTCCAAGGTTGAGGATTTCTGTATGTGTTGGGAACCCTGTTGTATCACAGCTGCCAGCATTTTGTATTTAGCTTGGGTTCTTTAAGCATCTGGGTTTTCAGATTTTCCTCTCTATTGTTAAAAGCCTTACAGGCCACTTGGGGTAAATCTCTTTAGGAAGTTTGAGGGCCATACTCCAGTTTTTAAAGTTTCTTTTAGACATCAGGGGCTGCCTGGAAAATAAAGTGTAAATGGAGGTTGATTCTGCTTTTACTTGTATTAGGGTTTAAGGTGGTATATTTATTCATTGCCTTTGAATGGCAGGAGACAAAAACAGCAGAGGCAGCTTTATCCATGCCAGGTAGGAGGCATGATATTATATGGTCTTGTTTCTGTCTGTCTGTGGAAGATGCCTGATAACCCCAATTGGGATTAGTTCTGGGGACAGTTAGGATCCCAGAACTGTTGGGTTATGGGCAACATCTTTTTGGTGGAGGGTAGTTGCATAGGCCTGGGTGGCTGTCCAGATGTGTTCCCTATCCTGCAGGTGAGGGTGGAAGGGAGGATGACATATGGCGTGCCAAATAAGTTTATAAGATTGAGTGGCATACAAAAATCCCTTGATGAAGGATGTAGGATCCATGGAAAATGAGCCAAGTCTCTTTTTAGCTGGAAGAGGCTGGCTAGGGAGAAGGGAATACGAATTCAGATTATGCCTTCAGCCCTGCCACCTCCCATAATGGGAGGACTTTGGAGGGCCTCTGGGCATGTGCCTGGTTTTTGGCAGAAGCGGGTTGGACATGAGACATTGTTTGCTGGCTGGTTTGAATTTAGAGGGGGAAGCTTGTCCAGAGGATGAGACATTTTTGTGGGTTGGGTTTTTTTTTTTTAATTGAAGATGAGGATTTCAGAAAGTGAACAGGATTGGCAAAGAGAGAAAGAGAGCCATGAGTGGACATAAGCAAAGCACTTTGGATCATTTCCCATTGCATTGAAGGAAGTTTTGTAGATTATGTTGAATTTGGAAGTTGAAAGTTTTGCTTTTTGGTCATTGACTATTATGTCCAGTTTACATTGGGCTAGCCAATATTACAGAGGAAAGTACAAAAGAAAGCAAGGCAAAGCAAGGCATTCAGTTTTAATGGACTCCGCCAAGCCACAGGGTTGGAGGATCCAGATGAGACATGTGACAGGAGTGAATAAAGTGTTTAGGTTTTTTTATTTTATTTTATTTTATTTTATCTTTTTATTTTATATTTTATTTTATTTATTTTATTTTATTTTATTTTTTATTTTATTTTATTTTATATTTTATTTTATTTATTTTGTTTTGTTTTATTTTATTTTATTTATTTTATTTTATTTTATTTATTTAATTTAATTTAATTTAATTTAATTTTATATGATGGAGTCTTGCTCTGTCACCAGGCTGGAGTGCAGTGGTATGATCTCAGCTCACTACAGCCTCCATGTCCTGGGTCCAAGTGATTCCCCTACCTTAGCCTCCTGAGTAGCTGGGACCACAGGCAGGCACTACCACACCCAGCTAATTTTTTTTGCATTTTAGTAGAGAAACTCTTAGAGTTTCCAGATGAGACATCTGAGTGTAGTGTCTTGTGGAGTTTTTAAGGAGCCTTGCCCTGTATTTGTGGCTGGAAGGGTAAGAAATTTTAGAGGATGGGAGTGAGTACCCCATTCAAGATCTGGGGCATCCCTGCAGCTCTTTGCTCTCCCCCAGTGACTGGAGCAGCCAGAGTGGTGTGTGTTCTGAAGATGTCCCCTGAGAAGGCAGGCCACAGTAACCTGGTGACTGGGGAGACCTCTCACCTAGTGCTAAGATTTTCTGAAACCAAAAATACAGAGAAATCTGGAAAGGAGGAAGGGAGACTCACTCACTAATTGGAGACTTGTGTTGGATGTGATGTCCAGCAATAGGATTAATCCTTCCTGAAGCAGCCTGAAAAAGGGAAGGAAGGAAAAAGAGGAGTTTGATTAGCATCTGGAGGTTAACCTAGGGCTGGAGAAGTAAAGAGAATAAGGGAATGGAGCTGGGAACAGGGAGTCCTCTCAGGACATGGAAGCAAGTCCAGGTCTAGTTTTTGTTGATTGCTGCTTTCCAGGTTGCAAGAGGAGAGTTACCCATTAGAACCCAATCCCCATCCTGAGTTTTGGCACCAAAATGTTAGGTTTTGGAAGGAAGGCAAGGGTTAAAGAAAGACATACATGTAGAAAGAGGGCAACTCAACAGCAAATACAGGCTTTATGGATAGCATAAAGCCTGCAGAAGTGGGAGACCAGCCTAATGCAAGAGCCCACAAGTGCTTACAGAGTGGGGTTACTTATAGGTATGAGTGGGAGGAGTCTGGGCAGCATGGCTTGCTATTGGCAGGATATTGATAAGATGTTCTCATGATGATGCAGTTCTGGTCTTCCAGCAGGATGTCATCATGGTGTTCTTTGGACCTTTGCCCAGTAAAATATGATAGGGATGTTTATTTAGTTGGGCCTTTATCTGCCTTATGATGATGTGAAATATCAGGCAGGATGTTTCACATGGTCCAACCCCCTATGAAATATTACACTTTGACCAAGCTCTGCACAATAGCAGGGAGCTTACATAGTGATGTAGTCTGGACTAACAGCTGGGACTACAGGCATGTGGTCTTCATGCCTTGAGCTCAAGTGATCCACCAATCTCAGCTTGCTGAGCCGCTGGGACTACAGGCATATAACGCTATACCTGGCTAATTTTTGTATTATTTGTAGACAGGTGGTTTTGCCATGTTGGTAGGCTGAGGCAGGAGGACTGCTTGAACCCAGGAGATCATGACCAGACTGAGGAACAAAGTGAGACCTCATATCTACAAAATTAAAGAAAAAAAATTAGTCTGGCATGGTAGTACATGTGTGTAATCCTGGCTACTGTGGGGGCTGAGGCAGGAGTACTGCTCGAGCAGGAGTTGGAGGCTGCAGTGCACTATGATTGCACCACTGCACTATAGCCAAAGTGGAATCCATTACTTTCCTGGCTTTGTTCTTTAGCACAGAGAGGAATATCAGGGAATGTGCCATTGTTTGCACTGCCTGATTTGAGGCTACCTGCAACCAAGAATGTTAAGGCATTTCCTTTGCCACAATGTAGCCATAATTGTTTTTGGGCAGGCACACAGTAAGGTTTAGCACTGTTATAACTTACATTCAGTGGGAGGATTGTGGAGTGATATGTAGTGTTACCTGACATCTCAGCCCAACATGTGTCATTAAGAAGGGACCCTAACGGGGTATGTCAATCCCTCCCAGCCAAGTAGTCATGTTGTTAGAGGCTGGGAAGGGGGTGTCCACCCAAGTAACAGGGCAGAAGAAAGGTGAATCCAGAAGATGGGCCCAATAGAGAGTAGTAGGTGCAGATTGCAGGCAAAGTGAGAGAATAAGAAATGTTAATACCCTATGACAGTTGCATTACGTAACAGAAAGCATAGTGAGGAACAAATTATCTGGAGTAAATGGTGTCTTTGTCTGAAGCAAGATTCGCTCAGCCTGAGTTGTCTTCTTCAGCAACCCCCAGGTAATGTCTGGGGCCTGTGTCACCTGAGGAAGCTGCATCATCTGGGGCTGCGGGTCCTGCAGGGTCATTTCCTTCATTTCTGCTACCGGATGGGGTCCCAGCCATGCCATGGTATGGTTTGATGCTTCACACTGGAATCCAAAGAAGACCTGAGGGGGTGTGAACACAAGCATATCCTCTTCCCCACATTAAGTCATGTGGACCACACCATATATTACTATTTACATCTTTCCATAACACCACAGATTTTATGTCTTGAGGGGCTTTTGCAAAGTGCTTTTCTATAGCTGATGGAAATTTATCACCTAAATTTAAGAAATTAAGGGTAAATAAGTCTTGTGCCAATAGTGTTGCAGGGTCCTTACTCATATTCCCACTTTTCTGTTTTCTCAGCATATTTTTAAGGGTGGAGTGGGCACATTCTATTATGACCTGTCCTTGGGGGTTATATGGGATACCCATGGAATGTTGGATGTTCCATGTGTGACAAAATTTTTGAAACTGAGCAGGTGTAAAAGCCAGGCCATTACCAGTTTTAATTTTGGTGGCCTGCCCCATAAATGCAAAAGTTAAGAAAAGATGTTTAATGACATATCATGTGGACTCTCCAGAAAGAGCATGAGCACTAATTAGATGGGAATTGTTATCAACAGATACATGTACGTATCTTAGTTTTCCACATTCAGGGACATGTGTAACATCTTTTTGCCATAACTGATTAGGTTCTAGTCCTCCAGGGTTAACCCCTGTTGAAGGATGGGATGTGCCTGTGTGCTGGCAATCTGTGCATTGTAAAATAATTTGTTTAGGTAGTCTTTGGGTTAGTTGAAATTGTTTAATTAATTTTCTCCAATTTTGGTGGAAAAAGTGATGTGATTGGGTGGCTTGGTCAAGCACTGACGTCATAACTTTCAGGTCTGCTTAATCATTGCCATGAACTAGTGGACTGGGCAGCAAGATGTGGGCCTGAATGTGTGTAATTAAAATATAATGTCTTCATTGATCCAGCCATTGCTGAAGTTGAAGAAAAAGGGCACACAGGGTGGGCTCAGTAGTGGACATGAGGGCTGTTTTGAGGTTTTGCAATAAATAAACGGAGTAAGCAGAGTCACTAACAATATTGATGGGCTGAGTGGAAAAGATTTCCAGGGTCAATATTAGGGCTGTAACCTCAGCTCTCTGAGTACTAGTAAATTCAGATCGAGTGAGGGAGTTTTGTGGTTCCTACCAGGTAGCTGCTTTTCCATATTTACCAGAGCCATCAGTGAAAAGCATAAATGTGTTAGGTATGGGGGAGTGAACTACCTACATAGGCATAACTACGGGAACATGAGATAAGAACTGAAGTAGTTTGTCAATGGGAAGAGCATGTTCTACATGGCTCTCATAATCAGAGAGTGCTATCTCAAAGTATAGAAATAGGGGCAGGAGTGCTTCAAATTGTTTTTTACTTAAGGGTATTCTTATGACATCAGGGTCATAAACTTGCAATTGATTGCATCGTTTTCTACCTGTATAGATGACTTACTAAATAGCTGGACATGGAGAGATAGTGTTCTAGTCCCAGTATGTGACCAAAAACCCCATTCTAGGAAGCATAGCCCTGGGACCATTGGTCCTTTTAATCTTGTTGGAGAATGCTTAGTAGGAAAAACAAGCAATTGGACTGAATATTGTGGGTCTATTCAATATAGTTGCCCCTGAAAAATAGCTTGTTCTATTTCCTCAATTTCTCTTTTTGCAGTGGGGGTTAAGTACTGGGTGAGTCCAGGGCTGCATTGCCCTTTAGGATGAAAACAAGTTCTGTAATTTGTCAGTACTTATGCCCAAGGTGGGGCAGGGCTAGTTAATAGGGCCCAGTAATTTTTGACAATCATTTAAGCTGTGTAAGGTGTTAGTATTCAATTTAAACTTTTGAGGTCTTACGGACCAGGAAGTTAGTATGTATCCAAGATATTTCCAAGGGGAGGACATCTGTACATTTTCAGGTGCTATGATTAAACCTCATAACTGTGTCCTTTTGACAGGCATATAAACTCAAAAGTATTGGCTCCTTTGGGGCTGCTGGTATGGATGACCTCACAATTAGGAAATTATTTTCTACTGGGGAGCAAAGCCTGATTTACATGATACTGACACATGGTAGGACTGTTTAGCATTCTTTGAGGAAATACTTTCCAGCAAAATTGGTGAGCTGTACTTTCATTATTGATAGCTAGTATTGCAAACACAAATTATTATATGTCATGTTCTGCAAGGGGACTAGTATAAAAAGCAGTCTTTTAAGTCAATAATGACTATGGGCCAGTCTCGAGGAATCACCACCTGAAAAGGGAGACCCTGTTGAACGGGCCCCATCAGGGCAAATTAGCATTGATAGCATGTAAGTCATGCAAAACTCTTCATCTACCAGAATTTTTGGGAATGACAAAAACAGGCAAATTCCAAGGGCTGTTTTATGGTTCTGTATGACTGGTTTGAATTGTTCCTCAGCTAATTCATGGGCTCATTGTAATTTATCTCCCTCTAAAGGCCACTGTTCTACTCAAATTGGATATTGAGAGAGCCATGTCAGGAGTAGGGGAGGAAATACAGCAGTGGCCACTATTAGAAAAGGGTCTGCAAGGTGACCCCCCATTGGACTAACAGATCCCATCCGCAAAGATTAACAGGGATGGGGATGATTAAAGGTTGTATAACTGCTTTTCTTCCCTCCAGATCATGACATGTTAGGAGGTGCATGCTCTGCTTGGCTGTCGGTGCTTTCCCAATGCTGACAGTTTTTTTAATTCTGAGTGACATAGGGCCAAGTTTCTGGCCAGTTTTAATCATTAATGATCGAAATGTCTGCCCTTGTATCCAACAGGCCAGTAAAATTTTTATTTCCCATTTTTAAGGTAATCACGGGTTTCTGATCAGGGATTAACTGGTCCCAATATACTCCTGTGGCTCCCAAGCTTCCAAAACATCCTTGTCCCCTTTCCTTTCCCTGGGCATTGGGAACCCAGTATAGTAAGTAGTAATCCAGCTATCTTAGATATAGGAGAGCATATGTAGTCCTTTAGATTACATCATAACTAATATGTCACCTGATAATCACTATCAATTACTCTGGTAAGCACATTGATTCCTTTACAGGATAGTTTGGATCACCCTAGGACCAATCCCACTGTTTCCAGAGGCAGTGGGTCCAGACTCTTGTTGCAACCCTTTTAGGGTCTTCTTCTTTTAGCACTAATTTGTTGGGGCAGAGTAAGTCCAGTTGTGAGTTCCCAGTGGTGGCTGCTCTGAGAAAGAGGACTGAGGGCTTTCCATCTGATCTAGGAAAGCTGCTGAAGTTTTCAACTTAATTACTTAGGGGGTTGCCATTTTTATCAAATTTGGACTTACTTTGATTTGCCCAGTGTTGTCCCTTTTTACCTCAGGGGCATATAGAAGAAGGTTCTTTTCCTGAGTTACTTTGGTCTTTACTATTGGGGCATTTCTGCTTCATATAACCTGGTTCTCCACATAGAAACAATTTGGGTTTTTCTCTCTTTTCACTTTAGGAGGCTGTAATGACATTGCCAATATTCTGGCTTTGTGTGTTTCAGTCTGCACCAGCTGACTTCCTCATGTAAGTTCCCCTGACTGTAGCTGCGTTTCCTCTGATTGCCTACATTGCTTGCTGGCAGTCTACATTAGCATTTTTTTAAGCCAATTGCAACAATAAGATATCAGCAGCCTAGTCATGAGTAATTTGTCTCTCAATTGCGTGGGTCAACCAACTGATAAATTCAACAAATGCCTCCTGAGGCCCTTGTCAAACATTTACAAAAGCCCCCTGATGAATTCTGCCTTGGGGAATTTGGTCCCAGATCCTGTGAATGCACAAAGATACTTGTGCAAAGAGGGACAAAATTTAATTGTTGTTGTGCATTAATACAGGGACCCCTCCCCTGAACGTAGCAGCCATTATGTTTTGCTTGGCCTATTGATTCTGATTGGCTTGTTGTCCTCACAACTCATGACATTTAGAGGTATTGACTGGCCTCTAAAGTTGTTTTAGCTAATACTGACCAGTCCCACAGGGTTATATGGTAGTTGTTTGCTATGGCCTCAATTAATCCTTTTGTAAATGGGCTAGCAGCTCCATTTTCTCTAATGTTTTTTCTCATTTCCTTGTAAGTGTTGAAAATAATGGGTTTATGTACCTGATTTCCTTGTTGATCTTGCATCACTGGGTAGGCCAAGAGCTCCCCTTCTAATATGCTTTCCTAAGTTAGGGTCCCATAACTGTAGTGTATCATCTGTCTTTTTTCCAATTTATTGGTGGAGGGGGCTCAGGGAAAATCTCTGTCTCCTGTGTGGCACCTTTACTTGATAACAGTGGGTCTGAGGGAAGAGGAGGAGGAGGTAAGGTAGATGATAGTTCTTCCTCCCTTCCCTTTTTAGGCTATTCTGTGTAGAGTGGGGCCAAAGCAGCCCTACCTAAGGCCCATAACGTTAAAGATGTTACTGGGACATGTTGCCCTTCTGCATGATGTCATTTAAGTTTCTCCCCACTTAGTCCCAGAGCTCTAAGTCTAATGTGCCTTCTTTAGGTAACCATGGGGGTTATGGCAAACAACAGTTTGCATTAGTTTCCTTAATCGAGCCTGCAAAACCGAGGCTCCACTTGCTTTAAGTAGCTGTTTCAATACTTTTATATACTGTTGCTGTTGAGCTGGTAACTGTTGTCCCATGGTGAAACCCTAGCTTGAAAATCCCCTTCAACTTGGGAATGCTGAACAGACACAAATTACTTACTGTGCAGTCACTTCACCTTCTTTTTTTTTTTTAAGACGGAGTTTCACTCTTGTTGCCCAGGCTAGAGTGCCCAAGTAGCTAGGACTACAGGCACGCACCACCACACCCAGCTAATTGTTTGTATTTTTAGTAGAGACAGGGTTTCACTATGTTGGTCAGGCTGGCCTTGATCTCATGACCTCGTGATCTGCAAGCCTCGGCCTCCCAAAGTGCTGGGATTACAGGCGTGAGCCACTGCGCCCGGCCCACTTCACCTTCATTTTTGAGGGTTCTGTTGTGATCCATTGCAGTGTTCCTCACAAAGGACACTACCTGCCATGTTTTTTGTGCAGACCCTGGCCGAGTGACAGATAAAAGGAATACTTAGACACAGGTATGCAGTGTAAGATCCGGTAGGGGTCTGCCTAGCTCTAGTGGCCAAAGTGTAGCCTCGAGAAGCTAGAGCTGCTTGCTTTTATTCAGTGCAGGCATAATGCTGAGAGCCTGGAGCAAACACAATCTGTGGGAAATTAATATTTATTGTTCCCCTTTCAGGGAGTGTCATGCACCTGGATGATCAAGCATCAGTTCCTGGTCAATATAAGTGAATAAGCCTGTTTAAGATAAATTCCCCTACACTTCCTTGTACCTACCGCTTGCTGTCTGCCTCAGAGATAGAGAACAGCTGCCTTCAGCTATTCTCCCCTGAAGCTATGCAGAGGCTTCTGACCTTTCAGAAGGCCTGCTCCTTTCCCTATAAATTTCTCCCACCACTCTGACCGATCTCCTGCCGTTTCACATATAACTCACAATTATTTCATTCATTTTGACTTTAGATATTCTGATGACTCTGTTCTTTGGTGATGATGATCTTTCCACAATAAAATTCCCAGGAATCCTTTGAGCTTCTTGCATTTGGCTGTCTAGATGTCTGGCAAGGCCAGAGACAATTTTCTCAATTTTTGCCTCAAGTTAAGTTTTCAAAACTTTTAGACTTCTCCCTCAAGAACATCAATTAATCTTAGGTTTGTCAGTTTTACATAATTCCATATTTCTTGGAGACTGTGTTCAGTTTTTGAATTCTTTTTATTTTGTCTTTGTTTCATTGGGTTAAAAGTCTTGCCTTTGAGCTCTAAAATCTTTTCCTCTACTTGTTCTTATCTATTATTGAAACTTTCCACAGTGTTTAGTATTCCCCTGTGTGTCTTTAATTTCCAGAGAAGTTATGATTGTTCTGATTCCTTTTTTCTTATTATAGCTATTTCTTTGGAAATTTAAAAATTCATATCCTATTTTTAAAATTTTTGGTTGTTTTTTACTTTTCTCTGATATCTTCTCGAGTATCATAATAATCAATCTTCTCAATTCTTTGGCATTTCAGAGGTTTCATCTTGGTTTAGATTTACTGCTGGGGAGCTGGTATAATCTCTGGAGAGAATTATAGAGCCTGTTTTGTCATATTATTAGAATACCTTTCTTGTTTCTTCTCACATGGATAAACTATTTTTTTAAGTTTTTCTTGAATTTATTTTTTACTTGATTATTTTTTCTTATTCCTAATAATCTGACTTTGATGTTTATAGTTTATTTTAGCTTAATTTTGTTCTTGGTGCTTGTAGTGGTGATGACCCTGTATGAGTTTTTTTTACTTATAGAGCGTCCTTTTGTGCTGGCTTTCTGAGATGCTGGTTGTAGTAGTAATGTTCTTGGTATGTGGATGAGTTCACTGGCTTCTATGGTTTTGGAATGGCAGGGATCTCTTGAAGCTTAGCTCATTCTCAAGTGGTATACATTTCACTTATTTATTTAATTTTCCCCCTAAAATGTGTACATTTCATTTATTTATTTAATTTCCCCCCAGGATTTTATTTACTGAGTTGATGATTCAGTCAATAGGGCAGGTAACCCTGGGTAGACACTGGTTGTAGCTAATGTGGGTAGATCTAGGAAGATGTAATACCCAGTGTTGGGTAGAGGTTCCAACCTTTGATGAAGGTGGCTGTGGGAGCTCTCAATTAGATGTGCTGAGGATTTATCAAAGTGAAGGGGAGAGCTACTTTAGCACCCCTGCCAGACAAGGAGAAAAGTTATCTGCCTCTCAGCCTCATTCCTGTCCCATATTTTAGCTTTTCAGATCAAACAGGTACCTCTTATCATCCATAGGAACGTTTATGTTCCAAGTAGACAGAAATTGTGACTCTGCCTGTTGTGCGGGTCTGAATCAGGGAAGCACTCCTCCTGCGGGGATGCAATTACCCTGAATTGTTCCCGGAAGTTTGCCTGTAGATTAATTCATGCTGCATCCCATAAGACAAGCCCCAGCTCTGTCTGCAAAGGTATACGGTGTGGCAGGGGGTGGGAGTGGGAACAGACCTCTTCTCCAAGCCTCTTTACAATCACGGAGGTTGCCTGCCTGTTGGGGTAGAGGTACAGAATTTCCCTGCTTTAACTAGCACTGCAATTATGTCTTTGCTGTAAGAAGCTTCCCACCAGTGGGAAAGATAATGGATGGAAGGCCTTCCACCCAGATTCCTTTGTCCCACTGGGTGTTCCCTTGATATGGTGCACGATCCTTCCTTCTCCTGTGAATGGAACTTTCTGAGAGCTGCACTGCATTTATTGTTATTGCTCTTCTGAGTCTAGCTACCCAGATGGGCTGCCAAACTTCAAGCTCGTGCTGGGAAATGTCTGGAAGGGATCTAGTGATGCAACCTGACTTCAGGTCTCCTAGTAGTAGATACCAGTGCCTGCTCCCTTAGAGGTGGCAGGGGAATGACATACACCATTTGATTCCTTAGTTGTATATAAACTTAATGTGATGGCTTTCTTGAATGCTGATTTTAATTGTAATGAACTTGTAACATGTACACACTTATGACCTGTCATTGGCCAGGTTTTTGTAGGCAGTGGTGTTAGCTGAGATTCCCATAACTATTTTCTCACTCCTAGGAGCAGTGCTCTTCTGCTGAGAGATGCTGTAATGGCCTAAGCAGTTTGGCCTCCCACCAAGAGATGGCATATAAAAGAGAGCACCAGCTGTGGTAGTAGCAGTAAGATTTGTGCTTACTTTGTTTTTCTGTAGAAGTATTCTGGGTTCTCAGGTGATAGATGGGGTCATAAAACTCCTAAAAGTTTATGTTATTTGTGTTAAGCTACCAGGGTAGGTAGAGAAATACCATTAGGTGGGGTCAGTGTTAGGTATGAGCTCACACTCTCCTTGGGCAGGGCCAGCTGTGGCCACTGTGTTTATCAGGTCACTAGGTAATATTCCAGAAAGTAATATTCCACTAGGTAATATTCCAGAAGAAAATATCCAGGTCACTAGGTAATATTCCAGAAGGGAGTAAAACTGCCTCTGCTGGGCAGTAAAGTTCACAAATGGTGTGGGGAGTAGCAGGAAATTATAAGCCTCACCCAGGTCCCAAAAACCTGACAAAGCTGGTCTCACCTGAACAGTGCCCCATTAACAGCACCTTGTTTAAATCCAGGTAGCTTGCACACACAACTCAGATCTTCCCCACTTTGTAAGCTTCCCTGCAGAGATAACAACCTTGATTTCTATTCCATGACCCTCTATGTCTTCATGTGAAGCTGGCTGCCCAGCTCCTGTGCTCCTGTCTACAGTATCCTCACACTTGTCCCCAGTTGTGTTCGAGGAAGTTTCTCCCCATTTAGAGAATTACAAAATTCACTTGGGAGCTCCTTCCACACTGTGACACTCCCTGATCTCATTGTTTGACTTTCATGAAGGCCCTTGTGAGTTGTAGTCATGGATGACTTCCCTCAGCTCATGCTGGATACTAGGAATGCGTACAAGGTTCTTTCTGCTGCTGCTTCTACTTTTACATTTCATGTGGCCCCCTAAATCTCTTTGGGTAGGGTTAAGGGCTTCTCCTGTAATCTGGATGTTCAGATTACCTAGGGTTGTGTGCTCAGATGCAGGCTTTCTAACTTTAACACTCTGGAAACATTTTTTTACCTGCTTCATAGAGTAGGAATCAGCTTGCCACTTCTTTTTTTTTTTTTTTTTTTTTTTTTTTTTGAGACGGAGTCTCGCTCTGTCGCCCAGGCCGGACTGCGGACTGCAGTGGCGCAATCTCGGCTCACTGCAAGCTCCGCTTCCCAGGTTCACGCCATTCTCCTGCCTCAGCCTCCCCAGTAGCTGGTACTACAGGCGCCCGCCACTACGCCCGGCTAATTTTTTGTATTTTTAGTAGAGACGGGGTTTCACCTTGTTAGCCAGGATGGTCTCGATCTCCTGACCTCATGATCCACCCGCCTCGGCCTCCCAAAGTGCTGGGATTACAGGCGTGAGCCACCGCGCCCGGCCGCCACTTCTTTTAAAGGTTGTGTGGATTCTTTCAGTTTTCCTATTAAGATTCAAAGTGGTACTTGAAAAAAACAATTCATAGTGTGAATTTCTACCCTCTATTTTTTCTTTCAAGGGTGAAAGGCATGCTAACACTACCTCCTGTCTGCCATTTTGAAAAATAAATGGGTATATAAATTTATTAACATGTATGAGCATTATATAAAACATAAAAATTCAAATAAACAGCCAGATCTTTAATGCTTTTATACTAATTGAGCTTAGAGGAAAAAATGGATGCTTGAAGCATGAAAAAACAAGTTACAGTGAGCAAACTATAATCCAAAAAATTATGTCAAATTGCAACTAGAACTAAAGATGCTTAAGTTATAGAAAGAGGAGAAGAGAAGGCCTAGCTAGCAAACTTTATCTTGTTATATAGATTAAATCTCATAGAAGGCAGTCCTCAGATAGAATAGTACATTTTTTTTTCCAGCTTTTTAAATTTGTCACTCAGTATTTCTAAGTCTGGCTGCATTAATGTAAATTTTCTATGCAAATATGACTCTTTTTTAAAAAAAAAAAAAAAAAAAACAGCTTTGAGGATTTCTTCTCCTTGCAGGCCCTTTGCATAGCCATCTCAAATATATCAAATAAAAATATTTCAAAGTAAAATATTTTGATTTCCTTCAGTCCTCTCTATAAAACTTTTACATTTAGAACATTTGAGATATTAAAAGCAGAGTTTGAGAAGCTTAAGTCAGAAGTTTTGATAAGAGACATAGAAAGAAGGGGGAAAAGATTGTGATAAGTAGAAAAGAATAAATATTATGTATTTTATTTAATATCTTGTTGAATTAATCTCTGATTCCTGAGAATATATCAGTAAAATTAAACAAATGTATTTCACTTCAAAAGATGGCATTGCAAAATGTCTCTCACAGTTAAGACTCACTATATGATCGATGTAAATATATATACATGTATATATAGGGAATCTCTCTCTGTCACCAGGGTTGGAGTGCAGTGGTGTGATCTTGGCTCACTGCAACCTCCACCTCCTGGGTGCAAGCAATCTTTGTGCCTCAGCCTCCTGAGTAGCCAGGACTACAGGTGAGCACCACTATCCGCAGATAATTTTTTGTACTTTTAGTAGAGATGGGTTGGTCTCTAACTCCTGACCTCATGATTCACCCACCTCAGCCTCCCAAAGTGCCAGGATTACAGGTGTGAGCCACCATGCCTGGCCATAAAAATATTTTGAATAAAATTTATTTTTATGAAAACAATAAAAACCCTAATGAACTAATTAGTCTAAAAACTAGTTTTTAAGAATCTCAGAAACATTTTTAGTTTAAATGGCATTTTGACAAACTTTTTGGGTTATAGTTCAAGTCTTCCTTGGAGATCCTTGAGTAATTTATACTCAAGAGGCCTTAAACTTGCTTATATATAAGCTCCAACTTTTTAAGTTTATATCAAGTTGTCTATAACAAGCTTGTTGGGTAAAAGGTCAGGAAAACTATAAGCAGTGTAGACTAGAAGTAAGGCAAGTCTTTTTAAACGACTTCTTATGATCTCCATAAAGTCAAATCATTTTTGAAGCAGTCTGGTCAAATTTGAAAATATTCATTTTAAATCAATGCCTTGGTAAAATTTCTAATGACTCCAATTGTGTGCTGCTACCAGGAAAGTACAGATCTCTTTTTTATTGAATTCATATACATAACTATCTTTTCATAAAATCAGAAGATTCATAAAATAGTGTTTGAATTTTGAAGACTTTAGATAGAGATAAAGGCAAAAGCTTTAATTTGTCTTATAAAAGTATATTTTAATCATTTTTACAAGTTATAAATAGCATAAAAAGAAATAAGGTTTTCTTAACTTTGGCAAAAAACACAAAATAAAGCAGCAATAGTTTAAAGTAAAATTACAACAATTATTTGACTATTTTCTCAGTTTTATCCCCTTTAGTTAATTTTTTTCTACTTGGTGTTAGCAACATGTATGAACATATCAGCATTTCTTTTTTAGCATTTTGTAAGTTTTTATCTACTCTAATCATATAATCTCTAAAGTTATCAGAAACAATATAAAATTTTTATATTTTGATTTTAATTTATAAAATACAAATTTATTTTTTGGAAATAATATAATTTTAAAGTGTGATTGATTATAACCACTTTTTGAGAACAATCAAAATAAAATAATTGTTTTGTCAAATAAAAAGATTGAGGATCATCATGGTTAAGGACGCAGAAAATTTGAGTTGTTCTGTTGTAGCAGGATGAGTCACAGACAAAGCTCCTCAGACACTGCGTTAAAGAAGGAAGAGGCTTTATTTGGCCAGGACCACCGGCAGACTTGCGTCTCAAGAACAAAGCTCCTTGAAGAAAAAGTTCTTGGCCCTTTTAAGGGCTTACAACTCTAAGGGGTCCATGTGAAAGGGTCATGATAGATTGAGCAAGCATGAGGTACATGACTGTGTCCACATACATTAGCGGTGGGGGTAAGCAAGGCAAGTATTTCCCCACACCATTGTCTGTAGTCTGAAGATAGCACAAGTGGTTAGGGTGGGGGTTAATCTTTAACCTACATGCCTGGCCAGTGGCACTGATCAGTTTGTTATTTTTCAGTTTTTTCTTCTTTCTTTTCTTTGGAGACAGGGGACAGTAGGAGAAATGGCTTCTCTCCTCATTCCCCGCTTTGAGAACCTCACTCACTAGTGGGAGTTCTCATTCTCATCCTCACTGTCTAAATCTTCCTGTGAGATAAATCGATAGTGATTCATGTAATATGCTTGTGCTGAGGTCTTTTGATGAACTAAGGTGGTAATGAAGCTTCTTAGTAACTGCAGAAATAAGGGTAACTTACAGGGGAGTAACATGCAGGTTCCTAACACTATTATTATTCCTATTACAAGAGTTTTAAATCCTCCTAGAGCTGGAAACCATTTTCCAAACAGGAATCTAGGATCAAACCTATGCCAAACCTGCATGGGCACATGTGCCAGTTTAGTCATGTCTCTATATTTTCAACTACTTGTCCTTGATCATCTATTTGCAGACAGCAATTAGGCAAGTTGAATTTTCCACAGATGACTCCTTTGGCTGCGAGCAAATAGTCTAAGGACAATCTATTTTGATAGATGACATTTCTCATGTGGGTTTCCTGCCAGGATAAAAGAGTCAAAGCTCTGCCAATTTCATTAGTGGTTATTTCTAAGATGGCCTGTAATCATATGATCTGGCTGAGCATGTAGATGAGGGTTTGGTATCCCGATGAGCTGTCCTGTGCCTATGTGGCAGGCCTATACTACTGTATGATCCTTTGGCAGGGGGGCCACTCATCATCTTTCCAATTTCCTATAGCTATGCTTCTCTTTTCCCAGGAGGGACAGACAGGGAAACCTAGGAGCTCACCTGTTTTTATGGGCAGTAAAAAAAAAAAAAAAAAAAAAAAAAAAAGGATGGCTTAACGGTGCCAATGACACAACTACCTGCACATTGATCAGGTAACTGAGTATAGGCTCTGTACCTACACATATCCAGTATAGTCCAGTGGGAACCGTACAGTCTCAGTGAGATTCTGGAGGGGCCTAAGCAGTCTGTAATTTAGCAAATTTACTGATGGGATTCTTTTCAGTATGGTTTACATCCCACCAGGAGACCGTCCCTGTTGTGCTATTATACAGCGTCTGTCCTAGACAATTGAGCCTTCCTACAGGGATGGCGAAGTCTTTTCCTTCTCTAGCTATTCAGTATTGTCCAATAATTGAGGTTTTCAAAACCCGGAAGTTGCTAGTTTGGGTTTTCTGGACTGGAATTATGTTAGGAACTGGATCAGTAGGCACCAATTCTCAGGCTTCCCAAGGCCATTGGTCTCCCACAGTGGTTCCCCAACATACACAACAAGAAGTAACATTGAAGAAATGAGCTACATTTTCTGCTAACTGGGGAAATAAGTTGTCTTTTTCAGAAGCTCTGGTGCTGGCAGATTCAGCTCATCATAAAAGGTCTGAAACACTGGTTTGGGACAGCACCTGTGGACGTACCCTTGGACTAAAATATTTCCTTGGGGATCCAGTCCAGTTCCATTGATTCCTAGAGTTACATACTCTCCTGTTTTCCAACAGAGATCGAGGGGATTGGCAATTAGTAGTTCTAATGGGTTACAGTGAGCACTAGTACAGGAAGAGTTACTCTTTCCTTTTTGAAGGTGAACAGTGTCCTTCTCATCTTTTTTCCAGGTGGCCTAAATGACACAGGACCAGTAACTACATTCATCACTACACAGTCCTAATTCATGACAAACATGCTTATTTTCTACTATATAACCTCTTTCCCAATCTAGAGAGCCACATCTTATTCTATTTCCATACAAGTCACTGTTGATTGCCGCGCAGGCATCAAATTTTAAGATAATTTGTTTGGGAATTCTTTTTCTTCTGTTCTAGTTATTACTGTACTCATATCAGCATTTCCCCAGTTGCCAGTCCTCAATCTTACTTCAAAAACTGTATTCATAGGGGGCTCAGATGGGTTATAGCACACATCAGGCTGGTCACTTCCTGGGCTACATAACTTTCATAGAGTGGAATTATATAGACAAGTTCTTCTCTAGAGTTCCAGTACATTCATAATAACTATAGAACAGAAAGACTGTTTTAACCTTTTGCCCTACCTCAGTAACTTGATGTATACACTGGGAAAAGTCCTCAGTCCGAGGAAGATCAGTTGAAGTCCTTACTGTACAAGTCCAAATTTTAAGGAAAATGAGGCCCATGATGAGTTTCCTCATGCTTCAGCCATGCATGGACCAGTCAGCTTCCACATATGACTGGAGCAGGGCTTGTCATCTTCTTCAGAGTCACTTTGCAGGGATTATCTGGGCTTGGTCTCACCTTCCAGGTGACAGGTGCTGCAGGTTTTATGCAGCTGTGGTGGATCCAGGCTGTATGGCTGTGGGAGTGGTCAGGATGTTGGTCTGGGGTCCTTTCCACTGTGGCCACAAGGGGGCTATGTTCCAATCCTTGATCCACACCTGATCACCTGGGGAGAAAGGGTGAACTGGGGAGAATAAGCTGATGGGGCACCTCCCATTTACCCAGGCTGAAATTGTGTGTAATTTTCCCTAAAGCCTGTAGCTGTCACTGTAACTCAATTTCACCTAGCTCTCGAGGAGTGCCTGGGAGTCCCCATAGTATGGGAAGGAGGCTATGATATAATATTTCATAAGGGGAATATCCTATTCTTTTAGAAGGGGTACATCTAATTGTAAACAATACCATAGGGAGAGCTTGTACCCACTTTAATCTTGTTTCTTGACACGCTTTCCCTAAACTATTTTTGATAGTGCGATTCATCCGCTCCACCTTTCCAGAACTTTGTGGTCGGTAGGTGCAGTTTCCATGTGATCCCCAATGGCTTTGCTGTCTTCTATACCAAGTCAGCCACAAACACTGGGCCATTGTCTGAGCTGATTCATAAGGGCAGTCCAAACCTAGTGATGAGATCTCGGGGAAGCATGCGGGTTACTTCACAAGCTTTCTCAGTCCGTGTTGGATAGGCCTCCACCCACCCAGAGTATGTACACACTAGAACTAGCAAATACTTGTTGCCTCCATGTTTGGGCATCTCGGTGAAGTCTACTTGGAGATCTTCAAAGGGGGCTGCTCCATAAGACTGTATGCCAGGAGGGGCTGTTGGACCTTGCCTAGCATTGTGTTGCCAGCAGGTGACACACTGCTGCACCACTGTTTTCGCAAGGGCTGACAGGTGCAAGATGTAGAAGTACCAGCCTAACAACTTTTCAAATGACATTTGTCCTAGGTGGATGGTCTCATGCACAGCCAGTATGACTGCGGCTCCTAGCATTTGCGGCATGGCTATTCTTCTGCCCAATAACCAAATCCCTCCCTCTTCTATCACTTGCCCTCCTTCTGCCTGAAGAAAGTCCTTCTCTTCTTTAGAATAAGTAGGTACAATGTCAGGTGCCTGAGGGAGCAGGGGGGCTGTGACTGATGCCCAGTAGGGGGTGGATACTGATTTTCAAGCCTCTGAGTCAGCTTGGGAGTTCCCCAGGGAAATCGAGGTGGAAGCTCACTGGTGTCCTCTGCAATGCATGACTGCCACCTTTCGGGGTCTCCACACTGCCTCTAATAATTGCAGGATCTCTTGCTGATCTTTTATGTATTTTCCCCCAGTGTTCAACAGGCCTTTTTCCTTGTATAATGCCCCATGTACTTGGAGAGTTAAAAAGGCATGCCCAGAGTCAGTGTAAATGTTTACAATCTTACCATCAGTTAGCTCTAAGGCCTGAATTAAAGCAGTAAGTTCGGTCATCTGGGCTGAAGTGCCCTGGGGCAACGATTTGGCTTCAATGACAGCATTTCAATGTGCGGGTTACCACTGCATATCCCGCACACCTCTCTCCTTGTGGGATGATGAAGCTGCTCCCATCCATGCACAGCTCCTAGTCTACTGTTGTCCAAAGATGGTCTCAGAGGTCAGGTCTGCTAGAATAAACTGAGTCCAACGCCTCTACACAGTCATGTTCAACTGGGCTCTGATACTGGAAACAAGGTAGCAGGGTTCAGGGTGTTGCAAACTTCAGTGGTTATGCAGGGATTCTCACAGAGCGAGATTTGGTATCTAGTTAGTCTAGCATTCATTAGCAAATGATGTTTTTTGGTATTCATTAAAGTGACCACAGCATGGGGGGCCTTTATGTTTAGATTTTGCCCAAGAGTTAGCTTATCCACTTCTTTTGCTAGCAGGGCTGTTGCTGCCAAGGCCCTCAAATATGGGGCCAACCCTTAGAAACCCCCTTTAGTTGTTTAGAGAGTTAGGCCATCAGCCTTGGCCAGGGCCCCATACTCTGGGTCAAAACTCCAACTGCCATTTATTCTCCCTCTGACACATATAGTGTAAAAGGTTTTGTCTGGTCAGGTAGCCCCAGGGCTGGGGCTGACATGAGGTTTTCTTTTAACTAATGAGAAGCTCATTGCTGTTGGGATCCCCATTTGAAATGTTCCTTTTCACCCCGCTTTGTGACTCCATACACGGGGTTAGCCAATACTGCAAAGTTTGGGATCCACAACCTGCAGAATTCTACTGCTCCTAAGAATTCTCTCACCTGCATTCTGGTCTTAGGCTCCAGCAGGTTGCAAATGACTTGCTTTCTTTCTGGCTGTGCTCCCCTTGTCAGATAGTAAATCCCAGCTGACGTACCTGCTGTCTGGAGAGCTGAGCTTTCTTCTTGGATACCTTATGCCCACAGTTCTCCAGGTGTTGGAGAAGGGTATATTCCCTTGGTGCACCAGACTGCCATGGGTTGTCCCAGCAGGCGGTCATCGACATACTGGAGCAGCACGCAGCCTAGGTCTCTGGAAGGAAACTTCTGGGGGTCTTGAGCCAGTGCCTCCCCAAAGATGGTGGGGGAGTACT
Organism: Homo sapiens; assembly: GCF_000001405.40. Classification (NCBI taxonomy): domain Eukaryota; kingdom Metazoa; phylum Chordata; class Mammalia; order Primates; family Hominidae; genus Homo; species Homo sapiens. The sequence goes on along the minus strand of NC_000024.10, from coordinate 20,646,762 downwards.
TGAACCCTTGGGGGAGCCGTGTCCAAGTGTACTGAGTGATGACACCTGACCCTGGATCCTCCCCCTGAAAGGCAAACAGTTTTGGGCCCTCAGGGGCTAGTCTGATGCTAAAGAAAGCATCTTTCAGGTCCAAGGAGGTGAATAAGTTGTCCTCAGCTGGCAGGAATTCTAACAATGTGTACAGGTTAGGTACCATTGGATGCAAAGTCACTGTAGCTTGGTTGACCAAGTGCAAATCCTGTACTGGCCTGTAGTACTTGGTCCCTGGCTTGGGAACAAGTAGGAGGGGAGTGTTCCATGGAGACTGACAAGGGACTATAATTCCAAAGGCCTTTAGGCACTTGAGATAGACCTGGATGCCCTCAAGATCTTCTCTGGAGACTGGGTACTACTTTTGCCTGGCCAACTGGGCCGCAGGCTCAACTTCTATGAGTACAGGGGCCTGATTGATTGCCAACCCTGGAAGGTTGTCTTCTACCCACACCCTTGGCCACCACTTAGCCACAGCTGGTCCTATCTCTTGGCCTGGCTCAGTTATGTAGAGTCTCCCTTCCTCCTAAGGAAGCGAAAGGGCCACTATGACTCCCATTCCAGGTAACTTTAGCTGTAAAGAGCTGTGCTTTGTAAAAGAGATAGTGGCTGTCAGCTTGCTAAGTAGGTCCCTTCCAAGTAAAGGCAAGGGGCAGTCAGGCATGTACAGGAACTGGTGAATTAGCTCATGCCCCACTCCCCCCACCCCCACCCACACTGCAGGACTGGGGCAAACAGAAAGCTTGCTTTGCGGAAACCCCTGTGGTTCTGATTATATCAATATTCTTTTTGGATAAGGGGGTGACTGGGGTGGTTACTACTGAATGTTCAGCACCAGTATCAACAAGAAACTCAATGTCCTTGCCCCTGATTGTCATCCTGACAATGGGCTTGTTGGGGTCACCTAAGCCCAGTCCCCCTTAGTCCAATAACCCTTCTGCAAGACTGAACAAGACTCCTTCATCCTTGTCTGAGGCCCCCTGCTCAGAGTCACCTTGTTCCCCTTTCAACTGGGGGCTCTTGTCCTTCCAATGTCCTATTTCCTTACAGTAAGCACACTGGTTACACTGCATGCATGGGTGATTGGACTGGGTATTTTTTCCAGGACCTCCCCTTCTTCACCATAGCCACAACTAACAAGTCGGCATTCTGTCTGGCCTGGCACTCATTCTCTTTGCAAGTCTCTCTATGGCTTACCATATCTCTGTTCACAAACACCTGATAACATATTTCCAACAGCTGTGAAGTATATTCATACCTGCAAACCCAGCCTGTTTTTTGCAGCTTCCTTCTAATGTTTTTTGCGCTTTGACTAACTAAAATCATGTTAATCATGCACTGATTCTCAGGACTATCAGGATCAAAGGGAGTATACATACAATAGGCCTCACACAGTCTCTCATAGAATTGTGCTGGACTTTCTTCTTTTCCCTGAATTACTTCAGAGACCTTGTTAGCATTTGAGTTATTCTGAACTTTCTTCTTTAACCCTTCCAAGAGGGCTTCCCTGTACCTGTTTAGGCTTTGCATACCCAGTCTTTCATTTGAGTCCCACCGGGGGTCTTTTTCTAGTAACTGGATCCGTATGTACTCTTAGGGGTTTTGGTAATCAGCCAGAACATGTTCTCCAACTAATTGCCCCAAGTGATTAGTTGCTGCTTGGAGCACTCTCCTCCTTTCATCTGTGTGGAAGAGGTACATGAGCAACTGGTGGCAATCAACCCAAGTAGGGTTGTGGGTCTTGATTATAGTTTGGAGCAAATCAATTATAGCTTGAGGATTTTCAATATAGGATGGAGTATTGTTTTTCCAGTTGAGATCAGCAGAGATGAAGGGTTGGTAAACAAAGGCATGCCTTTCCACCATATGACCATCCTTGTCTACCTCAGTATACAGTTGCTCTCTCAGGGGCATTTGTGTCCCAGTTCTAGGCCTCAAACAGGCTACCAAGGGAGGGGGTCTCTCCCAAGGTCTCACATCCTTCCTTCTCTACTCTGGGTGGTTTAGGTGTATGAAGCCTTGTGGAAGCTCAGGCACACTGGGCTTAGGATTGAGAAGCTTTCCTTCTTGATGAAAGGTGAGTGTCACTGGCGCTATTTCTTGCCATGAATCCTCTGATGTCTTGTCAGATAGGACTTTAGGAGCTGACTTTCCTTGGCTGGTGGAGTGGGATTCTTCCTTGGCTGTCTGTCCCGTAGCTACTAGTACTGTTGCGGCCTGTCCTCTCAACCATCTTGGTGGGGGGCTAATACAAGCTGTAACCAGGTATCTATGTATAGAAGCTGGTCTGGGTGTCCTGATATATGTCCTGATATACCTGTTACCTTGTGCCGTACTTTTGAAACAAGAGACCTGTCTAGGCTTCCTTCTCTTGGCCAAGCCACTTCTAATGCTAGCCAATATATCTCCCACAACGTCCTAAGTTTTCCTGAGGTCATAGTAACTCCATAATCTCCATTAAAACCTTTCCTGAAATTCTTTAACATAGTTCCTAATGGAGTGGGCTTACTTTGTCTCTCACCCGTCTTCCACCTGGAGAGAAAAACAACTCTCATGCCACAAGAAGGGAAAGGGTAAAGCATTCACTCACTCGACTCTCCCATCACTGGTCACTTCCCTCGTGGGAATCTCAGATCCTCTTAGCTTAGAAAGACTGGTACCAGGTGCCAGCACAAACTACCACTTAGCCATATGAGGTATCCTACAGAACTGCAGCTTGGGGCTCAACACTCACTTTAGACAGTGACCACTGTCCATCAGGTGTCCATCTCAAACACAAGCATTCATTCACATTTACTTTCCCTTTTTTCAAATAAGCCAAGCCAAATCAAAATAAAAACTGAGACCAAACTGCCTATAAAGGCACATCATGGGTGATCAGGCCATGCTTCCACTCAAATGGAATGGGCAAGTTCCCAGGATTAGTCCTACCATGTTCCAGATGTCTGGACTCCAAGTGTCAGGTTCCTTCCCGGTGTTCAGCAGCTGCACTGATCATCTGCGGGGTCCTGCCTTGCACCACTCCAATGAGGTGTTTTACCTGAGCAAATGCCTACCTGGCAGTGCTCGTAGGATCCGCGTCACCCAAGTTGACTGGGGTCCCTTACAGGGATGCTCCACAGGGCATGCTTAAGCTGCCTAAGGGGCTGCCTTGACCATCTGTCAACCACCTCCTTTCCCAGTCAGGGAACCGAGAAATGTAGCAGGATGAGCCACAGACAAAACCCTTAGACACCAGATTAAAGAACGAAGAGGCTTTATTTGGCTGGGAGTGTTAGCGGACTTGCATCTCAAGAACTGAGCTCCCTGAAGAAAGAGTTCCTCACCCTTTTAAGGGCTTACGACTCTAAGGGGTCCACGTGAAAGGGTCATGATAGATTCAGCAAGCATGGTGTGCATGACTATGTCCACATATGTTAGCGGTAGGGAGAAGCAGGGCAAGTATTTCTCCATACCATTGTCTGTTATGTATAGATAGCACAAGCAGTTAGGGTGGGCGTTAATCTTTAACCTACAGGCCTGGCCAGTGGCACCGATCAGCCGCTATTTTTCAATTTTCACTTTCTCCTGTTCTTTGGAGACAGGGGACAGTAGGAGAAAGGGCCTCTCTCCTCACTGTGGCTTAAAATAATTGAATAAAATAATCATAAACTGATAAATTATACCAATATATAACATTTTAGATATAACATTACATTTTAGAACACATATTAATAACATAGCTATAAAAAAGTAAAGAAAAAAGGTCAAACATTATATTTGATTGTGCATTTGTATGACTTTATCTTACCAAATAATCCTAATATGTCTCTCTTGGACTTTATGGGGGACCTTTTTAGACTGTCTAAATGTTAGGTAAAAGTAACAACCTCATTTAAAATTTAAAATTTGATTTTGAGAAGTCTGACATATCAAAAGCTTAAAATACTTGATTAATACAGAATCATATATTTTGCACAGTGTTGACTGAAAGATTCAAAAACACCAAAAAAACTTTTATTTTAATAAAGACAATACTGTTTTTCAAATAATCCACAGAACAACAAAGACAGCCTGAATCAAGATTTTTTCTTTTTTTTTTTTGAAGTCTAATCAAAGGTAAAAAATTATTTTACTACATTTTATTAACACTACACAAAAATCTTTAAAACACAAAACTAAATTTTGTCTTTGTATCTGTGTATTATTAATACTAAACCTATTCTAAATAAAATCTCAGAAACATATTTACCTAATCTTGGTAAGTTTGGACCCAAAATTTCCATAAACTTTTATAGCTTCTTACAACTGTTTTCAATCTCTTTTTTCCCCCAGCCTTTCTATATCTATTTCATCTAGTGTCATTTAAAAATTTCTTTAATTTCCTGTAATCCCAGCACTCTGGGAGGCTGAGGCGGGTGGATCACGAGGTCAGGAGATCGAGACCATCCTGGCTAACATGGTGAAACGCTGTCTCTACTAAAAATACAAAAAATTAGCCAGGCATGGTGGTGGGCACCTGTAGTCCCAGCTACTTGGGAGGCTAAGGCAGGAGAATGGTGTGAACTGAGGAGATGGAGCTTGCAGTGAGCCGAGATCGTGCCACTGCCTAGGCAACGGAGTGAGACTCCAAATAAAAAAAAAATATATATATATTTAATTTAAAACATCCTTCAAAGAAGCATCTCCTTGATGGTGAACAGGAGGCAGGACTAGATTGCAGCTCCCAGTTGGATGGACAGAGTAGTGTGTGGAGGCTTACAACATGAACTTTTGCTCTGGAATGACTGCAGGAATACATTAGAAAAGCCAAGAGAACCCACAGACTGTCTCAAGGAAGAGCATTGCTCCTGCAGGACTAGGGAAACAATCCAAATACTGTGAGTGCCCAAATGTGGAAGTGGGAAAGGGAGATTGTCCACCCCCAAAAACACACCCCCAATGGGGAAACTGAAGGTCTAGATTATAGGAGAACATTCTGGACTTACCTATAGCTGAGTCAATGTAGAGAGTCATGCGAAATACAAGGATAAAGCCGTGGGAAAAAGCCATGTGGGCTTGCTGGTTCCCCTAGGAAGCCATTTCTGCCCTGCCTCACATGGTTCCCAGAGGCACTGAGAATGGGCCACAGGGATACAAAAACCTTCAGCTGAATTTTGTAAAATTTGAACCAATTAAGAAGTCTCCTGGCCAGAAATGAGGGAGGGCACTAATCTGGTTTGCAAACACCACAGGCAGGGTAAAAACGAACAATCTACTTGCTTTTGCACCTGGGATGTGGGGAGCCTGAGGCAAGTTCTCACCCTTGCTCGCCCCCAGCCTGGAAAAAGACTTGGTGCTGTTGGCGGGGTGGTGGGAGGGGGCATGATGGGAGTGACACCAGCCCTTTGGGTTGTGTGGGAGTTGGCTGAGGGCTATGACTGCTGGCTTTTTCTCACTTCCATGAATACCTGGATGACAGGGTAGAGGCAGCCATAATCCTCCTAGCAATATAAATCCATTGACCTGGGAATCTCAACCCCATCACATAGTAGTTGCAGTGAGACCTGCCTGAGTCTGAGTTCAGACAAGCCTGGTCCTGCCCCCATCTAATGGTCTTTCCCTACCCACTCTGGTAACTGAAGGCAAAGGATATATACTCTTGCGAGTTCTACAACTATGCCCACTGCCTGTTTCTTCCAATACTACACAGCTGATGTTCTCTTGAAAGCACCACCTTATGGCAGGAGACCAACCAGCAAAAAAAAAAAAAAAAAAAAAAAAAAAAAAAATTCATTAAGCAACCAAAGCCAAGAACCCTCACAGAGTACATTTTACCCCCCTGCCAACTCCACTGGAGCAGTTGCTGGTATCCATGGCTGACAGGCCCACAGACTGTTCACTAGAGTCCTGGTAGACACTTGCTGGATGCCCAGATGTGGAAGAGAGATAATGATCAACTCGGATCTCAGGAAGCCATGTCCTTAGGAAAAGTGGGAGAGTACTACATCAAGGGAACACCCAATGGGACAAAAGAATCTGAACAACAGTCTTGAGTCCTAGACCTTCCCTCTGACAGAGCCTCCCCAAATGAGAAGCAACCAATCAACTCTGATGATATGACAAAAGAAAGTTTTCTAACACCCAAATCACACTAGTTCACCAGAAATGGATCCAAACCAAAAGGACATCCCTGATTTACCTGAAAAATAATTCAGAAGGTAAGTTATTCAGTTAATCAGAGAGGCACCAGAGAAAGGTGAAGTCCAATCTAAGAAAATTTTTAAAAGATACAATAAGTGAAGGGAGAAATATTCAGTGAAATAGCATAAATAAAAGATGATCAAAACATCAGGAAAAAATATACACACAGAAATGCAAAATGCTCTGGAAAGTCTCAGTAATACAATCAATCAGGAGAAATAACTGCAGAGCTCAAAGACAAGGTCTTCAAATTAACCCAATCCAACAAAGATAAGGAAAAAAGAGTAAGACAATATAAAGAAAACATCCAAGACGTCTGGGATTATGTTAAACAAACAGACCTAAGAATAATTGGCATTCTTGGAGAAGAAAAGGAATTTAAAAGTTTGGAAAACATATTTGGGGAAATAAAGAAACAAAATTCCCTGGCCTTGCTAGACAGATAGACATCCACATGCAAGAAGCTGAAAGAACAACTGGGAAATTCAACACAAATAGATTATTACCTAGGAACATTGTCATCAGGTTATCTAAAATTAATATGAAGGAAAGAATCTTACAAGCTGTGAAGCAAAAGCACCAGGTTACCTATAAAGGAAAACCTATCATATTAACAGCAGATTTCTCAGCAGAAACCCTACAAGCTAGAAGGGATTGGGGCCCTATATTCAGTTTCTTCAAATAAAATAATTTCAGCTAAGAACTTTGTATCCAGTGAAACTAAGCTTTATAAATGAAGGAAAGATACAGTCTTTTTTTAGACAAACATCTGCTGAGAGAATTCACCACTATCAAGCCAGCACTGAAAGAACTGCTAAAAGGAGTTCTGAATCTGGAAAAAAATCCTGGAAACACATCAAAACAGAACCACTTTCAAGCATACATCTCACAGGACCTATATGACAAAAATACAATTTAAAACAAACAAACAAAAAAGTATATGCACAACAAATGGCATAATGAATGGAATGGTACCTCACATCTCAACACTAATGTTGAATGCAAATGGCCTAAATGTTCTAGTTAAAAGATAGAGAACTGCAGAATGGATAAGAACTTACCAACCAAATATCTGCTGCCTTCAAGAGACTAACCTAACACATAAGGACTCACATAAACTTAAGGTTAATGGGTGGAAAAAGACGTTCCATGCAAACGGACACCAAAAGCAAGCAGGAGTAGCTATTATTACAGCAGATAAAGTTAAAAGCAACAGCAGTTAAAAATTACACAGAGAGATGCCAGGCATGGTGGCTCACACTTGTAATCCCAGCACTTTGGGAGTCTGAGGCAGGCAGTTCATGAGGTCAGCAGATTGAGACCAACCTAGCTAACACAGTGAAACCCCATCTCTCCTAAAAAAATACAAAAAAAATCAGCCAGGTGTGGTGGCGAGCACCTGTAGTCCCAGCTACTTGGGAGGCTGAGGCAGGAGAATGGTGTGAACCTGGGATGCAGAGGTTTCAGTGAGCCGAGATCCCACGACTGCACTCCAGCCTAGGTGACAGACCAAGATTCTGTCTCCAAAAAAAAAAGAAAAAGAAAAAAAAATTACACAGAGAGGCATTATATAATGATAAAAACCTTCTCCAACAAGAAAGTATCTCCATCCTACATATATATCTACTTAACACTGGAACTCTCAAATTTAAAAATAATTATTACTAGACCTAAGAAATGGGATAGACAGCAACACAATAATAGTGGGGACTTCAATACTCTTATTGACAGCACTAGACATGCCATCAAGACAGAAAGTCAAGAAAGAAACAATGCATTTAAATTATACCCTGGAACAAATGGGCTTAACAGATATATACAGAACATTCTACCCAGCAACCACAGAATACACATTCTATTCAACAGCACATGAAACTGTATCCAAGATAGATCATATAATAGGCCACCAGAGGTGGCTCAATAAATTTAAGAAAATTGAAATTACAGCAAGTACTCTGTCAGGCCACAGTGGAATAAAACTAGAAGCCAACTCCAAAAGACTCTTCAATCCCATGCAGATACATGAAAATTAAATAACCTACTTCTAAATGATTATTGCATCAATAATGAAGTCAGGATCAAAGTTTAAAAATTTTTCAAATTGAATGACAATAGGTGACACAACCTCTCAAAAGCCCTGGGATACAGCAAAGGCAGTGCTAATAGAAAAGTTCCTTGCCGTAAATGTCCTACATCAAAAAGTCTGAAAGAACACCACAAACAATCTGAGGTCACACTTCAAGGAATTAGAGTAATAAGAACAAACAAAATCCAAACCCAGCAGAAGAAGGGAAATAACCAGTATCAGAGCAGAACTAAATGAAATTGAAATATAAAAATAAAAAAGATAAAAAATCTGGTTCTTCAAAAAGACAAATAAAATTGGTAGACCATTAAGAAGATTAACTAAGAAAAGATGAGAGAAAATCTAAATAAGCTCAATTAGAAACAAAATTACAATTGACAAAACGGAAATACAAAAAACAAAGCAAAACAAAGCATTCAAGGTTACAGTGAACAGCTTTACAGACATAGACTAGAAAACCTAGAGAAGATATATAAATTCCTGGAAACATACAGTCCTCCTAGCTAAAATCAGAAAGAATTAGGTACCCTGAACAGACCAATAACATGCAACAAGAATAAAATGGCAATTCAAAATACTACCCACAAAAAAAGTCCAATACCAAATGGATTCGCAGGAGAATTCTACCAGATATTAAAAGAAGAATTAGTATCAATCCCTAGTGACATTATTACACAAGATAAAGAGGAAACCCTCCCTAATTCATTCTATGAAGCCATTATCACCCTAATATCAAAACCAGGAAAGGATATAACCAAAATAGAAAACTACAGACCAATTCTCTTGATGAACATAGATGCTAAAATCCTTAACAAAATACTAAATGAAAGTAACAAAATACTAAATAAAAATAACAAAAAAAATCCAACAATATATGAAAAAGATAATTCATCATGATCAAGTGGGTTTTGTACCAGGGAGGCAAGGATGGTTTAATATTCAGAACACAATAAATGTGATACACTGTATAAACAGAATTAAAAACAAAAAATCACATGATTATGTTAATGGATGTAGAAAAAGCATTAAACAAAATCCAGCATCTATTCATAAATAAAACTCTCAGCAAAACTGGCATACAAAGGACATAGTTCAATGTGACACAAGCCATCTGTGACAAACCCACAGCCAACATAATACTGAATGGAGAAAAGTTGAAAGAATTTCCTCTGAGACCTAGAACCAGACAAGAATGCCCACTCTCACCGTCCTCTTCAACATATCACTGGAAGTCCTAGCCAGAGCAATCTGACAAGAGAAAAAGTAAATGGCATCAAAATCATTAAAGAGGAAGTCAAACTCTTGTTGTTTGCTGATGATGTGATTATTGACCTAGAAAACACTAAAAATTCCTCAAGAAAGCTCCTAGGATGATAAATGAATTCAGCAAAGTTTCTGGATACAAAATTAATATACACAATTCAGTAGCTCTTCTATACAACAGCATTGACCAAGCAGAGAAACAAATCAAGAACTCAACCCCTTTACAATAGCTGCAAAAAATAAAATACTTAGGAATATACCTAACCAAGGAGGTAAAAACTTCTACAAGGAAAACTACAAAACTGCTGAAATAAATTATAAATGACACAAACAAATGAAAACATATTCTATGTTCATGAGTGGTTAGGATCATATTGTAAAAATGACCATACTGTCAAAAGCAATCTACAAATTTAATGCAATTTTCATGAAAACACCACCATCATTCTTCACAGAGTTAGAAAAAAATTTTTTTAATTCATATGAAACCAAAAAAGAGCCCACATATCCAAAGCAAGACTAAGCAAAAAGAATGAATCTCCAGACATCACATTAGCTGATTTCTAACTATACTATCATGCCACAGTCACCAAAACAAGATGGTATTGGCATAAAAATAGGACATAGACTAGTGGAATAGAATAAAGAACCCAGAGATAAACCCAAATACTTAGAGCCAACTGATCTTCGACAAAGCAAACAAAAACATAAAGTAGGGACAGGATCCTATTTAACCAATGGTGCTAGGATAATTGGCAGGCCATATATGGGAGAATACAATTGGATTTTCTTCTCTCACCTTATACAAAAATCACCTGAAGATGTATCAAGGACCTAAATCTAAGACCTGAAACTATAAAAATCCTAGAAGATAACATTGGAGAAACCCTTCTAGACATTTGCTTTGACAAGGATTTCATGACCAATAACCCAGAAGCAAATGCATAAAAACAAAGATAAATAGCTATGACTTAATTAAACTAAATAACTTTTGCATGGCAAAAGGGACAATCAGCAGAGTAAACAGACAACCCATGGAATATGAGAAAATATTTACAATCTATACATCTGTCAAAGGAGTAATATCCAGAATCTACAAGGAACTCAAACAAATTAGCAAGAAAAAATCAAACAATTCTATCAAAAATTGGGCTAAGGACATGAATATAAAATTCTCAAAAGAAGATATACAAGTGGCCAACAAACATATGAAAAATGGTCAACATCACTAATGATCAGGGAAATGATCAGGAAACGCAATGTGTTACCTACCACCTTCCTTCTGCAAGAATGGCCATAATAAAAGAAATAAAAAAATTATAGAAGTTGGTGTAGATGCGGTGAACAGGAAACACTTCTACAATTCTAGTGGAGATGTAAACTAATACAACCACTATGGAAAAAAATGGGCAGATTACTTAAAGAACTAAAAGTAGAACTACAATTTGATCCAGCAATTCCATTACTGGGGTACTTACCCAGGAGAAAGGCATCATTATATGAAAAAGATACTTGCACATGTGTGTTTATAGTAGCCCAATTTGCAATTGCAAAAACGTGGGACCAACACAAATGTCAATCAATCAACAAGCAGATAAAGACACTGTGGTGTGTATGTATGTGCATATATGTATGTATACATGATGGAATACAAATACTAAGCTATAAAAAGAAATAAACTAATGACATTCTCAGTGGCCTGGATGACATTGGAGACTATTATTCTAAGTGAAGTAACTCCAGAATGGAAAACCAAACATCATATGTTCTCACTTGTAAGTGGGAAATAAGCTATGAGAATGCAAAAGCATAAGAATAACACAAAGGACTTGGGACTCAGGAAGAAAGGCTGGGAAGGGATGAGGAATAAAAGATCACAAATTGACTGCAGTGTATACGGGTCAGGGGATGGTGCACCAAAATCGCATAAATAGTCATTAAAGAACATACTCATGTAACCGAACACCACCTCTTCCCCAATAACCTATGGAAATATAAAAATTTAATTAAAAATAACTTTAAATAATATCTAAGCTAAAGAAAATTACGTTTTATTCAACCAAAACCACACACTAATGACTTCTTTGTAAGATTTTTTACCAAAAACACATTCTACTTACCTTATGTACTCTGCATATAGAATTTTTTTAAAAAAATCTGATAGGTTAAATTACCTGTATTATTTACAATATTAACTTTTAATAAGCTTAATTTTCAGTAAAACACTTAGAAAGCAATTTTAATTGTCATTCAACTGAAGATGACAAGATAGAGGACAAACCTGTGAAGTTAATGCCTAGAAAGCCCAACTTCTCTCAGCATGGCCAAAAAGCAGGGCTAGATGAAGAATTGGGCTATATTGTGATTGGATTTGCTTTGTATCTGGTAATCCAGGCACTGCAAAAACACAGTGTCCCCAAGCCTCACCATAAGGCTCAAAACCAAAAACTTCACCAACATGCCTCTTAATTTTATACCAGAAGCATCACAGAAGCACGGTTTATTACCTTACCAAAATATCTGTCAGAGAAAGTATAAACCTTTCTGAAAAATAGATATGGGCAAAAAGCTCAACATTCTAAAGACATTTTATTTTACTAACAATTTTAAAATGGGCTTTTATTATCAAAGATTACCAGAGTCACATAAAGTTAAAAAACATTTGGATTTATTTACTTAATTTATCAGTATTTATTTATTTACAAGTTAATTTGGTATCATGTAGACATATATAAACACAGACATGTGCACAAATATATACAACACTACAAATATAAATACAAATTGTAGCTTTAATTTTAAAATTTCAGCAGTAAGACAGGGCTCATTTTAGTCATGAAAGCTCAATATTTCAAAAGAAGAGTTGTATTAAATTTTATCTCTGCCCAAACTTTGTCTATGCCAAGTAACCAAGCCCTTATCAGGTTTTAGAGAAAAGAGAAAAGCAAATTTATACATAAAAAAATACAGAGAATTTAAACAGTTTTTTTAAAAAAGGTATTAAAAATGGGGGAGGTGAAGCAAAGTGTCAGAATAGAAAGTTCCACTGATTGTTCCCCCCCCAAGACACCAATTTAATAACTATCTACACAGAAAAAACACCGTAAGAACCAAAAATCAGGTTAGGACTCATAGTATCTGTTTATAACTTCATATAACTGAAAGAAGCACTGATGAGATAGGAAAATAAAAGTCCTGAATTACTGATGCCGCCTCTTCCCCACCATCCTAATCAGTGGTATGGTGTGGAGAGTATCTCTGGGCACTAGGAAAGGGAGAACAATAATTTTGAGGCATTGAACTCAGTGCTGTCCTTTTAGAGCAGAAAGGAAAACCAGAACAAACTCAGCCAGGATCCTGCCTTGGAGGGAATACTTAAATAAGCCCTAGCCAGATAGGTATTACTGAATGCAGTGATCTAAATTTGCTACAGTACTCTGTGTCTCTAACTAAACTTAAGAGACAGTTTAGGCCACAAGAACTGCAACTATTAGTGAATTCTAGTGCTGAACTAGGCCAAAGACAGTAGCCTGAGGGGGCACATGGCATACTGAGAAATTAGCTGGGAAAGACAAGGGAATGCTGGCATTACTCCTCACCTAACTTCAGGCCAAATACCTTATGACTCCAAAAGAGTCTCCTTTCTTCTTATTGAGGAGAGGAGAGAAAGTAATGGGAATAAGTTTGTTTTTCATCTAGCGTACCACGTCAGCCACAGCAGAACCTGGCACTGGTTTGTGTTGTGAGGCCCCTATTTCAAGCCCTAAAATCCAGATGACATTTCTAGACACACCATGGACCAGAAGGAAACTTGCTGCCTTGAAGGAAAAGTCTCAGGCTTGGCAGCATTCACCAACTGCTGACTGAAGAGCCCTTGGCCCCTGAATAACCAGCAGTGACACCCAGATATTACATTGAGGGTCTTGGATGAAGCTCAGAGACTTGCTGACTTCAGGTGAAACTCAGCACATTACCAGTTGCTGTGGCTAAGAGGCAAAACAACTTTCTGCTCAAGGAAAGTGATGGAAAAGTAAAGGGATTTTTGTCTTTCACTGTAGGTACCAGCATGACCACAGGAAGGTAGAGCATCAGGCAGGTGCCTGGAGAGTCCCTAATTTTAGGATTTGATTGTTGGATGGTATCTGTAAACCTTCCCTGGGCCAGAAAGTTACCCATGGCCCTGAAAGGTGAGTACCGGCCTAGACAGCATTCATCATAAGCTGATTTAGTTGACACTGGGCCTTAAGGAATCATCAGTTTCAGTCGGATAGTATTCCTCATAATCTGGAGTGACAGTGGCCACAGTCTTTGGAAAGCAGAGAGTGGAAAGGACTGCATTTTGTTGTTTGTGTGGCACTTCTAAGCCCATGAGGGGCTTGAGAAAAATTGCTTCCCTGAAAAGAAGGACAAAATTTTGGCTAGCTTTGCCACCTGTCAATTGTAGCACCTCAGGGTCTGGAGCAAACAAAGGGAGTAACCAGGGAGTGGTTACCAGAGGCCTTGTGTGAGACCTAGAAGTGAGATGGCTTCAAATCTGACTTAGCATTTACAGTGGTGGTGGCAAAAGGCCTACTTGTGTCACTACACTTTCAGCTTTAGCTGCCTCACAACAAAAACAGAAAAAGACTGTATGTTTGTGAGCAAATGAGGGAGGAGAACAAGCATATTTACCTGGTAATCCAGGGAGTTCTCCTGGCTCCTGTCCAAGACCACCAAAATGGTACCTCTACAACACTGCAAGCACCAGAGTGTCACTGGGCTTGGAGTGTCCCCTAAACCAGAAATAACTTGAACTGCAACATTCAAGTCTTTTCTGATATCTAGAAAATCTTCTCAAGAAGGATCGCTAATAAGCCCAGATAATGAAGACTACAATAAATACCTAACTCTTCAATGCTGAGACACCAAAGAGCATCTATTAGCATAAACAATATGTAGGGAAACGTGACCTCACTAAATGAACAGAATAATGCACCAAGGACCAATCCTGGAGAAACAGAGATACGTGACCTGTCAGATGGAGAACTCAAAACAGCTGTGTTAAGATAACTCAAAGAAATTAGAGATAACACAGAGAATAAATGCAGATTCTATCAGATATATTTAACAAAAATATTAAAATAATTTAAAATAATTAGGCAGAAATTCTTGAGATAATAAAAGCAAATGGCTTACTGGTAAATGCCTCAGAGTCCTTTAATAGCAGAATGGATCAAGCAGAAGAAAGAATTAGTAAGATTAAAGACAGCTATTTGAAAACACACAGTCAAAAGAGACAATAGGAAAAAAAAAAGCATGCCTACAGGATCTATAAAATAGCCTAAAAATGGCATATCTGAGTTATTGGCTTGAAAGAGAAGGTGGGGAAAAAGAGAGAGGTAGGAAGTTTATTTAAAGGGATAAGAACAGATAACTTCCCAAACCTAGAGAGACATATCTCTATCTAAGTACAAGAAGGTTATAGAACCCCAAGAGATTTAATCCAAGGAAGGCTACTTCAAGGCATTTAATAGTCCAACTTGCAAAGGTCAGGGATAAAGAAATGATCCTAAAGGCAGCAGGAGAAAAACAACAAATAACATGCAAAGGAGTTCTAACACATCTAGCAGAAGACTTTTAGTGAAAACCTCAGAGGCCAAGAGAGAGTGGCATAATATATTTAAAATGCTGATGAAAAAAAGTTACCCTAGAATAGTATAACTGGTGAAAATATCCTTCAAACAAATGGGAGAAATAAAGACTTTTCTAGACAAACAAAGTCTGAGATGGTTTTGATATGAGATGACATAACAACTTTAAATAAATATCCCCCCAAACTGGAACACCCATGTATATACAGGAAATATAATTAGAGGTAAAGACAAAGATAGACCCCAGTACAATAATAATAGCTGGAGACTTTAACACTCTGCTTTCAGCCATGGACAGATCTTTCAGACAGAAAATAAGAAACAACAGACTTAATCTACACTATAGACCAAATGTATGTAGTAGATATTTGCAGAGTATTTCATTCAAGATCTGCAGAATACACATTGTTTTTCCTCAGTATATGGATCATTCTCAAGGATAGACCATATGTTAAGCCATAAAACGCTTAAAATATTCAAAAATTTAAATAATATCAAACATCTTCTCTGACCACAATTAAATAAAACTAGAAATTAATAACAAGAGAAAGCTTGGAAGTTAATGGAAATTAATGAATACAGGGAACTTAAACAAGATGATCCTAAATAACAGGACGGTAAATGAAGAAATAGAAAATTAAAAATTTTCTTCAAACAAATGATAATGGAAACATAATGTGTCTATGAGATACAAAAAAGCAGTACTAAAAAGAAAGTTTGTAAGTGCCTATATCAAAAAAGGGGAAAATTTCAAATAAACAGTCTAACAATGCGTCTTAAGGACTAGAAAACAAGAGCAAACCAAACCCAAAACTAGAAAAAAAAAATAAAGATCAGAGCAGAAATATACAAAATTGAAGTTAAAAAAATTCAAAAGATCAATTAAACAAAAATCGATATTTTTGAAAAGTTAAACAAAACTGACACCTTTAGAAAGACTAAAAAAGAGAGATGATTTAAATAAGTAAAATTATAAATGAAAAAGCAGACATTACAACTGATACCACATAAATTTGAGGGATTATTCTTGGCTACTATGAAGAGTATATGCCAACAATTAAGAAAATCTGGAGGAAATGAACACATTCCGATACAAACAACCTACCAAAATTAAACTAGGAAGAAATCCAAAACCTGAATAGACCAATAACAAGTAATGAAATTAGAATCATAATAAAATGTCTCTCAGTAAGAAAAACCTGGGACTTCATGGCTTGTCCGCTGAATTCTACTGAACATTAAAAGAAGAATACTGATCTTATGCAAAACTATTCTGAAATATAGTGGAAGACAGAATACTTGTAACCTCATTCTGCAAGGCCTACATTAACCCGATTTCAAAACATGAGACACATCAAAACCATAGAAAAACACAGGCCAATATCTCTGATAAATATTGATGCAAAAATCCTCAACAAAATATTGGCAAACATAACTCAAAAACACATTAGAGAAATCATTCATCATGACCAAGTGGGATTTATTCTAGGGATGAATGGATGGCTCAACATGTGCAAATCAGTGTACTACATCATGTCAACAAATGAAAAATGTAAATCATATGATCATTTCAATTGATGCTGAAAAATCAGGTGATAACATTTAATATTTCTTTATTATAATAATCCTGAAAAAATTGAGTTAGAAGAAACATAG
Source organism: Homo sapiens (assembly GCF_000001405.40). NCBI lineage: Eukaryota > Metazoa > Chordata > Mammalia > Primates > Hominidae > Homo > Homo sapiens. The sequence goes on along the minus strand of NC_000024.10, from coordinate 20,629,935 downwards.
CTCAACATAATAAAAGTCATATATGCCAGACATGCAGCTAGTATGCTGAATGGGGAAAAAATGACGAGACTTTCGTTTAAGATCTGGAACACAATAAGGATGCTCACTGTCACCACTATTATTAAGCACAGTTCCGAAAACCCTAGCTAGAGCAATCAGACAAGAGAAAGATACAAATCACATTACATTGGGAATAAAGAAATCAAATTATCATGGTTTGCAGTTGATAAAATTGAACATTTTGAACATCTTAAGATTTCACAAAAGATTATTAGAACTGATAAATTTAGTAAAATTGCAGGATACAAAATCAACATACAAAAATCTGTAGCATTTCTATACGCCAACTCCAATAAATCTGAAAAAGCAACAAAAAAGTAATTTCATTTACAAAAGCGAAACATAAAATTAAACTCTTAGGAATTAACTAAAGAGGTGAAAGATAGCTATAATAAAAACTATGAAACATTAATAAAAGAAATTTAAAAGGGCACCAAAAAGATGGAAAATGTTCCATATTTATGGATTAGGAGTATCAATGCAACGATATTACTTTTCACAGAAATAGAAAAAAGAATTCTATAAGTTATATAAAACCACATAAAATCCAAAATGGCCAAAGACATTCTTTTGTTTTTTAATTATACTTTAAGTTTTAGGTTACATGTGCACAATGTGCAGGTTAGTTACATATGTATACATGTGCCATGCTGGTGTGCTGCATGCATTAACTCATAATTTAGCATTAGGTATATCCCCTAAAGCTATCCCTCCCCCCTCTTCCCACCCCACAACAGTCCCCAGAGTGTGATGTTCCCCTTCTTGTGTCCATGTGTTCTCATTGTTCAATTCCCACCTATGAGTGAGAATATGCAGTCTTTGGTTTTTTGTTCTTGCGATAGTTTACTGAGAATGATGATTTCCAATTTCATCCATGTCCCTACAAAGGACATGAACTCATCATTTTTTATGGCTGCATAGTATTCCATGGTGTATATGTGCCACATTTTCTTAATCCAGTCTATCATTGTTGGACATTTGGGTTGGTTCCAAGTCTTTGCTATTGTGAATAGTGCCGCAATAAACATATGTGTGCATGTGTCTTTATAGCAGCATGATTTATAGTCCTTTGGGTATATACCCAGTAATAGGATGGCTGAATCAAATGGTATTTCTAGTTCTAGATCCCTGAGGAATCGCCACACTGACTTCCACAATGGCTGAACTAGTTTACAGTCCCACCAACAGTGTAAAAGTGTTCCTATTTCTGCACATCCTCTCCAGCACCTCGTTTCCTGACTTTTTAATGATTGCCATTCTAACTGGTGTGAGATGGTATCTCATTGTGGTTTTGATTTGCATTTCTCTGATGGCCAGTGATGGTGAGCATTTTTTCATGTGTTTTTTGCCTGCATAAATGTCTTCTTTTGAGAAGTGTCTGTTCATATCCTTCATCCACTTTTTGATGGGGTTGTTTTTTTCCTTGTAAATTTGTTTGAGTTCATTGTAGATTCTGGATATTAGCCCTTTGTCAGCTGAGTAGGTTGCAAAAATTTTCTCCCATTTTATAGGTTGCCTGTTCACTCTGATGGCAGTTTCTTTTGCTGTGCAGAAGCTCTTTAGTTTAATTAGATCCCATTCGTCAATTTTGTCTTTTGTTGCCATTGCTTTTGGTGTTTTAGACATGAAGTCCTTGCCCATGCCT